>NC_000002.12:112641133-112944163 GCF_000001405.40 Homo sapiens | reverse complement strand
ATATATATATACAATGGAATATTATTCAGCAAAATCCTGACATCTGAGATAACCTGGATAAACCTGGAGGACATTATGCTAAGTAAAATCAAAGCCTGACACAGAAAGACAAATACCACATAATCTCACTTACATATGAAATATGAAAATGTTAATTTTATGGAAACAGAGTAGAATGGTAGTTGCCAGAGCCTGAGAGTAGAGAAAATGAGATGCTTGTCAAATCAAATCATCACATTGAATATATATAATCTATTTGTCAATTAAATATTTTAAGAATAAAAAATACCTGGCACCAAAAAAAGAATGCAAAATGTCTCAACAATGTTATATGTATTGCATTTTGAAGTGATAATAATTTGAATATTAGGTTAAATAAAATATATTTGAAAAATTAACTTCACCTATTTCTTTCCATTTTTGTTAACATAGGTACAAAAAAAAATTAAAATTACCTATGTGGCTCATGTAGGTGGCTCACATTATACTTTGATGACACTATACAGGCTGGTGACCATATATCTCTTAGACTAGTCTAAGTGATTTAACAGTGGTTCCAGAAAGATCCAGGTTTAACACCAATGAAAGGGCCAGCTGGCTTAGCCCAGCTTGTGTGGGAAATGTTGGGGAGTGGTTTAAGACAGGGAAAAGCAGAACATTTTGATGCTATTGACATTTTTGAAACAATCATTTTGTGGCCTGAAAAAAACCCAAAACATTAAATTTACAGCTTTTTTAAATTAGCTACCGGCTGGGCACAGTGGCTCACATCTGTAATCCCATCATTCTGGGAGGCCGAGGTGGGTGGATCACCTGATGTCAGGAGTTTGAGACTTGCCTGGCCAACACAGTGAAACCTCATCTCTACTAAAAATACAAAACTTAGTTGGGTGTAGTGGTGCGCACCTGTAGTCCCAGCTACCTGGAAGGTTGAGGCAGGAGAATTGTTTGAACCTAGGAGGCAGAGGTTGCAGAGAGCTGTGATCATGCCACTACACTCTGGCCTGTGTGACAGAGCGAGACTCTGTCTCAAAACATAAAAATAAAAATAAAAATAGTTACCAAGTCATATGTGCAACTGACATGCTCATGGAATTGTTTGGCTTCCCTCTCCCATTCCCTGATCCAACCCTGTGAGCCTCAGCTTCCCTGTTTATGACCTGGATTTCTGCTGCTGGCCTGCTGATGGTTTGCTTGCCTCAAATTCTCGCTCTTTTGGACCATCCTGGTCACTTCAGTCAGACAGATATTTCCACAATACACATCTGTTCTCAATGTCTAAAATCCTCCAATGACCTCCCGTTGCCTGGAGAAAAAAATTCAAACTCTTTGGCATGAGTCATGTGCTGACAGGGGGCAGAGTATACACACAAAAGGTGCATGCTAGAGGTAATGTAAGGAAAGGTTATTTATAAAACTGCAGGCAGGTCCAGAGGAAGCAGCAGGAGATGGTGGAGCTCCAGGCACTGCTGACAGTGGAAATCCACAACCCTCTCTGGAGGAGGAGGAGCAAGGGATGGGGAGGTGGCTGGCCCACTGAGAAAGCTGGGGCTGTGGGAGGGCCACTGACAGAAACTGTGGCCTTCTGTATAGGGGAATGTGGCCACTGCCAACCTGAAGGGGCGCGGGTGCACTCTAACCAAGCTCTCTTTCCTCCCTCTGATCTCCCATTGCCTGAGCCCAACCAGGAGATAGAGGACAACAGACCACTAAGGCAGCCCATAAGGCCAGTCTCAAGGGTACAGAGCAGATGGAGACATGTGGCACCCCCACCTGAAGCTCAGAGACACCATTTATCACCTGGATTACTGGCCCATAACTGCACACCCACCTCTGGCCACTCCCTGCTCTGGGTTGCCCGCCTCATTCTGGCCAAGAAATCTTCCTAAAACGCAAACCCAATCACACCATTACCCCAAGTAGAACTCTTCAGCGGCTCTGCACCATCTACACAGCAAGTCCATCTCTGTAGTGAGACCCTAAGACTTTTTATAACCCAACTCTACTCACCTGCTTGCTCACAGAAGTTTCATGAATGCACACGTTTGGTTCATCACAAATGTCTAAGAGAGCCATCCTCAGCCCCTGCCTTCTCCTGGGTCCTGCTACAGAGAGGACCTAGCGGCTAAGGAGTCCAGAGATTGCCCTTTGGTCACCTGTAGAACATCACGACTTAACAGCTGTGCCCTGCTGGAGCTACTGGCAGAGCTGCGCTTCCCAGGACCAGTAGAGGGCGCCATGACATTGAATGGCCACATGTTGGAGACCGCATCTTGGGCTTGTAGCTGCCAGAGCCCTGAGCTCAGAATAGCACCTGCAACTATGCGAGGCTAAGGCGGGTGGATCACCTGGTCGAGACCAGCCTGGCCAACATGGTTGAAACCCTGTCTCTACTAAAAATACAAAAATTAGCCAGGTGGGGTGGCTAATTTGAAAAATTTAGCTGGGTGTGGTAGTGCACGCCTGCAATCCTAGCTACTAGAAAGGCTGAAGCAGGAGAATCTCTTGAACCTGGGAGGCAGAGGTTGCAGTGAGCCAAGATCATGCCACTGCACTCCAGCCTGGATGACAGAGCAAGACTCGGTCTCAAAAAAAAAAAAAAAAAAAATGTCTGCATGAAAAAGTTATCACAGGGAACAAAAGCAAGAAGAAACAAAGAATGGGAACTTCCTCAAGTGTCTACAACTGCAAAATAAGAAATAATGTACATTATGAGCTTGGTTACAACAGGGTCAAGAAGCCAGTCACAAAATGGTGCAATTAACAATAAAGGCAAAAAGTTCACACAAGGCAGAATCATTCCTTTTATGAGCCCGTGTGGAAACTGTCTGCACTATGTGTGAGAACAAGAAAGCAAAAGGAAAAGATTTCACTTTCAAATAATAACACTAATAGATTATTCAATTAAAGTTTTCATTGCAAATTGATAAAAAAAAAACATGTAGCTGCACACATATTTTTAATAGCAATAATTAGGGTCCCTGAAGAAAACTACTACAAGACATGCTAGTAGGAGTGAAATATTCAATGAGTAAATCCAGGCTTTAAAACAAACAAATCAGAGATGACATTTGTTTTAACCTTGTTGACATTTGTTTAATCAGAGATATGCCAGAAGCCCTGCAGAAATTTGTGTCCTCAGGATAGGGCTGCCATAATAGAAAGAGGTGGTGGCTTTATACCAAGTCTGTCTGAAAGCATTGAGGTTCAGGTACTTTGAGTGATTATTAAAGTTGCAGATTTGTAGTGTAAAATGTTGCTTGGACATCTGAATTCCACACCAAATGACATTAAAACATTAACGTGTCCCATAAAACCCAGTTGCTTCCATCCAATTTGTTTTCAGCTCCTTGTGAAGACGTGGATGCAGAATAAATACCCCACTGAAAACGGACAGGAGAATTTCACCATCAAGAGTTTGCAAGCTAAAGGCAGAAATGACATTTCATAACATAGCATTTACCCTTACTGTTAGGAAAGCAGGAGCCTAGGAGAGCCAGATGGACACCATTTTCAAATCAAGCCCATCTTAAAACTAGCAAGACACATTCCTTGCCAGTCAGGACCCATGGCCCTAAGATGTTTACAGCTAAGGAAGTGGCTTGGTAATCCCTGCAAGGACAAACTTCTACAACAACAGAAAGCCCAGATGTCCCAATCCCTATAAAAATATATGCTTTCAAGATAATTATAGTTATGCTTTGATGTACTTAAACACACTAAAATGTCAAGGATAGTTCTCTTTAAATCAATAGGAGAATAAATGTTTTCATGCTGTCGGCCCACCCACACATAGCCACAGCTTAGTTTAGTCTTTATATAGACAAGATTCCTATATAAGAAAAATTTAATGATGGCATGTTCCTCCACTTGCTGTCTGAGGATGCTCTACTTTGTAATGGAATAGCTTTCAATAAACTCTCTCAATTCACCGCACCCTGCAACTCACCTTGAGTTCTTTCCTGTGTGAAATCCAAGGACTCTCTCTTGGGGTCTGGTTTGAGACCCCCTTTTCCAGTAACATCACTATGTTTAATAGATTCTCATCTTTTATTTTCTGTTCTGTACCTTTTTGTTTTTCAATTGATTTTTATAACTTATGATAGTTCTCACCCTTCAGTTGGTAAAGCAATGTCCTAGAATTGGGCTAACAGAAAATGTAGATGATTGGCAGTGGGCTCTGGAAGACAGAGGCCTTCTCACCTACTCCAGGGCCCATGGAGAGAGCTGAGCTTGAGGTCTACAAGAGAAGAATCCTTTTGGCTCATCCTTCACAAACTAAGCTTGGACTCCACCTGTGCTTCATGGGTTAAATAGAGGACTGACTCTTGTTATAAGGATCTAATGAGTTAAATCACAAAGACTGGAAGGAAAAGTGCTGCTCTATGTAAGTGTATCTTCATGATCACTCAGCAAGGACAGCCTGCTCCATGCGTACCTCTGTGCCTTATCGCCCTGTGGGTCTGGGCCCAGAGCCACAGCTGCTCACTGGGCACAGTCAAAAGGCACAGGTAGTCCCAGAGTTAGGAACAGACTATGTCCTGCAGGTCTAAGTCCATTGTTCAGAGCTGTGAACCCTGAAAAAGGTTAATCCTGAGTGACTAACTGGGCCTAAATTCAAATTAGAGCCAAGCGGCCATTTGCCATGTATGACTAGAGGTCATACATGTATTTGGAGTTCCCAGAAAAGCCTGCACGGACCAATCCGAATTCAGCAAATGTAAACAAATCAGAACTAAGCAAGTTTGCATCTTTCATTTGCCTAAGTGGAACCTGGGTGGAAACTTACTCTCTAAAAGACAAACTCTCCCTTTGTTATTTGGGGCACACACGTCTTCATTTTACGCTGAAGGCTGCCTCCCCCTGGTTTGCAAACTGTTCGCTGGACTAAAGTCCCCTTTCCCTAAATTCCTTTTCAGATAACTATCGTTCAATAACTTTAGTTCCCAAAGCCCACAAATGCTCATGTGACTCATGCTGTGGCTTAGCAGGCAGTATCTGGCATTGTTCCCAGCATGGTACCTGTGGTGGCCATACCACAAAATTCCCACAGACTGCATCAGATAAATGGAATAGTGCCATTCTAACAAGACGCCTCAGCACCTCAACCAAAGGGGAGGTCACCTCCTCCCAGACTTACCTATGAACATAGGTGTGCAGATGCACCCTCATCACCTTTTCCCCCACAGGAAGCATCACCCAGACCACTCTCGTCCTGTGCCTTTCTGTTTGTGGACTGTTACCTCTTCTACGTATAAGTTGCGACAGCTCTGCTGAGTAGCTGCAGGGACATTTTGATCTGGGAAAAAGTGGAACAGAACCCTTTCAGATATAAAGAGACTGAGAATCAGAGTGGCTGGAATTCTCTTAGGTCAGCATTGTGTTGGGATTTACGCTGTGTGTTCAATAAAACAACCACTGACTGGTCCTCAACTTCCATTGCCAACATCTATGTTCATAAGAGGCACTTATGAAGTCAATTGGCCAAATCTACAGCAATGGGGGACAAGACCAAAGGTTAGAGACACAGCCCTTGGAAATTATTCTGTAACAGCACTCTGCTGGGCCCAGCTGGGGCCGTGCATGTAGGAAGGAAGGGACGCACTGGTCCACATACCTGCAGGCATTCACCATCTCTCACAAAGGCCAGAATTGCTGCTTTCAAAAGGATGTCACACAAGCTAGAAAAATGAAATATTAAGACAACTCGCCCCCCAAAAACATTTCCATTTCTAAAGTTTTCAAATATACTAAAAGCCTTGTCCTGTGCCTACTCTTTAACCTAGAATCCTCTTTAGAGGCTATATTCTAAAGAAATATTCACCTCACTGCTGAGCTTACAGGGTGTACCTAATGTCCAACAATATGAAATCTCTTCAATGAATTGCAGCACGTCCATATATAACCCACATGGAAGCTGTCCTCTTTCCTCACCTTCGAACTTCCCATGCCAAAGAGGGACCTCTTGGACTCAAATACATCTTAGCAATATAGAAGATGCTGGAGACTTGTAGGAGAAGTGGAGAGGGTTTACAGTGTAGCCCCACAGAAAACAACTTATGACCCCATCAGTCACTTGTCCCTTTTTTCCATGCCTCAGTCTAGTCAGGAAACCACTAGATCCTGGATGGCTTCTTCTCCCTTCCCCTCCTTTCTCTTCTCCTCTCCCTCCCTTGCTCCTCCTTCCTCCATCACCCACTCCTTACTTCCAACCAAAACTTGACTAGCTCCAGTCTCATCCCTCCTTATTGAAAACTATTTTACTCAGCCCTCCTCCCCCACTCCTGCCCAATCTTTATTCCTTACCTACATCAGACTTCACCAAAACAAAGGCCAGGATAATAAACAGGACAAACTCTTTCAAACACATTTTAATGACCATATTTTGTTATTTTGGTACAATTTGAGGAGTCCCAATCCCCAGGGAAGACTAACAAGAAGTTCTCCTAACAAAGGTGGGTCTCCCCTTACTAAAAACTCCTGTAATGGCTGAAAAGAGCATGAGGTTTTCTGCATATCATTACACATTCAATAGAACGTCATGCAGCTGTTAAAAATGATCTGTAGAAGGCTATCTTGTGACAGAAAGGCATTGGAGATATACTGTTAGTGACAAAAATAGGTTATAAATGAATTTTTCCATGCATGCCTCTATATTTATAAATACACACACATAAAAGACAGGAAGGACAGACATTAAACATTCATAGTGCTTAAGATGATGCATAGTATAATAGTTAGGACCATGGCCTTTGGGACAGAAAACTACAGCCTCTCTCCCACTTATCAGCCATGGGACCTTGGGCAATTTGCTCAGCCTCAAAGCCCCTGTTCCTTTATCTGTGTGCTGGGGTTGTTGTAAGAGTTAAGTGCAATACACAGAGAGAGAGAGAGTACCTAACATGTATTATGTGCTCAGTCAATATGCATCATAGTACTCATTGTTACATATGTTCCTAAGTGCTTTATACGTTTTTTCCCTAAGTTGACCATCTGTTTTTGGCATTATGAAACATAATGATCCTAACAAATTAAAAATTAAAAACATTAAGGAATATTTGCCCAAAAAAAATAAAGAACATGAAATCATCAAGTAGCCAAGGGGCCATAGACAGAAGTAAGCCCTTGGTGGGGCTTAGTTGAGAGAAGTCTCCAGAAGGTCCTTCGTGTGTTAAAGAAGAGGGGTACAGGGAGGAGGTGGGGAGAGATGTTAACTGAGTCTAAATGAGCACCTGGAAGAAGAGATGGGACAGGCCACTTCTGCCTGGACTCCCTGATTGTTAAGAAGAATGAAAAAGAGCAGAAGTCTTCCCTGAGCCCAACTTCACTCCCTGACTTAACCTAGTCTTTGCCCCTTCCCTCTCACTCATGGCTACTTTCTGTGGTCACCTTGTTGTAGAAGTGGATGTGCAGCCACCTCATCTTTTTCTACCTCCTTCACATGTTTTAGATAATTTAATGTAGTAGAAGACGGTTACAGCAAAAAATTACAAAAATCAAAATATCTCTGCTATCTACTGTTGCATTTCTAACCATCCCAAAACAGTAGCTGAAAACAGCACTCGTGGTCGAGCGCGGTGACTCATGCCTTTAATTCCAGATACTCCGGAGGCTGAGGCAAGAGAATCACTTGAACCCGGAAGGTGGAGGTTGCAGTGACTCAAGATCATGCCACTGCACTCCAGCCTGGGTGACACAGTGAGACTCCGTCTCAAAAAAAAAAAAAAAAAAAAGCACTCGTGTATTTTGTTCAAGATCTGTGGTTTGGGCAGGGCAGGGCTCAATGAGGACATCTCGTCTCCGTTCCCGCAGTGTCAGGAAGTATAACTGAGACTGGAGGGTCACACAGAAGATGGCTCCCTGAAGTGGCCAGCAAATTGGTGCTTACAATTGACAGGGAGCTGTTGACCAAGGGCCCCAATTCCTCTTCCTATGGCCCCTTCTCGGGCTGCATGGGCTTCTTTACAGAATGGCAGCTGGATTCCAAGAGCAAGTATCACAACCTACAGAAGAGTGGAGGAATATTGAAAGTTCACAGTCTCTTAAGACGTTGGCCCAGAAACTGGCAAAAGCTTCATTTCTGCCATGTTCTATTGATCAGTCACAGAACCTGCACCAATTCAAGAGGAGAACATATAGAGGACATCTCTCAATGGGATAAGTGTCAACAAATTTGCATCTATCACAATCTGTCTTTTGGGTACAAACTATTTCTATTCCTCCATTATGCAAAATATACTCACAACCTCCCAAGGGTCCCAAAAGCCTCATCCAATTATGGCAAATATGGCACATATAAAATATATAGAATAATATACTAAGGCTTCTTTTTAATTTTTTAAATTCTCTGTTCCTTTCAGTCTAAGCCACTATAATTTTTTTATTTATGAAAAATAAATTACATGACACCTTGTTCTTAACAATGTTCAATTATTTTTTTATTCAGAATACTTGTGTCATTCATGTAAAATAGTTTGATACAGTACAATGTATGTTATAGGGTTTTTTTCCCTCAAAAATTCTAAGGCCCTCCTATTCCTTCTCCTTTGCTGAAGTAAGGGCATCCTAAACCACATGCAAACAAGTTTTAAAATGGAAGAATCAGTGAACAAAATTTTATTTTTTTTTCTATTTCTTAAAAAAAAAAAGAAATGGGATACGTGTGCAGAACGTGCAGGTTTGTTAAATAGGTATATGTGGGCCATGGTGATCTGCTGCACCTGTTCACCTGTCCTCTAAGTTCCCTCCCCTCATCCCCACCCCGCAACAGGCCCTGGTATGTGTTGTTCCCCTCTCTGTGTCCATGTTGAACAAAATTTTAATAGCACTACATCAACTAGCATTAAAATCAGGACAAAAATATTTGAATTGGATGCTGTACCTTTTTAAGGAAGTTAACATTCATGCTTTTTTCACCTTAAAGCACGCTCACAAATCAGCAATGAAGGGGTGGGTTGCCCCTTTACACCTGTGGGTGTTTCTCATTAGGTGGAACGAGAGACTTGGAAAAGAAAAAGACACAGAGACCAAGTATAGAGAAAGAAATAAGGGGGCCCAGGGGACAAGCGTTCAGTATATGGAGGATCCCGCCGGCCTCTGAGTTCCCTTAGTATTTATTGATCATTCTTGGGTGTTTCTCGGAGAGGGGGATGTGGCAGGGTCATAGGATAATAGTGGAGAGAAGGTCAGCAGATAAACACGTGAACAAAGGTCTCTGCAACATAGACAAGGTAAAGAATTAAGTGCTGTGCTTTAGATATGCATACACATAAACATCTCAATGTCTTAAAGAGCAGTATTGCTGCCGCATGTCCCACCTCCAGCCCTAAGGTGGTTTTCCCCTATCTCAGTAGATGGAACATAAAATCGGGTTTTATACCGAGACATTCCATTGCCCAGGGACGGGCAGAAGACAGATGCCTTCCTCTTGTCTCAACTGCAAAGAGGCGTTCCTTCCTCGTATACTAATCCTCCTCAGCACAGACCCTTTACGGGTGTCGGGCTGGGGGACGGTCAGGTCTTTCCCCTCCCACGAGGCCATATTTCAGACTATCACATGGGGAGAAACCTTGGACAATACCTGGCTTTCCTAGGCAGAGGTCCCTGCGGCCTTCAGCAGTGTTTGTGTCCCTGGGTACTTGAGATTAGGGAGTGGTGATGACTCTTACGAGCATGCTGCCTTCAAGCATCTGTTTAACAAAGCACATCTTGCACCGCCCTTAATCCATTTAACCCTGAGTGGACACAGCACATGTTTCAGAGAGCACAGGGTTGGGGGTAAGGTTATATAGATTAACAGCATCTCAAGGCAGAAAAATTTTTCTTAGTACAGAACAAAATGGAGTCTCCTATGTCTACTTCTTTCTACACAGACACAGTAACAATCTGATCTCTCTTTCTTTTTCCCACAAGCAACACCAACAGGAAAAATAAAGCATTGTCTGTGACAATCATTTTAGTTTGTTTGCTGAACCAAACAGGTTTATATCAATGAGAATATATCTAATTACTATCAAATAGCAGCTTTAATACCAGTCAAGTCATAGATTGAAAATAAAAACAAACTTATACTTGGAAATTAATCTTTAGGAGTTTTGAAACCTTTCTGAAAAAAACTATGTGGCTTTTTGTACTTTCAGAAAAATCCAAGCAATATTCTTGGTCAGAAAACACTGATTAATGTAGAAAATGAATCAACTCACTGATAAGACACTAACAAGAAAGGTGTACCAAAATAATCTCACTTTGAGTCCTGGTTATTTCACTGAGTTAACACCTACTGTATGTTTTCAAGTACCAGTTAAACCTTGTGTCTGTGTGTGTACTATTGGTCAGATAATGTTGTTACACTGGAGGAATTCATGACATATGAAGACAAACGCTTGCCCCTAGCACATTCTCAGCTTCAACTGCTATAGACTGTCACGGAAAAAAAAGTACTGGTCAGTCTGAACCAGGTCAAGTTAACTATGAAAGTAGCAAATCCACAACACAAACTGTGCTAGCGCTTTCTTTTCAGGTCTAACTCCAAAATAGGTACAAACTGGAAGCCACTACCCCGATCTGTGAAAAGCGGTGGAAGGAACTTGGCTACTGGGCAGGTGTGGTTGTACAGTACATTCTCATGGCCCATACCAGGTTCCCACGGAGAGCTGCACAGTCAGCCCTGCAGCATTCACAACAGTGCACGGACAAGATTCCGATGCAGCTCAGTACCCGTGTGTCTGACGTGGGTCCTGTGGAGCCTGCTGGGAGGTAGCTGAGTATCCTACACTGCTCTTCGGCTGGGATGTGCTTGGTCCAGGGTTGGGATATAGGCAGCATGTGGATTGGAACGCGGATAGTCTGAGGCCGTGAAAAGTCCACCTGAGGTAGTGGTAGGAGGAACAAGCCTCACTTTCTTCAACGGGGGTCCCTGTGTGTGACCGTTGTCTTGATTCCTGGGTGGCCAGTTCCATTCGTGTGGTTATGGCCCTGCTGCCGGTGGTGGTTCTTTTTGGCTCCTTTGTCATCAGGTTCTTCTTCTGTTAAAAATTCTCATTTTGGGTAGGGGATTTGACAACTGGTGAAAACGTCTGACGTAGGAAGTGGGTCTTCGAAGAAACAGGGACCCCGTTCTCAGGTAATTCACTTTATTGGGTCCATAGTAAGAAACTTCTGAAGCAAGTGGAATGCTTTACTATCTGGTTTAACTTTGTGTTTTTCCATATACTTGATAAGGCTGCAGTTAGTATACATATTTCTTCTGAAATCTTTCATTAATGTTGAATGTTCAGGCATCTTTTTTATATCTTCCCCGTCTTTATTTGCAGGAAATCCCATTACATTGAGTATTCTGTCCAGCCAGTCATGGTAATAAGGATTACCAGTTCTGATGTCCTCTTGTCGACCGTGAAATATTGGTTTTGACATTAGTAGTTCTTCAAACATACACCCTATAAGCCCAACTATCAATAGCTTTGGTATAATGCCTTACTCAAAGAAGTAATTCAGGGGCTCAGTACCAGAATGTAACAATCACTGGATCCAAATCTGCTAATGTAAGCTAGTAAAATTCTTTAAAATGTTTTGCATTATCCATTTATAATCAATTTTATTAAACCAAAAAACACACTTACGTTTCTTTTCAAGACAGCCTTTGTGTACCATGTGTGAGGCTTCCATGGGACCAGCCCTAGAAGTTTCTTTTTTTTTTTTTTTTTTTTTTTTTTTTTGAGACGGAGTCTCACTCTGTTGCCCAGGCTGGAGTGCAGTGGCACAATCTGGGCTCACTTCAAGATCCACATCCCGGGTTCACGCCATTCTTCTGCCTCAGCCTCCCTAGTAGCTGGGACTACAGGCACCCGCCACCATGCCCGGCTAATTTTTTTTTGTAGTTTTAGTAGAGACGGGGTTTCACAATGTTAGCCAGGATTGTCTCGATCTCCTGACCTTGTGATCCGCCCACCTCAGCCTCCCAAAGTGCTGGGATTACAGACGTGAGCCACTGCGCCCGGGCTAGAAGTTTCTTAAAGGACCTATAAAACATGCCCTTAAATCGTTCTGAGTTCTTACAATTTCCCACATTACATCAGGCGAGTTTTGCTAAACTTCCCACCACTACATACCAAGCATCATTTTTTCCTCTAGCTTCCCCTACTGTTTTCCTCACTATGCTTCAACCCTCCCTAAAAGTTTCCTTGAGGCCTGCCAAGCTCCCCTGCCACTCAGACCCAAAACCAAAGTCACGTGTCTTAAGCTTTCATTGCTGTAGCACCTCACCCCTGGTACCAAATTCTGTTCCAGTAATCTGGAACAAATCAGCCCAAAGCCTAGTGGATTATTTTGCTCATAATTCTGCAGTTTGGGCAGGGCTAAGCTGAGATGGTTTACTCTGTTCCACATTGCTCAACTGGGGCTGGAGTATACAGTACTAAGTGGTTCACTCGCCTGGTGACAAGTTGCTACTGTTTGTCAGCTAGGAGCACAGCTAGGGCTGTATGTAAGACCCCAATTTATCACCATGTGGGCCTCTTAAGGGGGCAGCTTAGAATTTCTCACTGTATGATGGATGGGTTGCAAGAACAAGTATTCCAAGGGACAGAAATAAAAGTTGCCAGTTCCTTAAGGCTGGAAGAGGCTGGAAATGATTACAGCATCATTTCCACTACATTCTATTGGTCAAGCCATCACAGAGCCACCCCAGAGTCAAGTGGACCAAAGAACCACACGAATGGAACTGGCCACCCAGGGAATCAAGACAGCAGTCACACACATTGAAGAAAGTGAGGCTTGTTCCTCCTACCACTACTGCAGGTGGACTTTTCATGGCCTCAGACTATCAGCATTCCAATACAAATGCTGCCTGTATCCCAACCCTGGACCAAAGGATCTGCAGCCATCTTTAATCTGTCCCATCAATGAAGCTATTAGCTGATTGCTTATTGCCATCATAATTTCATATCTATCCACTCCCATTTTATTATTCCCAATGATGCAAGAGTCTCAGGTATCATTGTGCTAGAAGACATGCCAGAACTCCAGGCATCCACTCACAGCTGTCAACACTGTACGTCCCTGAACCAGGTATGTGGTCCTCACCCTCAGATTACTAGAATACCTCTCTGGGCTGTGGCATCAGTAATTTTGCCCTTTCCCATCCTCTAGCCCAAGCCTAAATTGTCTTCCTTAGCTATGGACATGCAAGGCTGGGGAGATGAAATAGCATCATTGACTTGGCCAGGCTGTGTTTTCAACTACTAGGATCTCCTTCTAATAGCTTTTCTAACTTTCCAAATTTTATCCTCGATACCTACTCTGAACAACTTGCTCCAAGGTACAAGAGTAGACTTTTTCTCCCAGGAGGGCTTGCACCAGAAATCAATGAGTTATTAGTGATGTAGACAGAGGGAGAAAATGGAGCATGAGAGTATAATACCTTGGTGCATTGTGGTAGGGTACCACTGGTATCATTTGCTCCTCTATTCCAAGGGCTGGGATGACTGATATTAAAAGCAAATAGAGAATTTGTCTTAGGAAAGTGTTTTTGGAACCCATTGCTTTGGACTATCTTTGTTTGATAGAGATTGATGCCAAATGTTTGAATATAGCATTTCTTTAGGTGGACTTGTGGATATCACTTGAGTGCATACCATCTGAAGGTCTGCTGTGCATTTCATCAGGCCTGTGACCAATTATGTTTTGTGACTGAGTATCAGTCACCTAGATGTCTCCAAGTCCTGCAGGCTTAGGGTCATCCTGTTTGGAATTTTCTTTTTTTTTTTTTTTTGACACAGTCTCGCTCTGGATTGCAGTGGTGCGATCTCGGCCCACTGCAACCTCCACCTCCCAGGTTCAAGCGATTCTCCTGCCTCAGCCTCCCGAGTAGCTGGGAATAAAGGCACGCACCACCATGCCCAGCTAATTTTTGTATTTTTAGTGGAGACACGGTTTCACCGTGTTGGCCAGGATGGTCTCAATCTCTTGACCTTGTGATCCGCCCTCCTCAGCCTCCCAAAGTGTGGGATTACAGGCATGAGCCACCGCGCCCAGCCCCTGTTTGTAATTTTTAAGTAGAAATTTACTTGAACCCCTATCCAACATATGGTGGAAAACCTGGTTTGCTCTACCCTATTTCCTAACACCTGAGGAGTACCTCTCATGTCACTAATTTCTTTTATCTCCTGACCTTTCTGTCATGGCTCACATATTTCAATTGTTTCCTGTGTTGGTGCCAACTGACCCAGAACTCCCAACACACACACACACACACACACACACACACACACACAAAGCATCATCACAAAACATTTGTATCAGCCCAGTAATTCCTCAAACCTGGCTTTAGAAACACCTGGAGGACTTTTAAACATCCTAATGCCAAGCCTGCTCCCTGGATATTTCAATGTCAGCCATGCCTGAGAATCTGTCAACTAGCCCAGTGCTTCTCAAATGCGAGTGTGTGTGAGAATCACCTGGGGAGCTTGTTAAAATGCAGGCTCTGTTTCTGGGTCCCGGGTAGGGCTCTAGATTCTGCATCTCTAACAAGTTCTCAAGTGATGCTGATGCCGCTGATCCCCAGACCACACTTTGACTAGCAAAGAGCTATCAGATATGAGGGATGACAGGGGCCCAGCAAATAATTACAACTAAACATCAGACACATCAGTGACACCACTATCAGGAACTTCTCAGAGGCCATCCTGCTCCCCCAGTTCCAGCTCCAGGGCCCCCTCTCATTTCTCATTTCCCTTGGCTTCTACCTATTCCCAGGACCTTGTCTTTCTAGGGATGTCATGGCCACTATATATTTATTTAGTTATTTAATTTATTTCTGAGACAGAGTCTCTTTCTGTCACCCAGGCTAGAGTGCAGTGGCACAGTCATGGCTCAATGTATCCTTACCTTCCTGGGCTCAAGTGATCCTCCTACCTCAGCCTGCCAGGTAGCTGGGACTACAGGTGCATGCCACCACATGTGGTTAATTTTTTTTTTTCTTTTTTTTTTTGTAGAGGTCTTGTTGTTTCCCAGGCTGATCTCAAACCCCTGGCCTCAAGCAATCCTCCCACTTCAGCCTCCCAAAGCACTAGGATTACAGACATGAGTCACTACACTCTGCCAGGCTGGCATGTCTTTATCGGGCAGCTCAATCTAGTTCCCTCTGTCTCCAAGCACATCCCGGTCCCACTCTAAGAGCTGTCTTGCCACACCTAAATGCACCATCAAAAGGATTTGCTGATCCCAAGGCAGTACTGTGCCCAAGGAATGCTACCTCCAGCTTCTAAAGCAGAGGTTCCCAAAATCTCTCAGTTCATGGTATCCTTCGTGTCCCAGGAATTTCTTCACCGAGTACTTTAAGCCAAAAGAAACACCTGATGGTTCTGCTTCTCTCTCTCTCTCTCATTTTTTTTTTTTTGAGATGTAGTCTCACTATCACCCAAGCTGGAGTGCAGTGGCACGATTTTGGCTCACTACAACCTCCGCTTCCCAGGTTCAAGCAATTCTCCTGCCTCAGCCTCCTGAGTAGCTGGGGTTACAGGTGCATGCCACCATGCATGGCTAATTTTTATATTTTTAGTAGAGACGGGGTTTCACTATGTTGGTCAGGCTGGTCTCGAACTCCTGACCTCGTGATCTGCCCGCCTCGGCCTCCCAAAGTGCTGGGATTACAGATGTGAGCCACCGTGCCTGGCCAGTTCTGCTTCTTAAGCAATTGGGTTGAGACAATTTAATGCCAACGGTTTTCACGGGCCTGACAGATGTCACTGTGTTTTCTTCAGAATATTTAAATATCCCATGACACCTCGTGAGTGTGCTGAGGTGCCCTACAGTCCACACTTTGGGAACCATGGCTCAAAACTAATAGTTGGTATATATGGTACCTCCAAATGCCCTAGCAAGGTAATAGAAACCCATAGTGATGATTGTACGTGATGCAAATGGGGGACTGAATCTGACGGGAGAGGAGGGGATTTCAGGGAGGTGCTGTCCCACCACCAGCACCAACTGGATCTGGCACAAACAGGCCAACATTACTCTCTGTTGTAGCCAAGAGAGTCACTTTCTAGATTCATCTCTCAGTGGAAGTTCCAAAGGGTTCTGGGATTAGAATAGTATAAGAGAGAAAGTAAGGGCAGAAAGATAGTTTGTCTCTTGGTAAAAACTTGTAAACATGACTCATCTAATATCAGAAAATCTAGGAGGAAAGCTTAACTATTATCAGAATGCTGCGACACCTGATGGTGCAAACTGTTTCCAGTTAGGAGTCCAACCCTATGATACAGTGATTCTCAACCTTGGCTGCACAGTAAAATCATTTGGAGAGTTTTCAAAAAATACAAATGGCTGGGCTCCCACCCAGACCAGTTAGTTGAGTCAGTCTCCGAAGGCAAGATCCAGAGATCTATAATTATATATTTGTTTATTTATTTATTCGAGACAGGGTCTTGCTCTGTCACCCAGGCTGGAGTGCAGTGGCACAATTTCGGCTCACTGTAGCCTCAGCTTCTTGGGCTCAAGAGATCCTCCTGCCTCAGCCTCCCAAAGTGCTGGGATTACAGGTGTGCACCCAGCCTAAAAGTTTTAAATTTTGATGAGGTCCAATTTACCTATTTTTTTTTCTTTTGTTGCTTGTGCTTTCAGTGTCATCTAAGAATCAGCCAGCAAATCCAAGGTCATAAAGATATATCCCTGTTTTCTTCTAAGAATATTATAGTTTTAGCTCTTACATGTAAGTGTTTGAGCCATTTTGAGTTAATTTCTGTATATGGTGTGAGATAAGGGCCCAGTTGCATTCTTTCACATGTGGTTATCCAGCACCATTTGTTGAAAATATGATTCTTTCCCTCATTGAATGGTCTTGGCACCTTTGCTGAAAATCAATTGATCATAGATGTATGAGATTATTTCTGGACTCTCAATTCTATTCCATGTATTTACATCTCTCCTTAAGAGGTAGGGGGTGGGACTTGACTCTGGAGGCAGGACTTGGACACTGGACCAAACCGAGGACTAATTGAAACAGGGCTGGGGTGGAAGGAGCTTTTCATGTGACATACCCACCAGTTCGCCATATCAGTTTACCGTCATCATGGCAACACCAGGGAGTTCCCCGCCCCCCTTCCATGATGACTCCATGACCCAAAAGTTATTACCAATTCCGTAGAAATTTCTGCATAAATTGTCCCTTAATCTGCATGTGTTAAAAGTGGATATAAATGACTGCAAAACTGCCCTGAGTTGCTACTCTCTGCCTACAGGGTAGCCCTTCTGTGCAGGAGTAGTCAGAGTTGTAACAGGGCTGGAGCTGTAACAGGGCTGGAGCTGTAATACTGCCCCTTCAATAAAGCTGTTTTCTTGTCCCATGGGCTTGCCCTTGAATTCCTTCCTGGGCAAGGCCAAGAACCTTCACAGGTTAAGTCCCACTTTGGGGCTCACCTGTCCAGCATCACTTATGCCAGGACCATAGTGTTCTGATTACTGTAGCTTTGTAGCTAAGAGCTAAGTCTTGAAACTGGAAAGTGTAAATCCTCCAACTTTGTTCTTCTTTTTCAAGATTGTTTTGGCTATTTGGAACCTCCTGCAATTCCATGTGAATTTTGCGATCAGCTTGTCCATTTCTACAAAAAATAAAAAATAAAAATGGCACTTAAAATTTTGATAGGTGGCTGGGTGCAGTGGCTCATGCCTGCAATCCTAGCACTCCAGGAGGCTGAGGCAGACAGATCACCTGAAGTCAGGAGTTCGAAACCAGCCCGGCCAACATGGTGAAACCTTGTCTCCACCAAAAATACAAAAAATTAACTGGGCGTGGTGGCGTAGTTACTGTTAAAGCCCCACACTAGGCCCTTTGAAAAATACGGAATGTGTCAGAAATTAATTCTATACGATGATGTGACAACCACAATACAAGGTACTGCAATACAGCTGACCTCACCAAAGCACAAGCAGGGGCAGCTCAAAGAGGAAAATGTCACTTCCAGCAAGGGATTGAGGGAGGGCTTTAGGGAGGAAGTGGCATATAAGCCAGAATTACAGGATGGGGAGGATATAGACAGCAGATGACAGAGAGGAGAGTGAAAGCTGGGAATCCCAGCTAAAGGCATCAGGTTTATGGAATGAGTAGGGGACAATACTGTGTGTGTTTATACACACATGTATATGTGTGTATATGTATACATGTTTATGTATATATATAATTATATGGTACCATTTCTAATTGACAAAATAATCTATCACATTTTACATTATCAGATTTTACATCTATTGTTCTAAATAGACTCAGTCATCAGCCCTGTGTGTGGGCTCTTACCCATCCCCATGCACACCTCAGCTCAGCCACTGATGGATGGATCATCTGCCTATCAGAGGTGGCAATAGGGACAAGTTCTCAGTTTAGAGTTCCTCCTTCTAGGCACAGCTAACCCAGCTGAATGCCTAATTCCACCCATATTCAGGTGAATCCATGGCCACAGCTGCAGCAGTTCCTACCCACGCAGAAAGGCTCCACAAGAGGAGGCACACCCGCTCTGACTGTCCCTAAGCTCCTGACATCTTCACCCCATGAAGCTGCTGCTCCTGGGTGCTTCCTGCCTTGCCCTGCCCACCCTTGTACTGTTCTCACCATTGACACAGCTGGTGCCCGATGCAGCAGAGATCCATGACACCCTGGGCATTGCTGATGGCCTGGGCCCACCAGTGAGAAGGCACAGAAAAGAGGGTTATCAATACTGCTACTAATAATGATAATGAACTTTCAGTTGATATTATCAACACTGCTACTACAAATGATAATAACGAACTTTCATTGAATCCCTCTTTACTCCTCTTGTCAACCCTATGTAAAATAGGTTTATTATTATTCCCATTTTACTGGTGGGTGAAATGAGGTTTGAAATTTACTAACTTGTTCAGCTTTCAAAGACACCTACATGTTCCTGGCCATGTCTATGCCTCGTGATCACACCAGGGGAGGCAGGAACTCAAGGCTTTGTTGTCCAACTCTGTAGGAGAAGATTTAATCATCGTGGGTGAAGAGTGAGAGAAAGAAATCGCAAGCCTTAAGAGCTGGAAGGCGCTCCAAGCACCATTGTCCAAGGGTTAGGTGTGGCCAGGATGCAGTGCAGATTTCCTGGTTAATGACTGCCTCCTCTCAAAGGATCTCAACCTCACTGACTCCTGCTCACTGCACCCACCTGAAAGGGGCAAGCTCACTGGGTGCTTCCTTCCAAAGCTTCACTTCCTTCTGCTTTTGTAGAGGAGGTTGTTATATTATACTGTTGCTACAATGTCAATGTGGATAAGTATGAAAAACAAAATATCTAATGGAAAAAATACCTACAGTATATACCATACATTTTTAAGGCATACTTATAAACTTCTTAAAACACACAAAACAAAATTATATGCTCTTCATAAATATCTACATATAAGAGCAACATCTGTTCATTTTCTCCTCTTATATTTATATGCAGATTTCCTGGTTGGATACACATCCGGTCATACCTGGGCACTGCTTCTCCAGCTACACTTGGGGTTGTCCTGACTGATATCTGTCTCCCTGGAGGGTATGGTCTGCACGTGGGTCTGATCAGCCTTTCACCCTCATTGCCTGACACAGAGTAAACTGCAGAGGGCTCAGCAGTCTAGCCCACACTGTCCCACTGCATGTAACTAAGCCTCTCCCAGCTGCTGTCTTCACTGGGTGCCTCACTGCTGGGGACAGTGCACACCCACCAGATGTGCCACACAATGGAATTTTTCCATGGTTCAGACTCATATCATCTGGAGTAGGACATCTCCTATCATGTGTGTTTAAGCCTAGACTGAAAGCTAGTACAGCGGGCTGCCGACGTCCGGTCACCCAGAAATGGCTCTCAGGCTGAAAAACATGTTACCATTTTCTAATGAAATGTATAGGGAGGAGGCAGTGTTTCTTCAAAGGTGGACAAGAAAGAACCGCTTGCATCAGAATTACTTGGGAGTTTTTTTTTTTAAGGCAGCTAGATCCCTGAGCTACATCCCAAAACAGTTAAACAAGAATCTCAGGTTGTGCAATCTCTCTTTTTAGGAAGCTCCCCAAGTGAGTCTTAAAGCACAGTAGAGTTTTAGCACCTCAGGGGCAGTGCAAAGAACTCTGGACTAGGAGTCACAACACCTGAAAGTCTGCCACTTAAAACCCGCATGACTGTGGTGAAGTTACTTAATGTCTCTGCATCTGTTTTCTCACCTATAAAATGGGCACACAAATTCTCACTCTGCCTTCCTCACAGTGTTGTGCTGATGTGACAATCACCCGATGCATGTGAAAATTCCCTTATGGGCCAGAAATCACCAGGACCATGACGGTGCACTGAACAGTCCCTTCTGCATGGTCAGCAGAGAGGATCTGTCCCTGCCCCCTTGGTGCAACTGACATCTGATCCTGTCCTGAGCCCCTGCATGGAGCCGCTCTGATAAGGCACCTTCTGCAAGGGACTGTGGGCAAGGAACAAGGGGGTGTCCAGAGGCTCCAAGTCCCCTGATTAGTTGAAATTTAGAATGCATTTTCCTATGGAAAATTGCCAAGGAAAGGTGGGCTAAGTAAAAAATAATGATGATAACATGTTTTTGCAGTAAAAAATTGAGTAGGCTTTTGGGTGAGAGGTGAAAACCCCAACTATCATGCATTGCAGCCCTCTGGTGGAAACTGTGCTTCAGTCTAAATTTCAGGCTCTAGACTGACTCAGAGATGAATGTTTGGAAGCTGAAGACAATCTGTGTTCTCCTGTAGAGCAGGAGTCAGCACTTATTAAAGACTGCCAGATTCTATATATCCTGCCACATGCTCTGTTGTTACAGAACAAAGAAGGCCATAGACAGCATGGCTGTGTTGGCAAATACACAAAACAGGCAATAAGCTGTATTTGGCCTTTAGGCTGCAGTTTGCCAACCCTTGCACTAACACAAGGAGCTTAAAGGTAGCGGTGGTGCTGTGCTGGAGCTAGCTTATATCAGCTTGCAATAGCCAATTGCTAACATCTCTTCCAAACTCTGTGTCTGTGCCTTCATGTTGGTAGTTTGAAATTGGCCATATTTGGAGTAGTTATGCCATGGAAATTGGCAAAAGCTGTATATCCACCATCACCAGCCCCCTGTGAACCAGCTGATCACATCACTAGGCATGTGTCCACCAGGATGAGAGTGAGGGTTGGGGATGGTTGAGCCAGACAGTGCATGGGAATGTGGGAAGAAAATATTAGATGTCAGACCCTGTTTTATTTAGCCCTTGTAAATTTTTGAATTCTGTGTAAGTTTCATAATGTCCCAATGCCTGCACTTCAAGATGTGTTCTAGAGTTTGTTTAATTGATTAGGATAACTGGGACCAAAAAAATGTTTGGAGTCTACCACTCCTAAAGCGATTTATTATATCCTATGCTGGATAGCTCATTCATGAACAGAGTGCCGGGTGAATAAGGGTCTTCTCTTTCTACACCCGAGACAGCCTTCTTCTTGTCCCCACCTGCCTCACCCTGCCCCAGGACCTCGGATGGGGTAGGAGGAGTGACCAGCTGTGAAAGGAGCTTCTGGTTGGAATGTTTCCTATGGGAGTTTCTGTCACAGATTAAATGCCCTGAGATCACCTTTTGAGAGACATTAAATTTCATGGGATGAACAGTTATCATGTTGGGTATTATGAGTTGAATTATGTCCCCCAAAAAGATATGTTGAGGTCCTATCCCCCAGTAGCTGTGAATGTGACCTTACTTGGAAATAAGGTCTTTACAGATACAGTTCAACTTAAGATGAAGTCATTCGAGTGAGCCCTAATTCAGTATGACTCTGTCCTTATAGGACAATCTGGACACAGAAACACAGAGAGAAGACAGTCATGTGAAGATGGGGGCAGAGACTGGAGTTTTGCTGCCACCAGCCAAGGAACCCTGGAGCTACCACAAACTGAAGGGAGGCCTGGAACAGATTCTCTCTCAGAGCTCTCAGAATGAACCAACACCTGGAGTTCAGACTTTGGCCTCCTGAACCAGGAGACGATACATTTCTGTTGTTTTAAGCCACCCAGTTTATGGTTCTCTATGGGAGCTCTAACAAACCAATACTTTGGGATTCTCAGGTGTGAGGCATAAGGGCCAAAACTTTTTCACTAAACATAAAGACCAATGATTACAATTACAGTTAGGAAAATGAAATTCAAAACCACCTGAGTTTATTTATACACATTTTCCAAAATGCATCTCCTTTGCAAGGGAAGTCATATTACTATAGAAATATGGAGAAGGCCATCATTTAAATAGAAGGCTTCCTTTCCTTTCTCCCTCCCTCTCTTTTTTCTTCCTTTCTTCATTTATAAAAATCTTATGGAGTTCCTACAAGTGCCAAGCACTGCAGTGGGTTCTTGGGATACATCACAGAGCAAAGAACTTGTGGGACATACATGCTAGTGGAAGACACAAACAATAAATGTAAGAAGAAAACTATACAGCATGTTAGAGTGAGAAAAATAAGACAGGGCAAAGGGGAGTCAGTAGTGCTGGGGTGAGAAAAGATTGCAGCATTAAATGGGGTAGCCAATTTCAAACTATCAACATCAAGGCACAGACACAGAGTTTGGAAGAGATGTTAGCAATTGGCTATTGCAAGCTGATATAAGCTAGCTCCAGCACACCACCACCACCTTTAAGCTCTGTGTTAGTGCAGGGGTTGGCAAACTGCAGCCTAAAGGCCAAATACAGCTTATTGCCTGTTTTGTGTATTTGCCAACACAGCCATGCTGTCTATGGCCTTCTTTGTTCTGTAACAACAGAGCATGTGGCAGGATATATAGAATCTGGCACTCTATGAAAAGTGCTGACTCCTGCTCTACAGGAGAAGAGACCACAGATTGACTTCAGCTTCCAAATACTCATCCCGGAGTCAGTCTAGAGCCTGAAATTTAGAGCCTGAAGCACAGTTTCCACCAGAGGGCTGCAATGCATGATAGTTGGGGTTTTTCACCTCTCACCCAAAAGCCTACTCAATGCGATCACCACAACCATGCCTTTCATGAAGTCAACAACAAACAGGGCCTTGTGCTTCCGTAAGGTGTTGATGCACTTGCTGTCTTGGTGGAGCCTCACAGGAAGCATGAGTGACCCATGTCATAGTGACTCACTATATCTCATCAGGTTGGAAGGGGATGGAGCAGGACCAAGCCCAGGCTGTCTGTGTCTCCATTTGGCCTGCATGTTCGGCCTCCTCAAGGCCATGGTCAGTAAGCCCCATCTCCTTTCTGCTAGTCTGTAAGGGAACCAGAGTCCTCACTGCCATGAGACAGCCCCGGCTCAGAGACTAATTTGAACAGCTGTGTCTTTGTTGTGAAAATAGTTTTGTGATATTATGAAGAAGACATGCCTTCCTCTCCAAAATATGGATGTCACCTGGCCACATTTTTTTTTCTTTTATATAGTGATACATAATATTTCACATATTTATGGCATACATGCAAGTACTCATTACATGCACGGAATGTGTAATGATCAAGGTAGGATGTTTGGAGTATTCCTCGCCTTGAATATTTACCATTTCTCTGTGTGGGAAACATCTACTAAATATACTATGTACTTTTTTGTCACTGGGCTGGTGTTGATCACCATCACCATCAGGATCAGAAACAGAAGGAGCTGACCTTATCAGAGCTTTTCCCATGGGTATCATCTCACTTGAGCCTCCATGCCTGGGGTGCTGTCCCTACTACTCCTTTACGGCTGAGCTTTGTCTTCCTGCCCACCACCCACACGCCTCTCTCCTGGGATTAGCTCTCTAGCTCTGCTTTGAGGAACATCACTGGCCTCGTTGGATACAGTCTTGGAGGGAGTATTGATCAAGGTGTGCTGCCCTTCACTGACCAAGGAGTCGACACATGACCCAAACTAGGGCAGTTGCATGCTTTGCTTGGAATCTCAATCTTTTGCTAACTGACAAAAAGCATGATTGGCTCTTACCCATCTGAGTGATGGGACCAACGTTTTCTGCCTTCTGTCATTTCTGGCCTGCCAGAAATCCCTGACTTTTTCTTCAGCATGTCTTTCCATTTTGAAAGTTACTTCACATGATAGGCAGAATAATGGCACCCCGAAAATGTCCACATTCTAATCCCCAGACCCTGTGTATATGTTACATGACATAGCAAAAGGGACTTTGCATCTGTGATTAAAGTTAAGCCTCTTTGAGACGGGAGAGTATCCTGGATATTGACGTGAGCCCGATGTAAATTGCAAGCGTTCTTATATGTGAAAGAGGAAGGCAGGAGGGTCAGAGCAAAGCAGTGTGAGAAAAACCCAAGCAGCGAAGATGGGAGTGGGCCACTAGCCAAGGAATGCAGGTGGCCTCTGGAAGCTGGAAAAGGCAAGGAAATTGACTCTCCCCTAGAGCCTCCCAAAGCAATGCTATCCTGCTGATACTTTGATTTTGGCCCAGTGAGACACATTCCAGACTGACCTCCATAACTGCAAGATAATACATTGCATTGTTTAAACCACTAAGTTGGTGGTAATTTGTTACAGCAGCAGTAAGAAATGAATATACCCAATATCCTTCTAGAAAGCTCCTTTTGTAGTATACTTGTTGCTTAAATAAGCTAGAAGCTATTATTATTGCTTGTAACTGAAGAGCTAAAACTAATAAACTAATTTCCAAGCCTCAGTCTCCTGTCTCCACCCCCTCACTCTGTTTCCAGGCCCTGATTTCTGTTCGGCCAGCCTTCCACTCCCCCATTATGAGGATCTGAGCCCTGCTTAGTGATAGGACCATGCCCTTGTTGACAAGCCTCCCAGACAGTACCTGGCTCCTCCCTCACCTGGTCTCCTGGCTGTCATCTGACCCAGATTCCTTGTCTCTGTGCCTTTCCCACAGGTCAAGTCACCCTGCTCCTTATCTGGGACCTAACTACCCCTTTTCCACTATCACTTGGCTGGATTGTGACTTGCTGTTACATTTCTTTCTTGCACACTGTACCCTAGACACAGACTCAGCCACTTCTGCCCCAGGATCAATGCCCTCAGAATCTACCAAACCCCAGTAGGAAAGACTAATTCTAGAGCACAGCATGCACCCAGCTGCTCCTTCCCACTGCAAGTATTGCACTCAGACTGGCCACATCATAGCATATGACACACACATGCATGTCTGATGGTTCAGGGTAGCAGTACACAAGCAGAAGCCGGTCTCTTTCCAACCCAGAACTTTGTAATTAAACAAGCTTCTTGCTATATCCTAAAAACACAAATCCTTAAAGCATGAATGAGAAATGAAACCCAATGACAGAAAGTTTAGTGAGCAGGTTTGGTGTTTTTATACAATTAGTTCAAATTAGCGAGGAAGGCGTTCAATGGGGCAGTTTCCTAATCGCTGACCTCACTGGGGCTCATTTCAGCTTTGCAAACTGGTTGAAATGAAAATTCAATGTGTTTCCTGTTCTCAAATTTATCTGTCACCCCAACAGGCTCATTACAATTGCAGGAGGTGCAGATGAACCATCCGGGGTGAGCCGCCGACTCCAGCATGTTCCAGGAGCCCACCTGAGCCCTATAAAAGATGAAGGGCCGGCGTGCTGATTCCTTTTGGGCAGCCAGCTTCATCAGTTTCTCCTTCTGTGAGGTAAAAGGGATTAATTAGATAGCACAGGCTTTGAGAGGGAGGAAAACACAGCACATGTGCTCATCCTCCAGGCCTTTACACAGGAGAGGAGGAAAAGAGAGAAGGCAGATGGTCCTTGGGAAAGATGACGTGTCAGCCTTGGTACTGGTATTTAAGGGATGATAAGCAATCCTGCCCTCTTTTCCAGGCCTTCTTGTCCCCCAGATTAAAAATAAACTGAGAGAGAGAGAGAGAGAGAGACGTAAGAGTCAGATGGATACCAAAATCTCAGCTCTATAGTTTTTAAAATTAGAGAATATGGCTTAGATCTGTATCTAATTCAGCTTCCTAAGATTTCTCCCCTCAAGTGAAAGGTGCTCCATCCAGGACTAAATTTGCAGGGCAGACACACTGCCCTCCGAGTGCTCCCTCACACCCTCCTACCCTACAGCAGCACGCCAGGGTCCTGGCCCAATTGTGTTGCTTGCCACATGGAGGGCCACAGCAGGAGGGGACCGCCACCCGCCCAGGGCCAGGACCAGTGAGCCCAGGAGAGGAGAACAGGTGCTCAGCTCCTTGCTGTCTCCCCGCTGTGAGGAGTCTCTCCTCCTTCCCTAGAAGGGGCAAGGAACCAGAGAAGAAGTTATGGGGCTCTTCTGCCTGGTGCTTCCAGAAAGGTGGATGTCCCTGTTATATTGGCCAAGATAAGAATTTGCAGGAAAGCGAGAGGCATTGAGGATCTTGGCCTTTTACTTTGGGGTAGCCAAAGGCCCAGGAAACTGAGCTAGAACTCTCACCTTCAGCTGAAGGGATGGATGACTTTGTCCTTTATCCTTGTCACAGTAGAGACAAAACTCCCCTTTAGAGACCCCCAGGAGAATCGGACTTCCTTTCTCCGCAGAGGCTGAGCTCAAGGATGAGGCTAATGCAAAGAAGATCTCTGGAAAAAGACAGTCAGAACATGTGTGGGTTCTGAGAGCAGGGAAAGGTCTCTCCTGTCTGCTGGGGTTTCAGGCCTGATGCACAGTCCCTCTCCCTTGACTCTGTGGTCCACTTCTCCCTCCATCACACTGGTTTAAGCCTCCTCTTCTTCCAGTCTAAGTGTCTGCCTCCTTCTTTTTCTCCAGCCCTTCCAGAAAGACTACTTTCAGATCTGGTCATTGCTAGAGACCCTTCATCTGATGCCCTAGTCCCTGGGGCCTCTCCTCCTCGCTTCCACCACCTGCTGGAGATGGGGCATGGTATAGCATGGAGTTGAGCCCACCTAGCAGGAGGCCTTACCCCTGCTAGGTGGAGGCAGAAAACACAGCCAAAACTGAGAGTCACCTGGGCGTATGTAGTTTTTATCTGGAACTGCTATGAGATTCCCAGAGTCCAGGACCAGTACTTTGTGATCCTGGTCATGAATGCTGAATTTCTTCGGGTTTAAGTTCTTCACCTTTGGACCTAGATCAATATCACCAGATATCAACACTTCACATTGAAAATGGAAGACTCAGCCCTTTCTTCCCCACGTCCAAGGGCCCCAGCCCTAGCTCTCCACCCTGCCTGTGGGCTCAGACATCACAGCCACTGAATATTTCTTCCACTCCCAGGCTTTCTATCTTGCTGGGACAAGCAATTAAGCTTTCTGTGCAAGCAAATGGGTTCCAGATTTGGACAGATAGATTCAAATCCCAGCTCTGCTGTAGGACAGAGGACAAGTTACTAAGTCTCTCCAAACCTCAATGTCCTCATCTGTGAAATGAAAGTAATAGCAGCACCTACTTGAGAGAGGAGTTATGAGAACTAAAATGCTTACTCAAATAAGTAGCACTTAGCCTGAGCAAAGAAAATGTCTGGCGTATAAAAAGGACTTTTTATAATCATTGTTTTTCTTAACTCTCTTTTTTGCACCCTCTGACTGGAGGCATCATTCCCTCAGCAGTGCCTAGAGTGGAACAGATCCCTGCACTGGCCAGGCTAAGGGAGCGGTGATGGAAGAGTTGGGAGGGTTGGAGGCAGGAAGCCCCCAGGAGCCCAGCACGGTGCAAGGCTGAGCTGGAGCTTTAGTGGCTCCTTTGAAAAGCCACAAATCTTGCACCTGGCCCTGGAGGAACAACTTCTAGCAGCAGGACCAGCCACAACAGTGCTCAGAGGGTTCTTAGGGCGTGGGCTCCTAGCAACTCATTTGGGCCAGGCCTGCCTAGAGTAGGGTCTTAAAAGGGAACGTTCCCTCCTGGCCTCTGATTGGACAGGTGACCCTCACCTCTGCAAAGAGCTCAGGCACTTGTTTGATAAAGAACAGGGGCCCCCAGGCTGGGCCAGTGACTGTCAAGAATGGGTGGGTGGCTGGAAAATGGCAAATGTGACAATATGAAAACACAGTAACCACCACACTATGTGAAGCTATAATATGGGTATCTGTGGTAGGCAATTCTAATGTAGAGAATAAGTCTAAGGTGTCATTCTTTTCCCATGCCATAAGCACATGGCCTCTGCCTGGGTTTCTCACTGTAGAATGTCCTCCTGGTCTCCTCATGCCCAAAGAGTGGGGAGGACTCCTCCTGTAACACCGGCTTTCCTGTCATCTCCCTGCAGCCCTCCTCAGCCCCCTCTGCACAGGGTAGCTTCCTCTCTGGTGCTGCAGCGCTCTGCACTCGTCAGTGGTACCTGCACACAGGTATTGGCATCCTTGGCTCGCTGCCCTATAGCACTGTAAGCTCCCCAGGAGCAGGCTTCCTATCTGACTCACCCGTGATCCTCCACCTCCCACCCTGTAGTGCCCCAAGCATCGTGGACACTCTCAGTGTCTATGGAAGAGATGACTGGCCCCAGGCAAGATCCTAAGTAACTCCCCAGTGATATGGGGTCAGATGAGATCCATGGTTATCAGCCCTGCCTTACATCAGAATCTCCTCAGGAGCTTTTCTGGGCCCATCCCAGGCAGTCTGAGTTCATGGAGCAGGTGCAGGTTGACTGAGAGTCACCGAGCTAGCTGAACTCTAAGCTTTTCCATTTCCCACACTTTAATGTGCAAGAAATCACCTGCAAACTATGGTTCAGTAGGTGTGGGTGGTGCCAAGCCTCTGTCTTTCTGATGCACTCCCAGAGCTGTGGGTGCTGCTGGTCTGAAGACACCCTTTGAGTGGCATGGCCTAAGGCTGTGACTCTCACCCCTGGTGCACACTGGGAATCACCTGGTGGGTGGCATTTTAAGACCATGGATACCTGGGCCTCACACTCCTGAGATTCTCATTCAGTTAGTCCAGGGTGAGACTGGAAAATGCTCTTTTTAAGAAGCTACTTTTCTAGCACCATCATTTTACTTTGTACCTCTTAAGCGCTTCTTAAAGCTGTTCTTTCCTTTGGTTTCTGTTTCCCTCCTATCACAGCCTGACATAGGATCTCAGCGTCTCACATGCAGACTAGTTCACTATCCTCTTAAGTGGTGTTCTCGCTCATGATCCTTGACCCCAAATCTTTCTCAAGGCCACTCTGAAGGTGTGAGTGGTCTTAAGGTGCTGGCAGTTGTTTTCTATAGGGAAGTTGTACTCCAACAGCAGCAGTAACATCAGTGCCAGCGCCAGCTTTAGGGCACTAGTAACTTTCTGTAGGGCAGTAGCTCTCAGACTTTCAAGGTGCGTCACGATAACCTGGAAGTCTTGTTAAAGCAGCCCCTAGAGCCTCAGCGCCCTGAGTTTCTGAGGCAGGAGGTCTGTGGTGGGGCCTGGGAATGTGTATTCCTAACACTTCTAGGCGCTGATGCTGCTGACGTTTGAGGACCAGACTTGGAGAACCACTTCCGCCAGATTTGAAGGAGATCCCAGCCCTGACAAGGAGAAGTCAGGACAGGCCCGACAGAGAGGCTTGTGTGCGTGGTTCCACCTGGAGTGGACACAGTGCAGATCCAAAGCCAGCAATGGTGTAACTACAACAAAACTAAAACATCAAAGGTAACTGCAGCAGCAGCGGTGGAGAAGTGACAGCAGCCTCCCCCAACTGTGCCAGGCACCCTTACACACCTGGTCCCATTTGGTCCTCTCTGCCATTGTACTAGTGAGGCTCAGTATTCCCACATGAACCTGCACTAGAGCTGGGGCTCAGGCTGAGGCCTCCTGACTCTGTCCTGAGAAGAGGAGGTGATGGGAGCCTTAAGCCTGAGTCAGGCAGACAGACGTTATAGTACCTTTAAATTTCCACATCTGTCACTTATTACCTGTGTCACCTAGGGCAGGGAATCTCCACTGTCTGTCTCGGTTTCCACACCTGAACAGTGGCAATGTTAACAGTTTCCTATTAGGGTGTTGTGGTGTTCAAATGGCAGCATGAGAGGAAGGTTCAGGCTCTGAAGGCGCCGCCCTGAGCCCTTAGTGGTGTGGGTGTCCCTGCACCCCCACTGGCCCCATGGCTGTTTGTCCTCAGTGCTGGGAGGAGGTCTGTGTCTCCAGTCTCTTGGCTATGGTCAGAAGAGGCACCTGGAAGGTTCCCAGGCACAAACTCTTCCTTGCCCTGTGCCTCTTAGCAGGTGAGCATCACCTGCCCCTCCCCGGGCTCATCTTTCCCAGAGTTATCTCCTAATGGGATTTGCTTCCACAAAGGAAAGACTTCAGCCCCATCCAGCACCCTTAGGTGTCCCCATTCTACAATTCTCCCACCCTGTAAGAGGACCCAATGGCTCCATCCCCCATCCCCACCCTCGCACCTCAGCCACCCCCATCACCTCACCCCGAGGCCTTACTTGTGTGAACAAAATTCATGGTGGGGAGGCTTGGGCCTGGTTCCAGGGGGCTTCCAGCCGGGTCTGCAGTCAGACGCAGTGAGGTTAGCATATGCAATTCGGATTTTCCAAGGATTTAGGGGTATCAAAGACCATTTAATTCCCTCTTCTGTGTATGTGCTGAGAAATACTAGAGCAGCATGATAGTAATGACATTAAATCATAGCTTCCCTCTTCAGAAACATAGAATAGAGATGAACTGGATCACGGGTTTGGCCTCTGGCATGTCACAGGCCTCTCCCGTCACACCTCAGTAGACAATCATTTGGGTCAAAAGCCTCCTCCTATTGTCCCCCATGGGCAACACCCAAATGTGTTCCTCATGGAATACTCAGATGCCCTGTGCCTGGGTCATTTGTTCAGCCCAGCCTTAGAGAGCTGCTTCTCATCGGAGGCTTCTCTTCCACTTGGGAATGTTGGGAGGGAAGAGGTGCATTTTGAAGCATATGCAACCATCCAGTTGGCAAACAGGATGCTAAAGCCCCAAATCTGTAGGTGAGGACGATCCTTTTATCTACTACCTGATGTGCCTGGACACTGAAGCAAAGCTTCCTTTTCCCTTCCAGAATTTCTCTTGTCTAGTTATTTGTCCAGGGAAATTTGAAAGCTCACTTACTGTGCAAGTCAGCAGGAAACAACTGGGTCTGTGCACAGCACCTAGCAAAGTTCTGCTCTAGGAATTACACTTTGGCCCTGAGGTAGATTTCTACAAGAACCTTACCTTCTAAGCAGCACTGGGGTTCATCTTTTTCCCAGTCCTCAGAGCCCATTTTCACTCCTGAGTTCTCCCCCACAAAGGACATTTTCAACGTTGAGTTTATTACTCAACAGAAAATGGAATGAAGTCCAAGACCTAAGGAGATAGAAAGGGGACCAGTTATGGCATCTTCTCACCCCAGGACACCTTGCTGCATGTCTCTAGTGCTGAACAGACCACTGGCCTTGCTCTGTAGTTTGAAATGCTCGCTGCAACCAGAAAGGCACCAAGGGGCCAGACCATGCTCTCCTGTCTATCACGCCTTCAAAGCAGAATTTCCCAAACCTTGAGTCACAGTGCTAACACACGGGGTGCAATAGCATTTTTGTGGATCTTGGCATTTTACAAAAATAAAATAAAAAAGTTAAAAGTGCATTGCTCTAGTCTTGGGGCTGGCACACTATGGCCTTTGGCCAAATCCGGTCCCTGACTGTTTTTTTAAATAAAGTTTTATTGAAACACAGCCATGCTCTTGTTTACATATTGTCTCTGGCTGCTTCGAGGCTACAATAGCATGGTTAACTAGTTGAGAGATCATCTGGCAAGCAAAGCCTAAAATACTTACCATCTGACACCTTCTATAGAAGTTTGCTGAGTCTCTGCAGTAGCCTAATCTTTGCCTAACAAAAAGCAGTTGCTCTGCAACCTCTTTTCATGAAAACCTAAGCCACCAAATGTCCCAGGAGGCTCAATCCCTAATATCTTAGGGTAGGATTGACTCACGTGACTTGCTTCATTGGGAGGGGTTGGAGGAGATATATTTATATATATAAATTCTGCACACCCTATCTCAGTTGACCGAGAGCTTTCAACATCAGCCCAGGCCAACATAGGACAGAAGTGGAGCAAAAATTGGTATTCCCATCTTACCGATAAAAAATCAAAAGTTAAGTGATTTGTTCAGAATCATATCACTTCTAAGATTGCAGAGATAGGCAGTTTGTGTACAAATCCAATCCTTTGAGAAAGGTTTAGGAGTGAGACAAAGGGAACTAAATTGTTCATGCAAAAAATAAAAATGACAAGGAAGGGCTTCAGGACTCAACAATAAGGACGGTGAGCAGGAGCAGGTGGGTAGAGCTGATGGGTCTTTAGGAACAGGGATATCTGCTATTTGATTTTAACCTGTTTGTGGTTTGGCAGTATCCCTGAATACATGAAGCACAACTGCCTTTGTCATGTTGGGGTAAATCAAAGGACACAAAAAATTGGAGGCGCTTGACAGAGAATTTGGCAGCCAGAACATCAGAGCAAGAGATGTCTGGCAGAAACGTAGGTATCCAAAGACATATAAAGATACTGTGGTGCTGCTGAAGGACAGAAGGATGCTCACAGGCTGGAGGACCTGGGGCCATCCCTCGGGGGTACTCATGAAATCTGCTGCCTGTATTAAGATAAATGCAGGGAGCTTTCACAGAATTCCCTAAAGAAGCAGTGCATCTGGCCATCTGAAGTCCATCTCTTTGCACTCAAAATCTGTTCCCAAGGACCAATATTTTCTAGACTCTAAAGTCAGTCTTCTGAGCCTTCAGAGAAGGGACTAGCATTTCCAGGGTTGGTGGATTTCCTAAGCTAGTGTCTGCCTGGCCCTCCAGCAATGCCCTACTTGTTAGTGGAAGCCCTCCTGGGAGAGAGCAGGCTGCTACTGGGGCTGAGAGCAAGGTGTTCTGGGCAGGTCTCAGAGATCATATTTAGAAATTCAGATGTGCTTCCAGTGGGGATAAAAAGCAAGGGTCTAGATGGCCAGATGCTACTCTACTTCCCCATCCATCCTGTTGGCCTTGAAAGCCAGTGCAGGAGGACCACCTACCTGGGCCAGGGATCCTCGTGGTCTGTGGCTCTGTCTTGGACTCCTGGAGCTCTGTTTGCCTTCAGTTCTCAGGATCCTTTACTTGAAGGAGCTAGGTCTGGTACTCATTTGTAATCAACAGTTTGTGAGTGGTTATGCAAATACAACACAAGTATTCCTTTGGCCAATAATAAATAGCATCCTCAGTTATCAGTGATCACTCATTTCCTGCTATTTTCCATGCCAACGGTATAAACAAATTCCTGTGGGGGTAGTGCCACTCTGCTAAGGACTGTGCCACACCTATTCAACACATTTCAAGGTACTTGTGATAGATCAGGTGGCTTCCAGTCCAGTCCAATAATACAGGTATAGAAAACAGAGGAGAGTGAAGGAAAGAGGGGACACAGGGTTTAGATCAGCCAATGAGCCTGGGAGGTTCAAGGAAGCCCTTGTTCTCATGATGGTTCTTTGCCCCAATTCCAGAGTTCATGCAAGTGGAGTCCCCATGTCCCAGAGAAAAATGTCCTCTTTTCATGTTCCCTTCCAGGTACACTCCGGGATGCACTATACCTCTTCTATGTCCCCTCTTCTTCAAAGGTGACATGCAAAAGGACCTTCCTTGATCAAGCCCTCCAAGGACTAGCTTCCTTCTACAGCCCATTAGCTATTTATCTGCACTTCCTTGCATTTTTCCATCACATTTGCCCTTGTCAGTTACTGTGTATGGCTATGTTTTACAACACCACACACAGCTGCTCAGTATGAGGGGAAATCCACATAACCAATTAAGGTAATAGCTTCTGGACCACCACCAGCAGCATGTCAATAACACAGGAACAACAGGCCAGCACAATAGTCAACCACTGTGCTCTCACTGTGCCAGGTCTGGGCTCAGCCCATTTATTTATTTTTCTCCAACCAAATCCTTTGATGACCCTGGGGGTAAATACCATCCTTCCTGTTTTACAGACAAAAGGTGGTGCAGTTTAGAGAGGATGGACAATTTACCCAAGATCACATCCTTAATTACTGGAAGAACTATAACCCAGGCCTTTCTGAGCATGCTGCAGCCTCATCTCTTAAACTTCACCGAAGACTGTGGTCTCATCCTCTAGCCTTTCTTCACATACGCATTTATATAACATACAAATATAGGAGTGTGTCTGACAAATTATTTTGTAAGATACATTTCCTACTTAATGTATCTTGCCTTTTCTACTCAATATGATATCTCAAACATCGTTCCATTTCATCAATACTTTTCTACAATAGTGTATCTAATTACTGCAAGGTATTCCATTATTTGTCTAAAGACCTGGAAAAATGTTATTCCCTTGATGGCTAGAATACAAATCCCTGATTTCTGTTAAATTCCATAAGGAGACACATATCTTTAGAGAACTTCTTGATAAACCTCTTGGGATGGGATGAGATTGTGAAGGAAAAGAGGAAGTAAAAATTTTAAAAAGTCAAAACAAACACTAACTTATCTTCTAAGAAGGTGGTTGGGGTAACTGTAGGCACTTCTGTGGTGCTCACTTCTGGAATGAATGAGGATGTGAGTGTGGGGGCAGCAGGCCATTGCTCTCAGGACAGGGAAGATGGAGATGCAGGGAGGGTGCCATGTTGAGGCAGTTGCAATAGAGACTTGTAGAGATTCAACCAAGTGGTTCCGGAAAGGAAGGGAAATGAGAGAGAAGAGTTTGTCTTTAATAGGGGGTGCTACCTAGTGTAGTATGGAGTATTCATAAACTCTTGCCTTTATTGCCCCATGTAAAACCTCAATAAGTTCGATTATCTGTACCAATACTGATATACAAGGGACACTGTTTATAGGAGGTTGAAGCTCGAGAGAATAAGGGGCAGCTAACTTGTATGTCACATATGGACAGATCATAGTCTAACTAATCCTCAATTTTGAACATCTGAGTTATTTTCACTTTTACATTATTATATGTATGAGATATATATATATATACACACACATATGCATACATAATTCTGTGCTTAATATGCTTGTCCAAATCTTTGCATATATCATTGATTACTCCACTAGGATAAATTCCTACATGTGTAAATGCTAGACCAAAGGACATACATATTTTATTTTATATACTTTTAAAAATTTTCTATCTTACAACGATTTTTAAGGACTCCAATTTATTGAAAAACAAATTCACTTTTCTAACTACTCACTGCAGAGGCAATCACCATGCAGACTTTTGACAGGTAGCTGAGTTCCTGTGTGTATGTTTCTGTGGTATGTGTATATTTGGGGAGATGCATGTATACTTTGTGTATGTATGTTTTGTACAACATATGTATTTTCATGCCATTATGGAGTTGAAAGGTGAGGCCAGGTGGACTTCCTGGGTCCAGTGGGGACTTGGGGAACTTTTCTGTCTTACAAGAGGATTGTAAAACACACCAATCAGGAACTTTTCTGTCTTACAAGGGGATTGTAAAACGCACCAATCAGCACTCTGTAAAATGCACCAATCAGCAGGATTCTAAAAGTAGCCAATCACAGGGAGGATTGAAAAAAGGGCACTCTGATAGGATGGAAACAGAACATGGGAGGGGCCAAAAGGAAGTAAAAGCTGGCCACCCCAACCAGCAACCCTGCTGGGGTCCCCTTCTGGGTTGTGGAAGCTTTGTCCTTTTGCTCTTCACAGTAAACGTTGCTACTGCTCACTCTTTGGATCCATGCCATCTTTAAGAGCTGTAACACTCACTGCGAAGGTCCACGGCTTCATTCTTGAAGTCAGCGAGACCACAAACCCACCAGTAGGATCTATCTCTGGACACAGGTTTGTGGGCATGTTTGGTGTGTGTTGTGTGTATATATTTTGTGTGTGTGTTGTGTGTTGTTATGTGTTGGGGGTATGTATGTTTTTATGATTTTGTGTGTGTGTTATGTGTGTGTTGGGCGGGGAGAAAAGCCTTTGGTTCCTTTGTGTCCACAGCACGGGACAGGGCTCAGCATAACTAGCGATTTGCAGTTGATTTATTTACATGAAACGTATCCCCTTTTGCACTTTAGGCCAAAAAAAAAAAAAAGTGCAGTAGAGCGATGCTCCTCCATTTGAACCAGCCTCCTGCATTCAAGGTGGGAGATGTGCTGAGAGACATCCAGGAGTTGTTTTATGAGGATTACCAGATGACTCTGGAATTCCAGTCATTCCCAAGGATACTCTTTTGATATTTCTGAACAGATTAGACCCCACTGAGAGATTCCACCTTTAAAGAAATTCAATGAGATCACATGGACACAGGAAGGGGAACATCACATTCTGGGGACTGTTGTGGGGTGGGGGGAGGGGGGAGGGATAGCACTGGGAGATATACCTAATGCTAGATGACGAGTTAGTGGGTGCAGCGCACCAGCATGGCGCATGTATGCGTATGTAACTAACCTGCACAATGTGCACATGTACCCTAAAACTTAAAGCATAATTTAAAAAATTAAAAAAAAATTAAAAATAAATAAATAAATAAAAATAAAAATAAAATAAAAAAATTTAAAAAATTAAAAAAATATAAAAAATAAAGAAATGCAAGTGGCCTCTTCGCAGCAAAGCCAGGTAAGCTGACACGAGGAGACAGACAGCACGTGCTGCCAGGCATTCCCTTCATCAGACACCAGCTCCTGCCCAGCGTGGGAAGCCAGGGTCCTGGTCACTGTGCGGGGCCGAGGCTGCTGCTCCTTGAGTGACACAGCAAAGGGCATGTGTCCCCAGGTCACTGGCCATCCTCTCTGATACCAGACTTTTTGGCATTTGGGACCCTCACCTGAAGCTTCTGGCAGATCTGGGGGGTGGGCCTTGTTCCCCCATCCACAAGTTATTTCAAGAATTTACATCCATTTTTTGTTGTTATTTGGGCCGTAGGATGTGAGTTTTAACAGAGACAAGGGAAAGCTCTCAAGAGAATGATCCAGATTCCTGGGAATCCTATAAGCCCTCCTCCACCTGACTAGGACTGCATTTTTAAAGCCTTCATTTGTGCAAAGGCCTTTGTGCTGACATAGTAATACCCCATTCCAGGAACTTGGGCCATGGCCTCCTGTCTCGGCAGCATTTCTGGGTTAAGGGGCAGCCAGTGATTGTCCTCAATGCTTGAGGCACTACAGGGTGGGAGGTGGAGGATCACAGGTGAGTCAAACAGGAAGCCTGCTCCTGGGGAGCTTACAGTGATGTAGGGTGGTGAGACAAGGACACCAATACCTGTGTGCAGGTACCACTAACAAGTACAAAGCACTGCAGCAGCAGGGAGGAAACCTCCCTGTGCAGAGGGGGCTGAGGAGGGCTGCAGGGAGATGACAGGAAAGCCGGTGTTAAAGTAGGAGTACTTCCCACTCTCTGGGCATGAGGAGACCAGGAGGACATTCCACAGTGAGAAACCCAGGCAGAGGCCGTGTGCTTATGGCATTGGGGGGGAGAATGACACCTTAGAATTATTCTCTACATTGGAATTGTCTATTACAGATACCCATATTGTAGCTTCACATAGTGTGGTGGTTAACTGTGTTATCATATTGTCTTATTTGCTATTTTCCAGCCACCCGCCCATCCCTGATAGTCACTGGCCCAGCACAGGGCCTTCCACCTTCCATCAAACAAATGCCTGAGCTTCTCACCGAGGGGTAAATCACCTGCCAGTAGGGAAGGATCCCTGTTATAACCCCTCTCCAGGCAGGCTTGGTCCAAATGAACTCCTAGGAGCCCACGCCCTGGGAAATCCCCTGGCCACTGTTGTGGCTGGTCCTGCCAGCTAGAAGAGGTTCCTCCAGGGCCAGATGCAAGCTCTGTGGCTGTTCCAAGGAGGCTCTGCAGCACTAGCTCAGCCTTGTACCATGCTGGGCTCCTGGGGATTTCTGCCTCCATTTCTTCCTTCTTCACTCCTCCATTATTGCACCCTTGACTCAGCCCATGCAGGAATCCATCCCATCCTAAGTATTTCTGATGATATGATGCCCCCAGTCAGAAGGTGCAGGAAAGATGTTTAATAATAACAATAATAATAAACAATTTGTTATTTTCTCAATGGTCAGGCATCTTGCTAAATGCTGTTCATTGAATAACTTTTTTAATTCTCAAAAACCCCTATTAGGTGGGCCCTATTACAATCCTCACATCATGCATGAGAAGTCTGAGGTTTGGAAGGATTTTAAAAGTTGCTCTACATCCCACACTAATAAGTGAGAGAGCTCAGATTTGTACCCATATCTGTCTAATTCCAGAGCCCAAGTTCTGATGCTATCAGCAGTCTCTACTGTGGCAAAGATGAAGGACAAATCCAACACTTTCTAGGGCTAAAGGTGAGTGGCTCAGGAAATAGTTTTTCTAGTGTTCCAGCTGAATGTCTCTCACTCACATTCAACCCAGAGTGGAAGGGTGTTTCCCTGGGAATCTGGTAAAACTGCTCAGTCTTCATGCAAAGGGAGGAGAAAATTGTCCTTTTTTGCTTCCCACATTGTTTCCTTGGCCCAAAAGCTAGGAAGCCCTGTGATTGGCACGTACTGGGGAGAGGATCTTCATACATGTGGCTCTGCCCCTTCCCCTCTGATTGTGGGGCTGGGCATCCTGCCACTTCTCTCCTCCTGGAAGTACATGGCACCAACCCAGATTCTGTTCTCTGGAGGTCTCCACACAAGTGTGGGCCAGTAATTCTCAGAATGACCCTATGCTGTGAGACTGAAACTCCCTCTTGGACAGCTAATCCCACAACCTGGCCTCAGTGGAGTGAGTAATAGGGAACCCACCTGAGCATAGATCCATGACATATTCTATAGTCCAATATTCAAAGAATTGGAGCACTATTTGATAAGCACGAATTTGATTCCTGCCTCCTGCCTCCTGCAGCCTGCATTATCATAAAATGCTGTCATTTCTTATTATTTGTCCCAGCATGTATAGCAGCAGGGATAGAAAGGCTAATTCTCTGCTTTAGGACTAGCCATGCTCAAGGGGTTGGACGGTGCTGGGGAAACTGATGCAGCTGCAGATCCTCAATGGAAACAAACATTCAGTCTGATGCCCAGAGCAGGGTACGAGGGAGTATGGCAATGCGTTGTCTTGATAAGTATTCAGTTGGGGAAAATGGGAGGGGTCCCACACGGGTATGAGCAAATCCCATTAGGTGGAGGAGGGAGGAGCGCAATGAGGAATCTGGGTCAGGTGGTAGGCACTGGATGCTCCAGATAAGTGTACAGTCAGTATCTTCAAGGCCCATGAACAAGGACCAGCGGCCCAGTCACAGGAATGAGGTTTGGAAGATTAGCAACTTTTAAGGGGCCAAGATATTAGACAGTAAGCAGGACAGAGCCCAGAACAAGAAACAGTAGGAAAGTGGAAGAAATTATGTGATTTCATGTTTACTGTAAGAAGCTTCTGGAAGTCAGTAAAGACATGGTTGCAATCCCCATCATTAGTGCTCTTATTAATATCTTCTGAATGTCAGTCCACTCGTTTCAAGATTGCATTTTCCAACAATGTCTGTACCTAAATGTTTGGCATGTTTTCTGCAGTTGTTAGGTTTGGTATTCTGTATATATTCCTGAGGATCCTATTGATTAAAATGTATTGGTCCTATTGATTAAATGCTTGCTCTCCTTACTGCTCTCTTTCTATTTTTTTGATCATCTTAGTCTATCAATAATATAAGAGGTACATTAAGATCTCCCATGTAATATAGATTTATTATTTTGATCTCAATTTTGGCATTATATATTTTTGAAGCCATGTTATTAGTGAGCTCTATAATAATCCTCACTTCATGGATGAAAAATCTGAGGTTTGGAAGATTTAGAAATTAGCTGTATGTCTTACACTAATAAGTGAGAAAGCTCAAATTTGCACCCAAGGCCGGGAGCAGTGGCTCACGCCTGTAATCCCAGCACTTTGGGAGGCCGAGGCAGGCGGATCACGAGGTCAGGAGATCGAGACCACCCTGGCTAACACAGTGAAACCCCGTCTCTACTAAAAATACAAAAAAAAATTAACCGGGCATGGTGGCAGGCACCTGTAGTCCCAGCTACTCAGGAGGCTGAGGCGGGAGAATGGCGTGAACCCGGAAGGCGGAGCTTTCAGTGAGCCGAGATCGCGCCACTGCACTCCAGCCTGGGGGACAGAGCGCAAGACTTCGTCTCAAAAAAAAAAAAAAAAAAAAAAATTTGCACCCAAATCTGACTAATTCCAGAGCCAATTCCAATTTAGAATCGTTATATCTCCCTGGTGAACTGAAGCTTTTATCTTTAAGGAGACACACTCTTTATGTCTACCAATGCTTATTGCCTTAAAGTCCACTTTGTCAGATACAGCTGCTTTCTTTTAATTAGTTTTTGTGTGGTATATCTCTTTCCATCCTTTTTCTTTCAGCCTTCTCCATTCTTACATTTTAGATATATTTCTTTTTTCTTTTTTTTTTGAGAGAGAGTCTCACTCTCTCGCCCAGGCTGGAGTAGTGCAATGGCGCGATCTTAGCTCACTGCAACCTCCACCTCCTGGGTTCAAGCAATTCTCCTGCCTCAGCCTCCCAAGTAGCTGGGATTACAGGAGCCCACCACCAAGCCCAGCTAATTTGTTGTATTTTTAGAAGAGATGAGGTTTCGCCATGTTGGCCAGGCTGGTCTCGAACTCCTGACCTCAGGTCATCCACCCACCTCGGCCTCCCAAAGTGTTGGTATTACAGGCGCGAGCCACCATGCCCAGCTGATTTTAGCTGTATCTCAAAAACAGCATGGGTTCTGTTTGCTTTCCTTATTCAGCTTTATAATGTAAATCATTTACATCAAACATCTAATACACCATGGACTGTAAAACACAGCCATATTTTATGTATGAATTAAAAAAAAAAACACCACCAATTAGTTCCTGAGACACACACCTTAACAATATCTCTGTGATGTGCATAAATCAATCACATCAGTTTCTCTGCACCTCAAAATTTCTTTCCTCAATTCTCAGAGATATGGCAATTTCTCTGGTTTTACATTCCCAGAAGCAAAGAAAAAGTACACAGCTTCTTCAAGTCATGAGTAGCTTCTTTTTTATAGCTCTTGGTGTTTGCAAAAAAGATTGGAATTGCTTCACTAATACTAAATTTTCATTCTGCTGCTCTGTTTCTATGACAAGTCAGAGGGCATCTTTTTGAAGACATTCTAAACAGCAATTAAACTCAAAACATGTAATGACAATGACACACAAAACTCAACTGATGACCAAATGAAGAGTTCCAGCCAAGTTGACACAAGCTGGCTGACAGAGCTTGTAATACACACAGCTTGGCATATGCCTCGCCATTTCAGAGATGTAAAAATAGGAATAAATGTTTTCCCTTAAATCAATGAAATAGAGCATTTGGACTGAAAATCTACGACAGTTATAGTGTTTTCTATTCATTATTCTCATTCTGTTTCTTCTCCCCCTTGCTTTCTTTTAGTTTGAATATTTTCTATCATTTCATTTTTCTTCCTACTAGTTTGAAACTTATGCATTTATTTTCTATTTTTTAGCACTTACCTAAAATTACTCTGTAATCCATGGATCCTTAATTTATTTAAAAAACTAATGTTAATGAGTAGCTTTATTTTCCTCCCATCTAATTTAAGGCCCACAGAACACCTTCACTTACCTCAATCCTCTCCCAACTTACATGCTTTTAATGTCATATATGTTAATACCGTATACTTTTAAAACTTTCTAAAATAGCATTATTTTATAGCATGAGTGTTCATTTACATTTTTGCATATATTTAGAATTTTCTTTGCTCTTCGTTTCTTCTTCTATTTATGACTCCCCTCTGGGATCATTTTCCTTCTACTTGAAGTACATAGTTTAGAACTGCACTATTCAATACAGTAGCCACTAGCCATGTGTAGCTATTGAAGTTTAAACTAAGTAAAATTGAGTAATATTAAAAACTCAGTTCCTTCATCTCACTAGCCACATTTCAAGTGCTCAGCAGCCACATGTGACTAATGACTACTGTACAGCAAACATATAGAACATTTCCATCATGGCAAAGAGCTCTATTGATAGTGTTCATCCAGAGTTTCTGTTCCAGGACCAAACTGAGGGTTGGGCTGCTATTTCTCATGGCCCAATAACAAGATGCAGATGAGCTGGGGAGGAAGAGAGTTTTTATTTCTGCAACCAGTTACAGGGAGAAGGCCTGGAAATCATCACCAGGCCAACTCAAAATTATGACATTTTCCAGAGCTTATATACCTTCTAAGCTATATGTCTACGTGTAAGTGTGCATTCACCTGAAGACGTAAGTGATTAACTTCTTTTAATCTGTAACTAAGGTCTGAGTCCGGAAGATCTTCCCCTGGAGCCTCAGTAAATTTACTTAATCTAAATGGGTCCAGGTGCTGGGGTAATTACCCTTATCTTGTCCCCTGCTAAATCATGGAGGTTTGGGGAGTTCCTTTAGAGCACCAATAAACTTGTTTGTGGAGGCCTGGGGAGTTTCTTCAGACCCACAATAAAACTTGTTTAATCCTAAATGGGTCCTGTTAAGAATTCCTTCTTTATTTTGTCATATTTTAAGGCCCAGAAAAGGCCTGGGCAAAACTCTTGATGGGCTTTTGTTACATTCCAGCCTTTGTATAAGAACACTGGTTTTTAATATTTAACTTAACCATTTAGTCAGTACTGAAACAGTTGTTATAGAGATCTGCATTAGTGAGACCTGGCCTGCCACATTTCCTTTTCTGAAGATCTTATGGTAGTGATCACCTTTGTGAAAGGAAAATAAATCTTGGGACCTCAAAATCACTAAGCCAAAGAAAAAAGTCAAGCTGGGAAGAATCTGACACTTAAATCCAACACTGCTAACTCATTCATCTCACTCATTCATTCATTTTATTTTCTTTTTTCTTTCTTTTTTTTTTTTTTTTTTTGAGACGAAGTCTTGCTCTGTCACCCAAGCTGGAGTGCAGTGGATCTCAGGTCACTGCAACCTCCACCTCCCGGGTTCAAGCGATTCTCCTACCTCAGACTCCTGAGTAGCTGGAATTACAGGCACCTGCCACCACGCCTGGCTAATTTTTATATTTTTAGTAGAGACGGGGTTTCACCATGTTCATCAGGCTGGTCTCGAACTCCTGACCTCGTGATCCGCACCCCCCTCGGCCTTGTTTGCTTGAGGTACTGTCTAGATGCTGGAACTGAAAATGGCAAGCAAGACATCCCTACCCTTGAGGAAACTGTAATCTAGTCGGAAATACAGATGTCAACCCAAGTTTCACACAAGAAAATGTACAAAAACCCCTAGGACAAATGCTATGACGGAGAGGTGCTCAGCACTCAAGGGCTTTTATTGGGGATGGAAGTGACTCTTGAACTGAGATCTAGGAAGATATGGTGGTTAACTAGCTCTAGGGTGGGGAGAGTCGCTTTCTCCTCTCTTTTGAGGTCATAATCAGTTTCTGTTATTAATGGTAGAACAAGCAAAAAAAAGGAAAAAAGGCAGAGCAATGAGGACCTCTTGGGGAAGGTTGTGTCTCTGTATCTGGAAGGTTAATTTCTCTCACAGACACCTTATTTGTGCACCTTTTCAGTCATGCTCTCCTTCCACATGAGAGGAAAAGCATCACTGCCCCAGAGGCACAGAGAGCTCAAGACACCAATCTCTCTTTCCTGCCCCCATTCTCTGGCATACACAAAGCCAGTTTCCAGTCATAACAAATGAAACAAATTATTCATGACAGGCTATTTGCAAGGTGATGCTTTGGGCATACCCAGGATATTCTACCACTCCAAACTCCTTCCCTGGAAATTTGAGAAGTTAAGCTGACTACTGGTCCTTAGACAGCCCAGAGCACTGCTTGGACCCTGTTTGCTCTCTCATACAATAGCCATCCTCATCCCCATCTCTATACCATTCTTACCAGAAAAGAATAGCCAAAAAATTAAGGTTTTGTTTTTGTTTTCTTGAGGCAGCGTCCTGCTTTGTCACCCAGGCTGGAATGAAGTGGTGCAATCAAGGTTCACTGCAGCTTTGACCTCCCATGCTCAAGTGATCTTTCCACCTCGGCTTCTTGAGTAGGTAGGATTACAGGCACGCACCGCCTGTCGCCTTTTTTTTTTTTTTTTTTTTTTTTTAGAGATGGGGTCTCACTATGTTGCCCAGGCCAGTTTTGAAATCCTGAGCTCAAGTGATCTTCCCACCTTGGCCTCCCAAAGTGATGAGATTACAGGTGTGAGCCACTGCAGCCAGCCAAAAACAAGGAGGAAAAAAAAGCAAGGTTTCTTATTCGTCTTCCCTCATTTACCCATGAGTTGTGGTCAGTCTAAAATCCACCAAGGTAGAATTAGGAGATGGGAGAGTCATGAGCTCTTCTCAGTATTTCAAAAAGTCAGAAAAAAATTACATAGTTAACCACATTAAGGCCTTCTCTTCATATTGGCTCGTTTATAGGGAATAAATAAGTAAAGACTTCTCAGTTAATGTGGGGTCAGTTCTCTTTGCTTTTAGGTGGAATTACCTCAAGTCTGTGTAGTGATCTGATGATCTTGTACTGAGCAAATATCACAATTAACCATTGTATGTTTGCAACACATGGTTTAAAAAATAAACCAATTCTTGCACAGTAAATACAATTTGCTTATAAAATCTATAAAAATTTACTGTGGTGCCAGTTAGAATGGCAATCACTAAAAAGTCACGAAACAACAGGTGCTGGAGAGGATGTGGAGAAATAGGAATGCTTTTACACTGTTGGTGGGGCTATAAACTAATTCAACCATTGTGGTAGACAGTGTGGCAATTCCTCAAGGATCTAGAACTAGAAATACCATTTGACCCAGCCATCCCATTACTGGGTATATACCCAAAGGATTATAAATCATGCTGCTATAAAGACACATGCACATGAATGTTCACTGTGGCACTATTCACAATAGCAAAGACTTGGAACCAACCCAAATGTCCAGCAATGATAGACTGGATTAAGAAAATGTGGCACACATACACCATGGAATACTATGCAGCCATAAAAAAGGATGAGTTCATATCCTTTGTAGGGACGTGGATGAAGCTGGAAACCATCATTCTGAGCAAACTATCACAAGGACAGAAAACCAAACACCACATGTTCTCACTCATAGGTGGGAACTGAACAATGAGAACACTTGGACACAGGGTGGGGAACATCACACACCAGGGCCTGTCATGGGGTGGGGAGAGCGGGGAGGGATAGCATTAGAAGATATACCTAATGTAAATGACGAGTTAATGAGTGCAGCACACCAACATGGCACATGTATACATATGTAACAAACCTGCACATTATGCACATATACCCTATAACTTAAAGTATAATTTTTTTAAAAAAAGAAAAAATTTACTGTGGTGTTGGAGGGGTGAAAGCATAACTAAAGAGGTTCTCAATAGTGCAAGGACTGGGAACATTGATGTAGCAGAGAACTGGTTTCGAATCCTGGCTCTATCTCTTCTCGCTCTGTGAATTAGCTTACCTTAACTTTTCCGATCCAGATTCCTCCTGTTATAAAGTGAGATAATATCAGCCTCTCTGGGCAGTTGTGAGAATAAGGAGTATAGCAAATAGCATAGCACCTAATGCATAGTGGATTGTCCTCCATGCAGGTGAAGTTCCGATGAGGATGATGGTGGGGATGATGATGATGATAATAATGGTGATGCTGATGATGGTGATGGAGATACTAACAATGATAATGAAGATGATATGATGATGATGATAATGGTGTAGTGACGGTGACAATGATGATGGTCATGGTGATGATGACAATGAAGACTTCTCATCCACAGAGATTCTGGCTTAATTGGTTTGCGGTAAGGTTGGGCATCAGTACTATTTTAAAGCTTCCCAGATGACCCTAATGTACAATCTGGGTTGACAACCACTGTCCCAGTCCAGCAGAACTCAAACTCTTTGATCTCAGGACCCCTTTATACTCTTAAAAATTATTGAGGACCCCAAAGAAGTTTGTTTTAAACACAAAAACATATACATATCCCTTTCATTAGCCATTAGATTAATGACAGTATCATGTTATGTAGCCCCTAAAAAACTCCACTGGACACTAGTAAAAAAAAAATGACAGGGCAGCCTGGCCAACATTACAAAACCCCATCTCTACTAAAAATACAAAAACTAGCCGGCGGGGTGGTGCAGACCTGTAATCAGCTACTCAGGAGGCTGAGGCATGAGAATTGCTTGAACCCTGGAGGTGGAGGTTGCAGTGAGCCGAGATTGCACCACTGCACACGAGCATGGATGACAGAGCAAGACTCTGTCTCAAAAAAAAAAAAAAATGAGAGGGAGGCAAAAACAAATAATGTCTTGTGCTGTTATGAAAATCATTTTGGCTTCATGAACTTCCTGATGCTACCTTAGACTAGTTTTCTACACCACAGTATTGTCCCCTGTGCCTCGCTTCCCCCAACACTGCATACACACCCACAGACTGTCAGTCTCCCTCTCTCACATCTCTGCCACACCTAGAGGAGGAGTGATACTGTTGGCTTTCAGGCAATGCAAAACAATCAACTCCCACATAGCCTGATACTAAATGATCATTAGAAAGGGTCCAGACCAAAGGCTGCCACGGCTCTCGCTGCTTAAAATAAAACATTATAGATTTGCAAGATAAATTAATAGAATAAACAGGACTACAAGATCTGCATGGGCAAATGAACCCTCAGGTCCTTTGAAAACACACGAGATGCTGAGCAAAACTAATTGCTTGACCAATCACACATCACCTTGATGACTGACAATGACAAGGCGCACTTGGCTGAACTTGCTGAGTATCAACGGTCCAAACTGGTCGCCACTGGGAGAAAGCAGTTCCACATACAAGTTCACTTGTCCCACACAATGTTATTTCAAAATATAAATTAGTTCCCAACATTAAAATCAGGACATTTCACGCAAAAACCTGGATTTCTGGCTTTTCTTGAAACAGAAGAAAATCTGGCAATACTCATGCTTTGTTTCCTCGGTGGGATGAAGCAGAGTGGTAAGTGCTGCCTTCAGATGGCACTTGGGTCTCCTTTCTTACCACAGCCTACTTCTCTCAGTTGCATTATATTTAGTATTATATATGCATGGAGATAACGTTATCACTTTTGTTTGAGAAGTTCATGGATCTTAAAGGCCACTCCTTTTCTTTAAGCCATATCAGTAAGGTTAAAGTCACTTCATTTATTTAGAAGTCAGTCTTACTATAACTTCTACTATCCAGAGCTTACTGTGGGATCTGGAAAGCCATGAAGCCAGGAAGCCAAGAGAGTAGGCACAACGTCCATGAAATTTCTTCTGAATAAAGACATTGCACTTGGCTAATTCTATTTTATACACAGTCCTAAAATGTTTTATCAGATTTTTCAAGCCAATGAGGAAAATAATTAGACACAGGAAAAAAAAAATCCCAGCTTGTAAACATAAGGGGGAATCCCCCACCTCACCCCACCTCTCCCTCCCGCAAAACACGGTAACTTAGTGCAAGGAATTTTTTAAATCAAGATTAAAGACCAAATGTTCCTCTAAGACAAGGAACAAGGATGTCTGCTTTCACCAATGCTATTTGACATAGTGCTAGAAGTTCTAGCCACTGCAATAAGGCAAAAAAAAAAAAAGGCATATAGATTGAAAAGGAAGAAATAAAACTGTGCCTGTTTGCAGACAACATGACTGTCTATATAGAAAATCTCAAGGTATCTACAAGAAAAATGAAAAAACCTCCTAGAACTAATAAATGAGTTCAATAATGTTGCAAGATGTAGGAACAAAGATCAACACACAAAAATTCATTGCTTTTCTACACACTGAAAATGAACTAGTGGAATAAAAAACACAAAATCATTTATAATTGTTACCAAGAAAGTGAAATGCTTAAGCATAAATTCAACAAAACATATACAGAATCTTTAGGATGAAAATTTTAAAAAATTAATGACAGAAATTAAAGAAGGACTAAATGCTTTGAGAGAGATGCTATGTTCATAGATTAGAAGAATCAACTGAATAAAGACATCAGTTCTTTTTAAATTAATGTATAGGCATAATGCAATTCTTATCAAAATCTTCATAAGGCTTTCGGTTAGACATAGACAAAGTTATTTTAAAATTTATATGTAAAGGCCCTAGAATATCCAAAAATTTTTTGAAAAAGAATAAAGCAGGAAAAACACTTTTCCTAATGCTAAGGCTTACTATATAACTGCAATAATCAAGACAATGAGGTATTGGTGGAGGAACTGATGCATTTTTTAAAAGTAACATGATAAAGAGCCCAGAAATAGACTCACACAAATATGTCCAATTAATTTCTGACAAAGGCAATTCAATGGAGGAAGGATACCCTTTTCAATGAAAGGGAACTGGAGCAATTAAACATATGTAATTTTTTTTTAAAAAACCCTAAACCTAAACATCTACCTATATACAAAAATTAATTAACAATGGATCATGGACTCCAATGTAAAACATGAAACTCTAAACTTCTAGAAAAAAAACTGGAGAAAACCTTTGGTACCTATGACAAGGCACAGTTTTTAGACTTAACACTAGAAGTGTGAACTATACAAGAAAAAATTAATAATTTGAACCTTATGAAAATCAAATTATTTGCTCTCCAAAAGACCCTGTTAAGAGGATGAAAACTAAATTACAGATTGAGAGAAAATATTTGTAAATCACATATTTGACAATGGACTTGTATCTAAAATATCTAAAGAACTCTCAAAACTCAACATTAAAAAAAATATCTAATTAGAAAATGAGTGAACATTTTACGAAAGGGGCCTTATAGATTAGCAAATAAAACACTTGAAAAGATACTCAGCATCACTAGCCATTAGAAAAATGCATATTAAAACCACAATAATGTATCGCTACACACATATAAGAATGGTTTATGAAAAAATAGTGATGACACCAACTGTTAGTGAAGATGTGGAGAAACACTCATACATTGCTGGTAGAAATGTAAAATGGCATAGCCACTGTGGAAAATTATTTGGCAGTTCCTTTTAAAACTAAAAATCAATCTACCACACAACCCAGCAATTTCATTACAGGGCATATATCCCAGAGAAATGAAGATTTATGATCACACAAAAATCTGTACACAAATGTTTTATGGTCACTTTATTCATAATAGCCAAAACCTGGAAACTATCCAAATGTCCTTCAATGGGCAAAGGATTAAACACACTGTGATACATCCATACCATGGAATACTACTCAGCAATAATAAGGAAAGAATTACTGCTACACACAAGTTGGATTAAACTCAAGGAAATTGTGCTGAGTGAAAAATTAACAAGCCAATCTCAAAGGACACATACTTCATGATTCCATTTGTATAACATTAATTAACACAATTAATTACAGAGATGGAGAACAGAATAGTGGTTGCCAGGGTTTAGAGATGGTGGAGGCGGTGAGGTGGGCTTAGGGTTTGGAGATGAAGAGGATACAGCTGTAAAGCATAGCAAGAGAGAGTCTTGTGATGAGGGCATAGTTAAGTATTGTGATTGTGGTGGTTACATGAAGCTACACACATAAAATTGCATAGAGCTACACACACACACACACACACACACACACACACACACACACACACACAAATGAGTGGAAGTATAACTGGCAAAATCTGAGTAAGCTATCTGGACAGTACCAATATCGATTTCCCAGTTTTGATGTTGTACTATAATAATGCAAGATGTTAACATTGGAAGAAGCTGGCTGAAGGGGGCTCAGGAACTCTCTGGACATTTCTTTGTACCTTCCTGTGAATCCATCATTATTACAAAATAGGACATTTTCTAAAGGTTAAATCATTTTAATTTTAAAATGTCCCTGTTACTGTTGAAACTCACATCTCCATATACTGATCAAGAACAGCACTAATGGCCCCTGGCCTCCAGGAATTCACAATTCCTACTGACTTTTCTTTGAAACCTTGGCCAAGTCGCTTCTCTTCTCTGGTCCTCAATTTTTCATCTTCAAAATGAAGATTGAATGACTATTAAAATCTCTTGCAATTCTTGAGATGAAGGGTCCTAAAGGAACTGAAGAGGATGCCATGTAATGTAAATATGGGTTTTTACTCCATCAGCCAGCCAAGACAGAGGGCAGACACCAAGACATGGTAACCAAGGAGGCCATGTGTAAACAAAGACCATTTAGACTTATGCTCTGGCCTTTGCAGCCCAACTGGTGTGGCCAGTTGGTGGGGTATGAAGAAAATGGGGCCTTCCAGGAACCATGTTGAGTGGAGATAAGCAGGGAGGAATGCAGAAGACATGGGGGCAGTGCCAGTCTCAGCCCGAGCCAGCTACACCCACACATGGTTATGAAAGACTGACAGCCTGTAAGCTGAACACTGCCCTGCCCTCTCCACTCCCCACCAGCCAGTAGGATTTGGGAGTGGTCTTAACTGCCCTCAGCTGAGGCCCAGGCACTGGCATACTCAGGACATCTCATCCAGTCCTATGGCTTCAAACCGCCTATTAACTAATGCCTTCTACATTTGCCTCTTTAGTCCTTACCTCTCCCATGGAATTGAGACTTACCTAACTGCCGAGTTGACACTGTCACTTAGCATCTCTTCCTCAAATGGCCAAAGCCAAACTTTTGCCTTTCTCCTGCCCAAACCTGTTTCCTTTCTAGTCTTCCTTCTCGGGAGCCATTAACCAGTCCTGTTGGCCCCACCCCCAAGAATATTCCAAATCTGTTCACTTCCCTCCTTGCCCTCTGCTACCACCCAGCTCCAAGCCACCATCTCTTCTCCTGTGGACCTAACAGAGTCCCTGCCTCAACCCTGCCCAGAATAAAATGGCCCTTCTACAGTGTCAATTAGATCTTGTCATTCCCCAGCCTAAACAATTCAATGGCCCCCATCTTAGTTAAAATTCCTCACCCTGACAAGGCCCCATCTACGCCTCTGACCTCATGCCCTCCACTCTCAGTCTTGCACTCACCCTGCCACACTCAAGGGCTTCCCCAGGTTCCTTCTTAGATTCCACCGATAGCTCAGGGACTTTGCACATGCTACGGTCTCTGCCTGGCTCCTCCCCAGATCTTCTCATGCCTAGCTGCTTCTCATCAGCACCCCTCAGAGACTGTCCCTGCCCCACCTCTCCAGGTTCCATACCTGCCACCCTCCCCCAATCACGTAACAGTTTCTTCACAGAGCGAGTTACCATCCCAGTATTTCCCTAACTTATTTTTTGTGACTGGTCTGTTGCCTGTCTCCACCACAAGAACATAAGCTGCATGTGAACAGGAGCCTTGTCTATCTTGTCACCCCAGTGGCTGTGACATAACCTGATACACATTAGATGCTCAATGATGTTTGATGAATGAAGTGCTGGTAGTCCAACTGTGTTTCCTTGTCTGTGTAAGTATGTCTGTTGTGGTTTCCTAAGAACCTACAGCTCTCCCACTGTGACTCCTGTTCTATGGTCCTGATTTGCTGGACTAGAATCCTAACCTACATGCTTACTCTTAGTGTCCTCCCCCAGAGGCTGAATCCCAGTCCCTAAACCTCCACCAAATGGCTAAGACCTAGCTTCCAACCAGACAGGCCTACGCTGAGACCTCAGCACCGCCCTTCTGCGGTCTCATCCTTAACGCATCCTTCAGGGCCCAGCTTAAATGTCTCTTCTCCAAGGAAGGCTATCCTCTTTCTGCCCCTCAGTGCTCTCCATGCCTCCTCTATGCCTCCATGCCTGCTTTCCAACCCTGCAGAGGTGGAGAAGTTGCTAATCTGCTGTGTTGACATGTGCTGGGGTGCCTTGGGCCAGGGAGCAGGCTGGTGGTGTGCTGATAGCCCGTGGCTGTGCCCAGGTCCATGCTCACTTCCTGAGCCCCAGTGGAGTAGGCTCCCTTTCCCTTATTGCAGCACTCAGAGGAAGGACGTGCTTCTTAGGACAGATCTGGCCAACCTCTCCCTCGTGAGAGAAGGCCCAGCCATCCTCTTGCCCTCTTTCTTTCTCCTGCCCCCGAGTAATAAAGGTGCCTGGTCAGAGCCTTCTAGAAGGAGACCCAAACATCCACCACACATTCCCAGTTCCAACCGTCATCCACATGGCTGGCTGTGCAGGTAAACGCAGAGTCTGTTTCACACACCCAACCATCTAGTATTGGATGGGAGGACAGTAGCGTGACACTCTTCTCCAGCCTTGAGCCCTACTGTGGGCCCCACCCAACCCAGATACCAGAGGAGCCCTGTACTGGGATGCTATTGGATGCTTGTCCAGTCATGTACAAAGTTAGCCCTTTGTTATATAGAGTTAGCTACGTACATCTTCCTCTGTAGGGAACCCAAGAGGGGAGAAGAGATATGTAGTAGGATTTAACCTGCAAATCCTCTGCTGAGCACCCTGCACTACATACAGTGGGTAGCATGTGGTAGGTGCTCAATAACTATTGACCGATAGATTGAATACAGGTAGGATGGTGACACAATCTAAGATCCCAGGGGTGGGGAGACCACACGCTTGGTTAGGGAGACCCAAAGTGGACCGTGTGGCCAGAAGAGTCCCGCACTGCACTCTAGTGACAGTGCAGAAAGTCACTGTGGGAAATCTAGAAGTTTCTACAGGTTGCTATTTCATCATAGCACTGTGCAGGCCAACCCTTCCTGCTCCACTGGCTGTTGGGAAAAGCTTTCTCTTTTCTTCCTAGCCAGGGAGCTCTCAAAGTGTTCCACTCTCTCACCTCCACCCAGGCGTCCAGGTGTGGAGGACACTTGCCGGCTGCTTGTCTGCTGACTCATCCCTTGGTTTCACTTGGAAAACCTACCACCAGCTGGCCTCTTTCCAAGCATCAGCCTCCTCATTTTCTTAATCCCTTAGGTGTGATCTCACCTCCACACAGTAGATTGCCTCAAGGCCCAATTCCAATATGAATAAAAATGATTATTTTGTCATCTTCCAATCTTCCTTTTAAAATATTATTTTATAATTCCCTTTAGGAGGATCACCTAAGTGAAGACTATTTTTACCTAAGAAATGTTAAAATGTAAAGACATGGTTGTAATCTGGGGATTCCTGTTAAAATGGCTAGCAGACAGAAGTCAGACGACAGGCTAGAAATGTGTGAAGAGTGGTTGCCTTTGAAAGGCGGAGTTGGTAATGATTTTCTTCCATTTTTCCATGCTTTCCAATTCTCTACAAAGGCCTTAATATTACTTCGATAACCAGGACCTCTGATAACCTGCCCCCACCGAGTAAAGACTTAGCTGGGAAAGTCAGCTTCATGTGAGGTAAAAGGAACCAGGTAATACACAATTCCCACTGCCAACTGTCGGGTGTGCAGGCCTGAGCTTCCTGCATGTGGGAGGAAAGAGAAAGAAGAGAGAAACTCCAAGATCCAAGAGATCCAGCAAGAAGGCTGGAGTCTGAGGACGCAGAAAGCTGAATGGCACAGTTACCACTATTGTGCTGAGGTTCTGTGGCCTCTGGGTCTCTTGACAACTGGGCAAAGACCCACAGAAAACTATCTCTAGACCCTACCTGTGGGAGGGGAAAGTGCTTAAGATCATTTACAGGACAGCCACCTGGACCTCAAATGGCTTACAGTTCCTTCATCCAGAGGGTCTTCATTTAGTACATACCAGGTGCTAAGCTGGGTGCTGGAGACATGACGGGGAACCCATTTACCATGGCTTTGTTACTGTGACATTCACATCTAGGGAAAGCCAGCAAAGGGGAGGGATCGAGGAGAGCTTGTTAGGCAGAGAAAATACCCAAGGGCAAGGGAGAAGCCAGCCTGTTCTGAGCACACACAGTGGTTCCATCTAACTGGGCCTCAGTGCCAGGTTGGACTGGAGATGGGGCTGAGGAGCTGTCACAGAGCATTCTGGACACAGATGTCACATAGTCCCTTGAGGTTAGGGTCCTTAGGCATGGCAGCATTGCTTTGAGTTTTTCCTTTTGTAATGTTGCCATTCATGACAATGTGGAAGATGGGTCCTTGCAGAGAAGGGCAGGGCTGTGAGACCAGTTAGGAGACTAAGATGTGAGCCAAGGAAAATGAGGAACACCTGAACACTGGGGCAGGTGCAGGGCCCAGAGAGAAGCAGATGGCTTCCTGAGGTTTTAAGTAGGTAGAATCAAGGCAGCTGGTAAAGATCTTTTATTACATATAAACTGGAATAAGCCATCTGCTCCAAGACAAAAGAGTAGGCGGAAAACAATACAAGACAGAAATGGAATTAGAACAAACCTGGGAGGAATGTGGAATTAGAGTAGAGAGTCCAACACTGGCTGCAATCATAAAAATGTAAAACAAACAAAAATTTGCTAGGTGTGCTTACTTAGAAATAATTAGCTGTCATATTAAGTTCACTTGTGTTATGGCTTAAATGTGTCCCCCAAAATGTGATGTGTTGGAAACTTGATCCCCAATGCAACAGAGTTGAGAGATGGGACCTTTAAAAGGTGATTAGGTCATAAGGGTTCTGCCCTCATAAATGAATTAATACTGTTATCATGAGAGTAGATTCCTGATAAAAGGATGATCTCTGCCTCCTCCCCACAGCCCTCTTGTGCATGCTTTCCTGCCTTTCCACCTTCTGCTATGGGATGACACAGCAAGAAGGCCCTCACCAGATGCAGCTCCTTGATCTTGGACTTTCCAGCCTCCAGAACTGTAAGCCAAACAAATTTCTGTTTATTATAAATTACCCAGTCTCAGGTATTCTGTTCTAGAAGCACGAAATGGACTAAGATCATTAGATTATCATTTTTTATCAGACTGTTGAAGTGAAAAATAAAAATCAAATAAAGAAATTAAGAGAGCTGCATGCAGCAGCTCATGCCTATAATCCCAGCACTTTGGGAGGCCAAGGCAGGTGGATTGCCTGAGCTCAGGAGTTTCAGACCAGCCTGGGCAACACGGTGAAACCCTGTTTCTACTAAAATACAAAAAACTAGGCCGGGCGCGGTGGCTCACGTCTGTAATCCCAGCACTTTGGGAGGCCGAGGCGGGTGGATCATGAGGTCAGGAGATCGAGACCATCCTGGCTAACAAGGTGAAACCCCGTCTCTACTAAAAATACAAAAAAAATTAGCCGGGCGCGGTGGCGGGCGCCTGTAGTCCCAGCTACTCGGGAGGCTGAGGCAGGAGAATGGCGTGAACCCGGGAAGCGGAGCTTGCAGTGAGCCGAGATTGCGCCACTGCAGTCCGCAGTCCCGCCTGGGCGACAGAGCGAGACTCCGTCTCAAAAAAAAAAAAAAAAAAAAAAAAAAAAAACTAGCCAGGCATGGTGGTGTGTGCCTATAGTCCCAGCTACTTGGGAGGCTGAGGCAGGAGAATTGCTTGAACCCAGGAGGTGGAGGTTGCAGTGAGCTGAGATCATACCACTGCACTCCAATCCAGCCTGGGTGACAAAGCAAGACTACATTTCAAAAAAAAAAAGAAAGAAAAAGAAAAAAAGAAAAGAAAAAGAAATTAAGAGAAGGGCAGGTATTAACCCCAAATATCCCACCATAGGGACACATTAAAGTTTGCTTGGCCACTCCCCTAGCATAATATATGGAATGTCTTCAAGGACCCTCTGTTGTAAATACAAGGCCCTGCTGGACTTAATACAACCTGCAGGCTTTGAGATCCCTACTCTGTTGCCATCTCTCATAGGATTTGCAGACCAAATCCAAATACTTAAAATAGCAACACTCACAAACATGCAAATCAGAGCAGAAAAGAAACTTCTAAAAGGCCCTGAAACTACACTTTATGAGAGAAGACAATAGGGACCTGAGGGTGGTAGAATTTTCTCTCTATGCATCTATGTTTCCAGGGCTCACTTTCTCAATAAACTCTTAAATTGCTTTTAAAGTAAGGGAACAAGCAAACATTACATTTAAGAGAAATCAATTTCATAAAGAAGGGGGGATGTCCAGGGTACTTTGCTTCCATGTTTTGCTTCCATGAATTTGTGTTTAACAGAAGATGCAGAAAAACACACAATTATTGCAAAATCAAGGAAATCCACTCTAAACATCCCTTGGTTTCCCAGGCCAGTGTCACAACTGAAAACACATATTGTGGCTAATTATGTGTCACAAATTAGAATGACAAGGCAAGAAAAAAAAAACTCTCTGATTAACTAATAGCAGCCAACACAGACAGCCTGTGTAGCTCAACTCTGCTGGTTTATAAAAGGCAGAAGAAGCAAACGGCTTCTGTGACCGCAACAGGAAGGGCCTCTGCTCTTAATAAATAAATAACATTTAAATTATTCTCCCCCATTTGCAAAGCATTTTCCAACTCATTATCTCATCTGACCAGGTATTATTGTATCTGACCAAGAACTTGTATACAAAATAAAGAATAAAAAATAAATATGGGCCAGGCACAGTGGCTCATGCTTGTAATCCCAGCACTTTGTAGGGCCGAGGCAGGTGGATTGCTTGAGGTCAGGAATTTGCGACCAGTCTGGCCAACATGATGAAACCCCATCTCTACTAAAAATACAAAAACTTAGCCAGTGTGGTGGCACATGCCTGTAATCCCAGCTACTCAGGAGGCTAAGGCAGGAGAATTGCTTGAACCCAGGAAGTGGAGGTTGCAGTGAGCCAAGATCACGCCACTGCACTCTAGCCTGGGCAACAGAGTGAGACTCCATCTCAATAAATAAATAAATATGGAACTCTCCCAACACAATAATAAGACAAACCCCCAAATGTTTTAAATGGGCAAAAATATTTGAACAGATACTTCACAAAAGAGGATATGTAAATGGTCAAAAAGCACATGAAAAGATGTTCAACACCATTGGTCATCAGGGCAAAGAAAACTAGAACCACAATGAGATGCCTCTGTACACCACTTAAATGTCCAAATTAAAGAAAACAAGTTTTGGCAAAGTTGTGGAGCAACTGAAATGCTCGTGTATTGCTGGTAGAAAAACAAAATGGCATAACCATCGCAGATAATTTGTTGTCAGTTTCTTACAAAGTTAAACATATACTTATTGATATGACAGTTCCATTCCAAGAGAAATGAAAACATAAGTCCACACAAAGACTTGTACCTGGGTGTTCATGGTAGCTCTATTCATAATTGCCAAAATCTGGAAACAAATCAAATGTCCATCAGCAATGGAATGGATATACAAATTGTGGTACACATGTACAATAGAAAACTACTCTGCAATGGAGAGAAATTAACCATTGACAAACACAAAAACATGGACAAACCTCAAAAACATTATGCTGAGCAAAAGAAGCCAGACACAAAAGACTGCTCAGCGCATGATTCCATTCATATGAAATCACAGAAAGGGTCAGTTGAAGGTGCAGAGACAAAAAGTAGATCTGCAGTTGCCTGGGGATGGGGTGGGAGGTTGACTGCAAAGACGCATAAGGAAATTTGGGGGTAGATGAGGAGTGATGGAAATATTCTATGACTTGATTTGTGTATTAGTTTCATAAGTTATATATTTGAACCCAACAGTATCTGAGATAGGTCTCAGTCAATCTAGACAGTTTATTTTGCCAAGGTTAAGGATGCATCCGTGACCCAGCCTCAGGAGGTCCTGACAACCTGTGCTGAAGGCAGTCAACATACAGCTTGCTTTTATTCATCTTAGGGAGACATAATACATCAATCAATGCATGTAAGGTTTACATTGGTTCAATCTGGAAAGGTGAGGGAACTTGAAGCAGGGAGCTTCCAGGTTACAAGGTAGATTATTCTCAACAGAAAGGAATGTCTGGGTTATGATAAGCGGTTGTGGAGACCAAGGTTTTATCTTGTAGATGAAGCCTCCGGGTAGCAAGCTTCAGAGGGAATAGATTGTCAAAGTTTCCTATCAGACATAAGGTCTGTGTTGATGTTAATGCTGGTCAGCTTTTCCTGAATTCCAAAAGGGAGAAGGGTATACTGGGGCATGTCCAACCTTCCCTTCCATCATGACCTGAACTAGTTTTTTCAGGTTAACTTTGGAATGCTCTTGGCCAAGAAGAGGGGTCCATTCAGATGGTTGGGGGGGCTTAGAATTTTATTTTTGGTTTACAGTGAAGACTTATCAAGCTATACACTTAAATGAGTATGTTGTTAAATGTAAACTATAACTAAATAAAGATTATTTTAAAAGAAATTAATGCAGCTAACCGTGACCCCTGGCAAAATAAAATAGTGTATATGTACGTGCATATACATGCAAAGAAATGAGTTGAAACTAGAAGGATGCCAATCAAATAATAACATGGTCATCTTGGGGTCGGAGTACATTTGGGGATGAGGGGAGCTGTAAAAGCAGACTTGGACCTTTTCTTCTACCAGTACCGTGTCATTTGAATTTTGGAAAGAAAAAAAAAAACTCAGAAGGAGGAGAAGGAGCAGGAGGAGAAGAAGATGGATCTTAAGTGATTTGCCCGGGAGCACCTTGAGAAGGTGAGATTCAAGTCTAGGTCTAAGCTTTCTAATTCCATGAGTGGGAGTGACCCACGTCCAAGAGGAAGCTCAAAAGGAAGATGTTCTCCATCATCTCTTGCTCATCCTAACAGCATGCAAAACCACATCCAATGCAGCTCAGAAAACTCCCAAATTGCCAAATTTCATTGGAAACACTTAATGCTGTGGTTTCCAATTTCAACTGTAAAGTAGGTATGTATGCCATTGTTACCATTAACTTCTCAGAAATGGAGAGAGCTCTCTTTCCGCCTCCTCCCCCTCTGCTGTGGCTTTGGTGAGACGTGCACTCAGGCTCACCTGTCTCCATGATCTCCAGTAAGTACACATGAGCAGAGAGGCCTCAGCTCAGCTCTTCCTGGTCCCACCAGGGTTGATTCTTTGAGAATTCTGGAATGCCACATCCTAGGCCCCCCAAAGAAATCCTGCATCTTACCCCCAGAAATATGAATCATAGCAAATTTCAAATCAACCATCGTTTAATACTCACAGACTGGGCACATCCAAAAACATATTTTCAGTTTTACAACAGTGCCTGGTGCATATCGGCACTATTTGTGGAAGCAATAAATCGACACGGAGCTGAAACACAAACAAATGCCAAATTGTTTTTATAACACCTGATTTTCTTTCTGTTTCTTTATGCAGTTTAGTTTTGTTTTGCTTAACTCTACCTCAGACCATAGTCTGGTAAACTCACCACCCAGAAGCTCCCTTGAAATGTGGGTATGCAGCCACTAGGTGGCAGGAGAGAGTTTCCTGCCTGGAGGGAGGACAGCCACTCTGTCCCCGGGTCAGGCCAGGGCCACCCTGCTACCTGCAAAATTAGCATGGGGCTTTATGAACCACAGCTTCCTAATAAACACAGGATCTGTTTGATAGAGCCTCCAAAACACGCCTACCTAGTGATGAAAGACTCAACTTCAGAAGAAAACCTTCATGGCAAACATCTTCAGAGATGTTTCCAACTTAAGGTTCTGAACACAGACGCTTCCCCAGAAAGCCATTGTTTCTCAGCACCTGGGAGCCTTGCTTTGCTTTGCTTACAGACTCGCTGTTCTTAAATCACTGCCAAGATAACATCTGTCTCTTCTCTTACCCTCTATTTCGATATAAGGACTCCTCACTCTTGTTGCTTCCTATTGGCTACCTCTCCACAGGGAGAAATCGCTGATTTAACAGCAGTCAATATCCCAAATCTGGAACAGGGAACAGGGAAGCATTTAAAAATTGGAGAATTTAGGCCGGGCACAGTGGCTCATGCCTGTAATCTCAGCACTTTGGGAGGTCGACGTGGATGGATCACTTAGGAGTTCGAGACCAAGCCTGGGCAACATGGCGAAACCTCATCTCTACAAAAAAAAAAAAAAAAAAAAAAAAAAACCCAAAAATTAGCCGGGCATGGTAGTGCACACCTGTGAGCCCCAGCTACTCAGGAGGCTGAGGTGGCAAGACTGCTTGAGCCCTGAGGTCGAGGCTGCAGTGAGCCGAGATCACACCACTGCACTTCAGCCTGGGCAACAGAGTGAGACCTTGTCCCAGATAAATAAATTAAATTAATTTAATTAGAGGATTTAAGGATTTTCCCTACAGACACCTCCTTATTTTCTCTGGCCTTTTCTGACTACTCTCCCTAACTCCCTGCTCCTCTGGTCTCCCAAAACTACTCCAGAAAAAAAAAAGGGGGGGAGGGACTAAAGGAAAGCCAGGTGACAGTGCCAGTGTGACAGATGACAAAGCATCTGCCCGAACAAACCGTAGGTCCCTGAACTTTCTCCAAGACCTATCTGTGGACTTACCTATGAAAACCAGTTTTAGCAAAAACCCTCCTAAGCCAGTTTATCAAGATCCCCTTATCCTCAATATCCATCTGATTGGATTCTTCATCCCCCACCATTCCCCAGTGATGTCACCAGGCCTTTCTTCAGCAACAGTAGTTAGTGGGTGTAGCCAGGACGCCCCCTCACCCCTGATATGCCCTTTTAGTAATTCTTCATCCACAGGTTCCCACCCTGCTCCTAGGCTATACATTCCCATTTGCCCATGCTGCATTTGGAATTGAGCCCAGTTCTATACTGAGGTCTTACTTCACCTCTCGCCATAGTCCTGAATAAAATTGGTTTTCACATTTAAAAACTGTCCAGCTCTGGTTGTTCCTTGACACAGGGTAATTTTTATTCCATGTGATAGTTTGCCTTACCTCAGCCTACACCCCTCAAACCTGCAACTCTATATTCAAGAACCAGACAGCCCTTTCCAACAGATAGGAAGAGGCTGCCCTGGTGCAAAGGAAGAGGCTCTGGGAGGAAGGAGAGAACCCGAAGGCTGCCCCCTCCTCTAGACTGAGCTCTGGGATGGGTGGACGATAAAACCCAGATACGTTTAGACATCTGAGCGTGGAGAGGACTTTGCTTTGCTTCCACAGGGACCCCAAGGAAACTGCAAGCCCTCCAGAGACTAAAAACAGCAGAACAGCAAGAAATGGCAGCAAAGGTCTGGGCAGAATCATCCTATGTGGGCACAGACACAAACAGAGTCCCCTGTGGCCCCAGGAGAGTTTAAAGAAGATCCAGAGGCTGTCCTATTCCATATCTCAGCAGAGACAGGCCCGTGAGCCTAAAAGCTGATCATTAGGACAAGAAGGACACGAACTGTCCTGCAGCGTGAACCGCGTGGAACAAGGCCAATCACCAGACACCAGACCAGCCAGACACAGCCCCGCAGTTCCCCAAGACCACCACGGACCCATCGCCCCTCACCAATAGCTCCAGGCTACATAGACCCCCTCCACTTCATGGATGTCCTCAGAGCAGAAAGGGGAGGCAGGAGTGGAACCCTGACTTGGTTCAGTTGAAACATAAAATGACTGTACTATTATTGAATTGCTGAAGTTTACGTGAAAGAAATGAGATTTAGTTTTTGGCCACAGTGCAAAATAAGAAACGAGGCTTCAACTGAGATTAAGGTGAGTTATAGGAAAATGTACTCCCTTGAAGGACCTGTGAAGTGTGTTCGCTATGAGAAAATGACCAGAATCCACGTTCTTAGCTGCGGGACTCAGGCTGACTCCTGTTTCTGGAGCTTGCACAAAGGGCAGGGAAATCCCTGTTTCAGGCACAGTGATTTCAATGTTTAAAAGAAAACAGGTGGGCCCTGGCAATCATGATAACATGTCATAAGTTTACATCTCTGTGAGGCAGGTAGTGTAATCCCCATTTTGCAAAGGAGGAAACCGAGGCTGAAAGCAGCTACATGGTCTCTTCAATGTGGCCCAAATGTTGGAGAACAGAGCTTAACTGAATCAGCAATTCTATACTTAGAACTGACTCTCTCTTTATTATATCTCACTACTACCTTGATATTTGAAATATTCAACTTTTTTCAATCAAAAAATAACAATAATTTAGGCATAATGACTACTATGTCATTTAATTTCTTGCTGATATTTCAATATCCCATGCCAGGAATATTGAAAGCTCAGCTCCTTAAGAGCTGACTATGGCATCAACTCCCAACAACCATCCTTCCAGAAATATTTTCCCCTTTCTTTTGTTATAGAGTGGCACTGCCCTATATGGTGACCACTTGCCACATGTGGCTGTTGAACACTTGAAATTGGCTTGTCAGAATTGCAGTGTAAAGTGTAAAACACATACCAAATTTCAAAGACATGGCACATAATAAAAAATGTAAAATATCTCATTAACAATTTTTATATTGACTGTGTAAGTAACATTTTGAATATATTGGATTAAATACATGGATGATGCCCCAACACCCACAGTCCCTTATCAAGTCTCTACTTCACATTTTTGTACTTCTGACTTAGAAATAGCACTGGCGTCTAAGAGCCTATTAATGTCGTCAATAGGTTCTTGGGAACCACAATTTTAAACAAAATGACATATAAGAAAACGAATAACATTGAACAAAATGACATTATTCGAGGACCTGCTGCATGTTGTTTCACTTAAAGTCAGTGTCCAAGAACCTATCAGTGACATTTAGTGAGGACTTGCTGTCCTTCCTGTTTACAGGAACCTGGGCAAGTTACTTAATTCCTCTAAGCCTGGTTTATATCCCTGCAAAGAGAGAAGGATAATAATCACCAGTACTTAGTGATGTCGTAAGGAGAAAATAAAATAATAAATATGAAATGGCTGACAGTGTCCTTGTCACACAGAAGATGTGTGATCCACAGTAGCTGCTATTGTCTGCCTCACTTCACTAGTAATGGTCCAGGGAGGCCTTTAATGTGCATGGTGCAGTACATTCACATGTTGGACATGGGTGAAGGGAAAGACCAGGCTCATCTAAACACAATAGGATGCTTGTGGTGTTTTGAGGAGGAATCAAGGACTAGTTATCCACAGCTGTAACATGCATGGATCAAAAGAGATAAGGCACACAAAAGACTTTGTCAGTAGCAAAGCATTACAAAATGCAGAGACCAGCTGTGGGTGGTGGTGAGTCAGACCCAGCTTCCCTCTGTGCCTGGCTGAGTGGTTCTGGGCAAGTCACGCCATCTGTCTTGATGCCCTTCCCCATCTATAGAGAGGGAGCAACTGAGGCCCCTTCCAATACTGAAGTCCTTTATTTCTGCTACTTTAGAAATATCCACATTTTTGGTAAATTCAAATGATCCAATGATTCCATTTCCTAATGTTCAAAACTAGCCCCAGAAACATCTAAATGAATCAAACAAATAAAATATTTATTGTGTATGTTTTGATTGCTGAAACTTCTATTTTAGCAACACACACACACACACACAGAACCCATAAGCCTTCATCTTTCCTTGGATAAACGAGCCTTCCTGTCTGGCCATTTAAGTCACGATTAAGTAAATGATTTCCAACTCGCCTTTTGCAGCAGTTCAGATGGGTCTTTCCTGCGTGGCAGTGGCCCTCCTGACTTATGATTTCCTGTGTGTCGGCCTGTTACCACTGCAGCTTAACTGAGGAAACAAGAACAAAACAGCCTCTGACCCCAAGAGACTGTTGGAGGCAAAGGCTTCAGTCCCAAGAACCTCACACGTGGGGAGCCCGAGAGCCCAGCCCTGACCTTTTCTCCAGTAATAACATAAGAAACAACAGGCACTGGCCTTATTTTGGATACAAAGAGTGGTGCTTTTCCTTAAATCTTCCTTTAGTCAGGGCTACCCCTTCATGGACGCCCCAACATCCATGGTTCCTGCTTGAGTCCCTGCTTCCATATTCCTGCACTTCTCACTTGAAATATCCCTGGAGTACGTTAAGCAGCCAGGTTTGGAAGTTCTTGCTGTGCAGGCGGGTGTGTGCATGTCCTCTCTCTCAACAGGACACAAGCTCCCCAAATCAGACGGTATGCCTCCACGCCCCTTCCCAAGCCTCCCCAGCAGCACCGAGCATGTGAGGGGAGCTGGGGCCCAGGCCATGATGGGAAGCACTCTCTGCCTAAAGACTAGGGTGATGCGCCCTCAACTGTGGGAATGAGCCCCAGCTCTGGTGTCTGCCTCGGTTTTTCCTCCTGGACAATCAACATGAACTCCTCACCCCTCTTATCCACTTTGCATAAACTGAAAATAACAAACCCAGGGCTCTTTCTGTCACAGGAAAGGGTTTTTTTTTATAAGATTAAACAGAGATGATTCAACACACCCAGGATATAACACATGGGCCATGAGTCAAGGCCAGGCATTGCTCTGGTCAGCCTGTTGTTTGGGCCCCCTTGGCAGGGCTCTCCCCTGAATCTTCCCCCTCTTGACTCCCCATCACCACAGCACGTCCAGCTTTGGGTACAAGGCCAGTAAATGGGGAAGGGGGTCAGATGACATAAAGAGCCCTTTCCTGTCCCATTGAAATATATTTGGATAACAGATGGCATTTCCCCCTGTGTCTTGCCCAGGGCCCAGAGCCTCCACTTGCTAGAGGCAGACAGAGGATGGAGAGCCCCTTCATTAGTGGGAGGACATCACAGGTGGGCAAGAAACCACAAGCTTGCACTGAGGCCCAGCCTTGAAATAGCAGCACCTGCCGGCACCTGTGGTCTGGGGACAGGGTCACAGGATGGAGGGGCCTCCTAAGCCTTTTATCTCTATGTACTAAGTACAACCCATTTTCCCACCTCACAGAGCCAGATCAGCCTCTGTGAGGTCCTGGTGGCAAAAGGAGAAGTGCCTGCCCGCCTGCCCGCGGTGGGGTGCTTGTGCTTGCATTCCTGGGAAGGTGTTGGTTAGCTCTGCAATAGGTCCCTCTGACCAGCTCACCCTCTACCTGCAAACCTCAGACCCAGCTTCAAAGAAGATCCAAGCACCGATGGGACCCTCTGGTAGCTTGACACATGGGCGGACCCAGATTCCTCTCTCATCTGATCTGTCATGGAGGGCTCCCCAGTTAAAAGTCCTTAAAAACACAAATCTGATTGACAAGTTGCCTGCCTGTCTGTCTTCAGCCAGTCTACCTGCTGCTGCCTTCAGGTTTCCTCCCAGCGTAGCTTGGACTTGTCTTGGATTGCCTGATATGGCAGGTGCACTGCTCTCACACCAGCCAATCATCTGCTGCTACAGAGCCTAAAATGAACCAGGAGAGCATAGGAGCTCGGTCAGATCACCAGCAGCCCATGGGGTTTGTCCTCTGATTTTCTACCACCTCAGCCTCCACCGTCACTACCATGACCACTTTTGACCCCCAGGCCCTCTGCTGGGATTTCCTACAACCACACAGCTTCCTGACCTCTTATTCCCGCTTTTGCTGTCTTCTCCAAGAGCCAGCTCAACAGCTCATGGGCACATCCCATCCCACTCGGTAAAGGGGCACACGACCCAAAGCCAAACCATTCCTCCCTAAACTCTGGGACTAGAATACCTAAAAACGGGCAAAAGTCCTTCCTTCCTTAGGGCCTCTGGAGTCTGGTCTCCTTGAAGGACTCTTCCAGGTGGCTTAGGACATGTTAAGTGGGCTCCTGCTAACCCCATGCCAGCATTCTCCCCACAGCCGATGCCAGGCTACTCTGAGCCCAACTTAGGCACAGAGCAGAAAGGACAAGCAGCCCATAAGCCCCAGTGAATATCTCCAATCGCTGTGTCTGTGTGTGTATCTTTATGAGACGGTCATATCTAATACCTGCAACAATGATTTTCTGAGATCAACCCTAGTGTCAAGCTTCTTGAGCTGTAAGTCCCATAAACCATCAAAATGGCATGCTTAAAGGAAACTATTGACCCCAGTAGTATCTGGGCTGCAATATCTGTCTCTCAGCAGAGACAGAGCATTTTACTTTTCACAGTGAATTCTTTTGCACTGTTTAATTTCTTACTCTAAGCTTGTATAATTTTTTAAAACTAATAAAAAGTCCTAGGAATTTCAATATTATACTATCCAATTTGCATAATCTGGGATTCCAGTTGTAGCACAAAAATCCTTATTCGACTATGCTGTAATTTGTAATTCATATACGTGTGAAATACAGCCATGATGCTTAGAACCAAGATTAATCTGGGGGATTTCCTCACTCAGCCAGTGTGCACTCAGCTCTGTGCTGTAGGGACACTCAAGTGGCATGGGGCAGCACAAGCCCTGTCCTTGTTGAAGTAGGAAGCCTATGCAGAGAAAGTGGCCATGTCCTAATTCTTAGGGAGGCTCCAGAAGAAAATGTGGGGAAAGTGGAGCAGCCCCAGAAGGGCTGGTTTATTACTAGCACAAAAGGACCCTGATCCAGGACAACCCCAGACATACTACTTAGATAGAGCAGCCCTACTCTTCAACAGCACCTCTCTTTTGTGCTTGAGTTTAATTCCTTTGAAACACGATGAATGGGTATGTTATTTAGCTTGTTGTAATCATTTCACAATGTATACATAGATCGAAACATCACATTGTACACCGTAGACATATACAATTTTTATGTGTCAATTATGTATGCTTTAATAACGCTGAGTGGAGAACAGTTTGAAACAATAAATTAAATTCTTAGGTTTCAAACCAACCTCCGCTCCATCATGAGGTCAAACTTCACCACCACATCCATTGCTTGGAGGGTTACTGGCCCGTGTTCCTTAATATCATGTAGGATCATTGTGGGAATTAAAGGAGATGGGTGAGACCAGAATTCTTAGACTTCCTTGGGGATGACTAACCTAATATTCCAAGGTTTCCTGGAGGGCTCAAGGCTCAGGAATTGGGTATTTCCTCTATGACATGCCCACACATCTCCAAGGAAAACGCTATATGTTCTCTTTCTCTACCTTTCCACCCCACCTCCACCGGGACGATCCTTTGACTGCTGCAGTTACCGTGACTAGCTAGCTCCTCCAGTTCTCCCAGCAGAGCTGTTCAAGGAAAGTAACACTCTAAGAAGCCATTTGGCCTCCACATGCCCTCAGCTGAACTACAGGTCTGGGCAGGGAAGGCAAGATGCCCCAGAGACATCACACGCAGGAATGGCAGGGCAGGCATCAGCAGGGCAGGCCACGGCATCTCCCACCACTCTCTCTATCCTGTAGTACCCAAGCTTGTCCTCAGAACGTGAACCAACAATCTGGAGCTGTTTTTCCAGGACATTAAGTGAGGCCCTGGAGGCCCTCTACCAGCCCACTAGTGCTTCTGCTCTGTCTGGATTAGGCAGAATCAGAAACCTAGCCCCAGTGCGAGTCACCCCCAACTCACTGCTAGTCACCCTTTACATCAGTCTTGATGATGAAAATGCCATTGTACCCCCAGAATTACATCAGGCTGGGAGTGTTTTCCTAAGCACGCTATCCCTAGGGCCTCATTTCCACTCTCAAGCTCCATGCCCCATTGTCATTTGGAAAAGTTGGCAACTATCAGGAGAATAACTCAATAAGTCATTCTGCATCTCATCACTGTCGAAGGACAGGAACCCCTGGAAAAATGAATATAGGAGAGCATGGATCTGGGATTGAAGAAGCTGCTGTAATCTTGGGCAGCAGCTACCTATGAGCATGCACCCCTTCAGATCAGGCTTGGCATAGGATGACGACACTTGCCAAGCACCATGACTGTTAATGCAATTTCTTAAGACTCTGTCTTCCTTACACTGCTCCAGGCCCTCAAGGGCCCATGACTATGTGGAAATGACCTTGGCCCTGGAGGCCTGGGGTGGGATCATCTGCTAAGTAGATACAAGGAAAGCAGGTGAGCCATACTGACGCAGCCATTCATAAGCCAGGCTCTCTCAGATGCCTTCCCTCAGCTCTCCTACCCTGCATTCCTTCATTAACCCTGCTCTCATTGAAATTCCTAGGAACACCTAATCCTCATGCAAAAAAAAAAAAATTAGTCTGAGTCTTCACGGATTCTTGAGACCTCATGGCTTAAACCCTGTTCAACCCCATTACCTCTCTAGCAACCCCATTGCCTGGTGCTGTCCAGGGCCAGGCTGATCTCCATAGGTCCCTCTGCTGGCTCCATTCAGATCTGCCCTCCAGAGTTCAATAATCTCTAGAAAGGATTAGTGTTTGCTGGTTTGTACTTATTTATTTATTTATTTATTTATTTATTTGAGATAGGGTCTCACTCTGTCACCCAGTCTGGAGTGTGGTGGCACAATTATGGCTCACTGCAGCCTCAACCTCATGGGCTCAAGCAATCCTCCCACCTCAGCCTCTCAAGCAGCAGGGACTATAGGCGTGCACCACCACATCTGGTTAATTTTTTTTAATTCTTCATAGATACAAGGTCTCCCTGTGTCACCCAGGCTGGTCTTGAATTTCTGGGCTCAAGAGATCCTCCTGCCTTGGCCTTCCAAAGTGCTGGGATTACAGGTGTGAGCCATTGCATCCAGTCCTATTTGTTATTAATTTGGGTTCCAAAGATTCCTCCAGTGGCATCTTACTTTGGAAATAAATTACAACAATAATATTTATCAAGCATTTATAAAGCCCTTACTACATGTGGAGCCCTGTAGGAAGTATCCTATGTTGTTCATCACATATATTCCTAACAACATATTCCACAAGGTCAAGATTCTTCTTATCCTCATTTCACTGACAGAGACTTGCTCCAGTCATAGGGTACTGAGTTCCAGGTATATCGTCCAATCAAGTTTGCTGTTGCTTCCTTACTGATGTGAGTCTGTGATGCCTATCAGTTACTAAGAAATACACATGTTCAACCATTGCCTGGAGGGTCACCCCAAGGGTATATCAGATGCACATATCAAATTGAAGTTCAGGCATATCCAAACTTTAACTCATTAACTCCTCTTACATCACTGCCCTTCCACTCCAAAGCAAACCAGTATGCCTTCTCATTCCCCTAGTTTCCTTGTGGTGTTGAATAATGTAACTTCAGTGGATCAACCTAGAAGTCTCAGAATTATCCTCAACTTTGCTTCCTCAGCCCCCACCTGCATCCAGTTGTTCACTATGTCCATTCTGATTCTACTCTGAACATATCTCAACTACCTCCCTTCCACTCTGTTCGCACCACTACTGCCTTATCTCAGGGTCTCGTCATTTCCCCCCAGCCTTTCAGTAAATGGCTCCGTACTTCTCCACACTACACAACTCAACATTTTTGTAGAATTCAGACCATTCTGCAACAAAATTAGATATGGCTTTGAAATACGTCAAACAACGACAGACAAAAACAGCCAACTCTCCACAAATTGTACACCTACCAGCTTTTCCAACCAATAGTCTAAAACATGGGAAAGTGTCTTTAAAAATGTAAATTGATGTTATTAACTCTTATTTTAATTCATTCATGTGAGTCAGGATCAGTTGGGACAGTTTTATGAGGGATGAGTGATTTCCAACACTGTGAAACACAGAGTGCTTTGCTCCATTTATCTTCTTAGAAAACTACATTTTAATCACTTGATTTCATTTTGAAGACAAACTAGATTCACATTTATAGAGGACAGAAGAATAAGCATTTTTCCACACGTAGATTTTACCGTCATATTCTAGGAAAGGCCTTACAAAACAAATGGCCATGCTGTTTGATTATTGCCAGAAATAGTAGCTTCAGAATAACTCTTCTAAAACCAAAGCCATCGTTTATGAAGATATCTCCAAATATCTGATAAGCCTACAACTAAAGCTAAACCACCAACTAAAGTATTAATGAAGAAATGTAAAACAAGCTTCTTGAATGCATGATAAAAATTCTCCAAGTGTTAGCCTCATTAGCAAGAGTCTGCATCAACAAAATTCCTGTCCTCAGTTCCCTACACTAAAGGTAAATGTATATGGGGTAAATGATGCAGCTATAAGTCCCCAAAAATAACGTCATGATAAAGTCCCACCTGAGCATGAGGTGGACCACATTCTTACATTGTTTAAAAATGGAAGATTTTGTCTTTGCACCTTTCCCTGCTCTTTTTTGGCCCTCAGGGGAAGGTTCCATGTTCTTTCACATGGCACAACCTTACCTTTGTTATGGTTCCCCATCTCCTGGTTCCAATAGAAAGAAAGAATGAATGGCCCAGAAGTGGAATATGTCCATTTAGATACAGTTTAATTTCAGTCAATAGCCATTTATTAAGCACTCACTGTGCCATGAGGAATGAGCAAATAAAAAAGAAATGACCCAACCCTTCAGGAGCTCTCAGGGTCTAGAAAAGAGTAAAAGCAGACACAAAGTCAAAAACTGTGGCACAGATGTGATCAATAATATAATGGAAGTAGAAAAAAAAAGTGTAATCAAAGAAAATGGGACAGGGAGTAACCCCAACTGGACATCGTCTTGGAGTAGATGGGGTGCTAAGACAAGAATTCAATAGCAGAATATGTATGAAGTAGTTATTCCAGGCAGAGAGAATGATTTGAGCTGACAGAACATGGAATTTGAATCAAGAACAGTGAGTAGTAGCCCAGAGTATGCACTGCAGTGTGGTGGAGGATAAAGATGCAAAGGTAGAGGAGAGTGTGGAGGGCTTTGAATTCCGGACTCAGGGGTTTGTGTGTTATTCTACGTGACAGCAACTTTTTATAATTTAGGCTTCCACTAAATTTTTGTAAATGTTCTGCATAAACTCAAAACTAGTATGTATTCTCTAATTCTTGGGTACATATCCAATATATGTTCATTAAATCAAAAGTGTTCATTGCATTAAGTTTTGTCATTGTCTTTTGTCTGTTTGACCTTTACATAATCGAAAGAAGTAAGTTGAAATCCCTCTGCGATTATGGATTTATACATTTTTCATTAGTGCCATACTAGTTTTGTTTCACTTAAATAGTTATTTGAGGCCAGGCACCGTGGCTCACGCCTATAATCCCAACACTTTGGGAAGCCGAGGGGGGCAGATCGCTTGAGCCCAGGAGTTTGAGACCAGCCTGGTAACATGGTGAAACCCCATCTCTACAAAAAATACAAAAATTAGCAGGGCTTGGTGGTGTGTGCCTGTGGACCCAGCTACTCATGAGGCTAAGGCAGGAAGAAAGCTTGAGCCTCAAGAGGTGGAGGCTGCAGTGAGCTGAGATCAAGCCACTGCACTCCAGCCTGAGCAACAGAACAAGATCCTGTCTCAAAAAAAATAAATAAATAAAGTAAATAAAATAAAACTATTTGATTACAAGTTTATAATTGTGTCTTTCTGGTGAATTAAACCTTTCATCATCACAAGTTGACTCACAATAATGCATCTTATCTTAGAGCCTATTCTGATCAGCACTACTACAGTCACTAGAATTTTTTGATGTTGTTCATTTGTTTTCATCTTTTAATGGTGATTTAGTGCATCAGTGATATTTCTGGACCTGTTTCTTCTACCTTTTTCTTTTCCACTTCTATTTGTCCCGCTTTTTCTATGCTTTGATTTTCTCCTTCCGAACCTTTTCTTTCTTTTTTTTTTTTTTTGATTGACTGAGATGTTTTTTGGTCAGTTTTCTTATTCCATATTTTTCCCTTGACTGTTTCAGAAGTTATACTCTCTATTTCTATTTTTTTATGGTTATCCTTAAAGTTTTTCACTGTGTAAGTGACGGTCAAAAATTAATATATTGACTCCCCTCTAGAAGGATAGAAGGACCCTAGAACTTTAACCTTCAAGTAATTCCTGAATCCTTTCCAGCATGCTTGTTTTCTAGTATTTTAATTCTGTCCTTTTCTTTATCCTTATCAACTCATTATTAATAGCATCATTGTCATTATTATCATTTATGCAGGCAGTTTTTTTAATTCACCTATAATTTTAACAATTTCTTTGTTCATAATTCCTTTTTGCATCTCAGACCTTCCTTAGGAATTGTTTTCCTTCTTCCTAAAAACTGCATTTAAAAGTCCATTTAATGAATGCTTGTTGGTGGTAAACTCTCTCAGTTTTGTTTATTTGAAAACATTTTTATATTACCTTCATTACTTTTTGTTAATGTTGATATTTTGTATAAGGCAGCAATTTTCACCCTTTTCACCCTTATTCTTCAAAGATAGATTAAATACGCATTTTGAAAATACTGTTTCACTGAATTTGGTTTCCATTGTTGTTGTTGAGTAGTCTGCCATTGTCATTTCTTTCTAAGTCTGACTTTCTTTTTTTGCTGATTTTAAGATCTTCTCTTTGTCTTTGTTGAGTATTATTATTACAATTTGTTCATAGTATATTTATTTATCCTCCTCAGTGTACATTGTTTTCTCTACTGGTAAAGTCATAGTTTGTGTTGGTTCTGAAAAATTCTCAGCCACCTCTTTAAATATTGCCTTGTTCATTCTCTCTATTCTCTTCTTCCAAAATTCCAGTTAGACCAATGTTAATTCTCATTCTACCCTCCCTATAATTTAACCTCTTTTATAATTCCTGTGTACTTTTGTAAATTCCCATTTTTTCTATCTATGCTGAATTCTGATTTCCTCAGAACTACCTTCCAGTTCATTAATCATTTCTTCAGCTATTTAACCCATCCACTAAGATATGTATTTCAACAATTATACTTTTTTACTTATAGATTACTTCATTTTTTTAAACCTGCCTAGTTTTATTTTTAAATTATGCCTTTTATTTCCTTAGATGTTTTCTAAATAATTATATGTTATATCAACCCTTCCCTTGACTAAATGTGCAACCTTAGACAATTGACTTTATTTCTCTGCTGTGTTTCCTCATCTGTAAAATAGGAATAATTATTGTACCTCCTTCATAGAGATATCGGATTAAATGAGTTACTGTGTTCGTACCAGACAATGTCTTATCAGGAAACAGAAACCAGTCTGGCTATTTCAATCAGAGAGAGAAGTACACACAGGGAAGTCAGTTACAAAATTAGAAGTGGAGGAGCAAAAACGGGGAAGATTGTGGGACCCAGAGATCAGGAACTACAGAAAGCTGCTACTGCACCTGCAGGACCCAAGGCTCCTCTGAGCTTCCACAGAGCCATGCAGCCACTCCAGTAGCCCCTGGTCATCTACTGGCCACTGTCCCTTTAGGAACCTTGCTCGTCTCAGTCCCATGCCTTTAACTCCACACTGTGAGAAGGCTACTTACCTGTGACTGCCACTGTTACTGCCCATTTTGCATGTGCTGCCAGAGGCACAGCCAAGAACAGAATAGCTGCCTCTTCCTTTCTACCTTTTAATCTAGTGCAAATTAAGAGGGCACAGTAGGAGGGTGAGTGTGAAGCTGAGTCGGTATCTGGCACAATGTGCAAAATTCTTAGAACCCAGCACACAGTAAGTACTAGATGCATGTTTGCCATTGTGGCAGTTTTATTCTATATTCAGGAATTCTAACAGCTGAAGACTTAGAGCATCCCAGCTGGTGGTTATTGTTTCTGTTTATTCTCATTCACGTCACTCATGAATTTGTTTATTGCTCTGTGTGTTTGGTGACCTTTGTCTGTGAGCTTGTACATGATTGATCTTAGTCTGTGGGAGTTGTACTGGCTGAATTGGGGAACTTGCCTCCAGAGAGGATTTGTGTCTGCTTCGGGTGGAAGGGCAAGGAAATGCCAACAACCTGAGACCACTTTATTCTGCCTCAAAGGCCCCGGATTGAGGCAGGCCCCTGGGTTCAGCACCCGCTCTTGCCACTGGCACATAATTAAAGAGGCCCATTGATTGCAATGCTTATACAAGTGTTTTCCCTCAGAGAGGAAGACTGCCTTTGACGTGTGTTTACCTGCCGCTCACCACCCTTCCTACTTAAGCCCACTTGGAGGGGGTAGGGAGAGGGGGACAGAAAGAGGATTTTAAGAGATCTCCTTTCCTTGCTGTTCATCCAGAAATGCATTTCAAAATGTGTTTTATCTAAGCCTTACTCATTTTGAGTAAGGAAGACCCTGCAGTGTCTACATTCAACCATGTTGCCAAAAGCAGACATCTGTATTTTATTCAATAGACAAAGGAGGAACCATTAACCAATGGGGGCCAGGGGATGATGGGACCCAATCTCAGTTTTAGAAAGAAAACCAGCAATAAAGCAATCTGATTTTTTTTTTTTTGAGACGGAGTCTCACTCTATCGCCCAGGCTGGAGTACACTGTTGCAACCCCAGCTCACTGAAACCTCCGCCTCCTGGGCTCAAGCAATTCTTCCACCTCATCCTCCCAAGTAGCTGGAACTACAAGCACGCACCATCACACCTAGCTAATTTATTCTTTTTGGTTGTTTTTTTTTTTTTTTTTGTATTTTTGGTAGAGATGGGATTTCACCATGTTGCCCAGGCTGATCTCAAACTCCTGAGCTCGAGCAATCCACTCACCTTGGCCTCCCAAAGTGCTGGCATTACAGGCATGAGCCACTGTGCCCAGCCAAGCAATCTGATTCTTAAGTTAGTTTTCTATGTCTTTTAAAATAAAAGTACAAGAATCATCATCCCCAGAAAGGTATGTGAATGGCAATCACATTCAGATTTTCTAGAAAAGTCCAAATTTCAAGTATTTAACCTCATACTTCTCACATATGTATTTGTCAGAACTCTAATCCTAATTTGAGCTTGAGCAGATACAATCACTGTAAATATGGTCTTCATCAAAAATGTAATACATTGGCATTCTGGCTTATTAATCAATTCCTTGTGAATCTGAGTATTGTTACTTAGACCACAAAGAATTGGATCCCTGACAGTTCAGTAGAAACAAGCACTACCTAGGCAAGTAATGCTGCAGGCAAGCATTTGAACAGTCGTGGCCTCATAAAGGGCAGACACACCCCTGGCAGCCAGCCAGGCTCATTAACAGCAACCCAGAGACTTGCCGAGGTCCTTCTAAGAATCTGATTTCATGAGTCACGCTCCATGGGCACACCCCAAATTTCTGTTTGTTTTGGAAAACTCAGTTACCCTTTACAAAGAATAACTCCTATAAATGATAATGAGAATAATTAAAGCTACATGTGCAAAAACAATTAACTTATTACTGATGCTATCAGCGGATGTTGTCAACTAATAAATCTGTCAAGTTGGCAAGTGAAGAAAGGTGGCATGCTTTCAAACATAAATATAAAATGTTTAAGGAAGAAAAACTGGTAGGCATAACCGCGCCCAATTGTACTGGTTGCATTTCAAATGTCCTGGTCGCACTGATGCATATGCTTGACATGACAGGCAGCACCAGGAAGGAAAGGGAGAGGGCTTGGAAGGAGGAGGGTGCAGCCCCAGGATGGGTGGCTGGAGTGAACTGGGAGACAAAGGCAGGATTTATTTCAGAGGCAGGGCCCACAGAACACTCATGGATAGGTGGGATGTTGAGGGAACAGGCAGAAATCCAAGAGAAGGACTTAGATTTTTTACTTGAGCAATTGGGTAACTGGAAGAACATTTGGTAAGAACTGAGGAACTGGGGGAGGAACAGGAATATCAAGAGTTCTGTGTAGGACATGTTAAGTTGAAGGTGCTTACAGGATAGCCAGATGAAGCATCAGGTGTGCAGTCAAAGATATGAGTCTGGAGCAGCACATCCTAAGTCACCTCCTGCACCAACACAGAACTTCCAGGCCACTCACTTGAGCTCTCCCAAATAGTTTCCAAGTGTCATTATGTTAATAACCTATGAGCTTGAACACCAGATTCAAACCCCACTGCATGGCTTTTAAAGACCATCTCAAGGGCTTGACACTCCAGGGAGCCAACTAAAGATGCCTGGTCCTACCATCAACCTCCACCCCATTTTTTATAGAAAATGTTTCTACCTGTCCTAAGGCAGGGTCCTGCCCCACTCCCAGGCCCCTTTAGATCCCCAATATTCCTCCTCCCTGAACCAAAACCCTCATCATCTTCCAGCATGGGTGGGGCCTCCATTCTTGCTTCTGCTCCCCTGAGCAGAAGCAAGTTTCTCCCAACTTGACCTGATTCTCCTCCTAAGTACCAGTCACTGCTTTGTTTCTGGAATGAGAGAAAAAGACAGAGTGAGAGAGACAATCCAGAACTCTTGCTCACTCACAGCTAGGCTGGGCATCTGGGAGGATGGCTGTGTCCATGGGAACCTGGGAAAAGCCACACCCTTGGCACCCTGGTCACCCACCTGTCTCCCTGGCAGATTCCGCACTGCTCTCTTGCACCCTCTACCAGGGCTAACCGGCCTGCTCACTCTCCCCAGCATGTCTTCCCACGCCCACTCTCTAATTATTACATTCCCTTCACATAAACTGCCCTTCTCTCCCAATCACCACATGTTCACTTCCCACCCAGCTGTCAAAGTCTGGCTCAACCTCATTCTTGAAAAGGAAAAAACAAACAAACAAACAAACAAACAAGCAAAAAACCTATGATGGATTAAGAACACACTTCATTCCAGGAACATGCTTATCTCCTCTAACTCTCACAACAACTACAGCAGGTAGGTGTTATCACACCCATCTCTCAGGTGAGAAAACAGGCTCAACGAGTGCAGGAGGACACAGCAAGTCAGTGACAAAGCTTAAATTCAAGCCCAAGCCTGTTGGCAACCAACGTCTGTACCCTTGATAGCTACCTCATTTACCACCAAATCCAGTGGCCTCAGGCCTGGCTGCACACTGGGATCACCTGGTGCCCAGACCACATCTTAGACCAGTCATACAGAATCTCTTGGGCTGGGATCCTCCACGGTACATTTTAAGGGTCCCCAGGTGAGTCCACCATGGACCCAGAATTGAGAACCACTACCCTATACCATCTCCTTCTTCATCTCTTCTAAGGCATCTCTTACTCGCTGTGAACTCCCATACCACTTTGTTCAATCATCCAATCATTCATTCATTGAGTCAGTTAGTCAGGAGCTACTCACTAGTCCCCTGCCAGGTCCTAGTCATGACATAGGGCTCTGGGGACCAACAAGAAGCAGGACCCATGCCTCCTGCTCTCATGGAGCTTGCTCTGCAGCAGAGGAAGCAGTCAGTGAGATGTAGCAAATGTGAAATGTGCACAGATGGGAAAAGCAAAACTTTAAAACTTTTAGGACAAAATACACAAGAAATCTTTGCAACTTTGGGACAGGAAGGAACAACATTCCTTACACATGACACCAAAGGAATCAACCATAAATAAAAAGGTGATCAATTTGACCTCATTTAAGTGTTAAGCTTTTTTCATTGAGAGACACCATTAAAAATTAAAAATACATGCCACAAACTGGGATACAATATTTACAACACTTATGTCTCACAAAGGATTAGTTTTCAGAATATATAAAGAACTCCCGGCCGGGTATGGCCGCGCACGCTGGAATCTCAGCACTTTGGGAGGCCAGCGGATCACATGAGGTCAGGAGTTCAAGACCAGCCTGGCCAACATGGCAAAACTCCGTCTCTACTAAAAATACAAAAATTAGCCAGGCATGGTGGCGGGTGCCTGTAATCCCAGCTACTCAGGAAACTGAGGCAGGAGAATCACTTGAGCCCAGAAAACAGAAGTTGCAGTGAGCTGAGCTCACATCACTGTAAGCCTCGGTGACAGAGTAAGACTGTCAAAAAAACGAAAACAAAAACAAAAACTCCTACAAATAAATAAGAAAAAAATAGCCCAGCAGGAAAAAGTATATACATTTCATAAAAGAATAAATACATTCTCTCAGTTTTCTAACATATATTTTTTAAGAGTAAATACAAATGGCTAGGAAACATTTTTTTAAATGCCCAACCTCATTAAAAATTATAGAAGTGAAAATTAAGCCACAATAAGATACGATTTTATACCAAATACAGTGTCAACACTTTGCAAGTCTGACCTCACCAAGTGTTACCAGACGTGTGCACTGACGTGGCTGCTGAGATACTGATGGTGGGTGTGTAAATCTGTACTACAAACAATTGCAATAAAATGTAATAAATATACAATAGGTGGAGCAGGAAGTGACCTGCAACCATATAGCAGATAGGGCAGGAAAAAGCCTATGAAAGCTGACATCAAAGGGATAAGTTCCAGTTACCCAGCTGAAGGGAAGGAGGGTGTTTCAGATAGAGGAAGGATAAGCATGACCTATTCAAGGCCAGTGAAAGAAGCGTGCAACGGCCAAGTCAGGAGAACCTGAAATTGTGTCAAAGAGCTTGGATGCAAAGAGCCGTGGGAGACTATTGGGGGTTTTAAGCAGGGATATAATATTCATTCAAGCATGCAGTAAAAGGTCACTGGCACCTGCCATGGGCCAGGACTCGGGCTCTACATGATTGCGTCTGTTTTGGAAATATCACCCTGGCTGTGAGATGAAGAACAGGTAGGAGGGTCACAAAACTTGAAGCAGAGAGACTGTTGAGGAAGTAAGCTGTTTTTGTGTGGACTGTGGCAATCACAGAGGCAGAGGATATAAATGCACAGAGACACAAGGCATGTGGGAGGCAGAAGGAATCAAATACAATGAGTGATCAGATGTGGGGTTAGAGTGGTGAGTGAGAAGACATACTCAAGGTGACACGCCCAGGTATCTGGGTGGATGGTAAGACATTCATGGACTAGGAATCGAGGAGGAGGGTGGGGAATGGACAATACGTGCAGTTTAGAAGGGGTAGACAAAAGAAGATTATACAGGAGACTGAGAGAGGAATAGACAAAGGAATCCCGGTGCAGTATTACAGAAACTGGGGTGGGAGGGGGTTGTAGTTCAAGAAGGAAAGAAAATTGTCAAATAGTATGAAATGCTGCAGAGAAACTCACGGATTTTTTTTTTAAGCTTAGAATTATTCATTGACTATGTGAATAAGAATAACTTTTATGAAAGAAGTTTTGCTTAAGTAGTAGGAAGAAGCAAAATTGTTGAGGGCTGATGAGTGGGAGGAGAAGTAAGTGAAGGCACTCTTTCAAGAGAAACAAAGCAGAAGGTGAGGAGAATACTAATGAAGGAGTTACGGCCTTCACTATTTTGTTTTGCTTTAGATAAGCAAGACTTGAGTGGGTCTGGTGAGGAGAAACAAGTAGAGTACAAAGTTAAAGGAGAGACAGACAGAGATAGAGATAGGGACAGAGAGAGAGACAGAGACAGAGCACAAAAGAGCAAGGTCCCTGAGAACACGGGCCTTCTGTTTAAACCCCAGCCAGATGTATTGCAATTCAATTCCAGTACTAACCACCCAGAGTTTGTGTAGACTCTACAAGTTAAAGAGCATGGTCCCCAACAAGACTGCTTCTACGTCAGATGCCAGGCACACTTCAGGGGTCCCCAAGCCACTCATGTTTTTTGAATGACTGCCATAAGTTCAAAAATTCCCACAATTCTCTCAGATTCAATAACTGGGTATAACAACTCATAGAACTCAAGAAAATGCTATCATTATTATTACAATTTTATTATAAAGGATACAAATCAGAAGGACTAGCCAAATGAGGAGACACATAGAGAGAGGACTAGTAAAAAACAGAGCTTCTGCGTCCTACCTTCAAGGAATCAGGATGCACCACCCTCCCAGCACATCAAGTGCTCATCAACCAGGAAGTTCCTCTGAGCTCCAATGTCCAGAGATTTTAGGGAGGATTCATTACATAGGTATCATTGATTAAATCATTGGCCATGTACTTGAACTCAATCTCCAGTGTCCCTCTTCTCCCTAGAGGTCTGAAGGGTTGGCTAATATCATGTGGCTCAAAGCCCCAACTCTAATTACCTTTTTGGTCTTTTCAGGGACTAGACCCCATCCTGAAGCTATCTACAGGCCCTGCCATGAGTTAGCTCATTAACATAACAAAGACACTTATATTACTCAGAAAATTCCAACAGTTTTAGAAGCTCCATGTCAGGAACCTGGGACATAGATCAAATTCTTTTTTTTTTTTTTTTTTTTGGAGACAGGGTCTTGCTGTGTTGCCCAGGCTAGAGTGCAACGACAGATCACAGCTCAATGCAGCTTCAACTTCCCAGGCTTAAGTGACCTTTCCACCTTAACCTTCCAAGTATCTGGGACCACAGAAAATGGCTAATTATCCTGGCTGATTTTTAAACTTTTTTTTTTTGTAGGGATGGGATCGCCCTGTGTTGCCAAGGTTGGTCTCAAACTCCTGGGTTCAAGCAATCATTCTGCCCTGGCCTCTGTGATGGTTAATACTGAGTGTCAACTTGATTGGATTGAAGGATACAAAGTATTATTTTTGGGTGTGTCTGTGAGGGTGTTGCCAAAGGAGATTACATTTGAGTCAGTGGACTGGGAAAGTCCACCCTTTCCCAGTGGACTGGGAGACCCACCCTCAATCCAGGTAAACACAATCTAATCAGCTGCCAGTGTGGTCAGAATAAAAGGAGGCAGAAGAACAGGGAAACACTAGACTGGCTTAGTCTTCCAGCCTACATCTTTCTCTCATGCTGAATGCTTCCTACCCTCGAACATCAGCCTCCAAGTTCTTCAGTTTTTGGACTCTTGGACCTTCAACCACAGATTGAAGACTGCAGTGTTGGCTTCCCTGTTTTTGAGGTTTTGGGACTCAGACTGGCTTCCTTGCTCCTCAGCTTGCAGATGGCCAATTGTGGGACTTTAACTTGTGATCATGTGAGTCAATATTCCTTAATAAACTCAGATATATATATATGTATCAGACATATATATATATCCTATTGTATATTATATACAGATATATAATATCCTATTATATACAGATATATAATATCCTATTATATACAGGTATATATATATATATGTATCATATATATATATCCTATTGGTTCTATCCCTCTTGAGAATCCTGACTAATACAGCCTCCCAAAATGCTGAGATTACAGGAGTGAGCCACAGCCACCATGCCCAGCCCCAAATTCTTAATTATACAACAATGGGTCCAGAGATCAGGGCCTGGGTAGGATGCAGCAATAAGAAAACAGATGGTGGATGGGGACACATGTTGGAAGTGTGGCAGGACATGGCTGAGGGAGCTCATAGGATGGTGTCTATTTTCATGGCTGAGTGTGAGGAACAGCATAAGGTCAAAATTTCAGGTCAATGGTGAGTTTTTTAAATTGTTGCTGTGAACCCCAAAAATCTGACCCAGGTCTCAGTTAATTTAGAAAGTTTATTTTTCCAAGGTTGAGAACACCCACCCACTCACGACAAGAGCATCAGGAGGTCCTGACCACATGTGCCCAAGGTGGTAAGAGCACAGCTTGGTTTTATATATTTTAGGGAGACGTAAGTCATCAATCAATATATGTAAGATGTACACTGGTTCTGCCTAGAAAGGCAGGACAACTTGAAGCAGGGAGGGGGCTTCCATGTCACAGGTAGGTGAGAGACAAACAGTTGCATTCTTTGAGTTTCTGATTATCCTTTCCAAAGGAGGCAATCAGATGTGCAATTATCTCAGTGAGCAGAGGGATGACTTTGAATAGAAAGACAGGCAGGTTTGCCCTAAGAAGTTCCCAGCTTGACTTTTTCCTTTAGCTTTGTGATTTGGAGGCCCCAAGATTTATTTTCCTTTCACATTTCCCCCCTTTTCTTTTTAAAAATCTTTTAGAGAAAGCATTTTAGAAGAAAATGAGTCTCTGGTCCCAGGTTTCATCTGATTGCTCAAGGCTAGGATGGTTTATTCCTAGACAGGTAGGTTCTGAGTTATTAGGAAAGTTCATTTTTAGCAGGTTGTGAAGTTTCATGTCCTGTGAAGAGAAAATAGGGGGAGGAAGGGAGGAAAACAACAATAAACAAAAGAACAATCTGTAAAATTGATATAGGCCACATTCCTCTGAAGTCTATACATCAGTAGGCACATACGAAAGTGGCTTATGTATGTAAATAGGTTGCTGTTGTTTTCTTCTGAAGTTTAAGTTGTCTAGCTTCAGTTTGGAGGGCTTTACAAAAGCATAGCTTAGTTTTCAGTGACTCTCAATTAGGAAAACTTGGGGTGGAAAAGAAGAAAAAAAATTGAAAACATTATTTTAAAGACCTATAGCCAAGAAAAATTAGAATTCAGTCCAAACTGTAGAAAATAATAAAAATTGAAAAACATTAAGCAAGACTAGAATCTACCAACAAGTGTACTATAGTTTTATGAAACAATTTTTCTCTCTCCAGTTTCCCATTTTTACTAGACAAATCATGGTAGGACTGATTTTCTTTATTATACTTGAGCTGTTTATTTGTATACAGTGCAGCAAGAATAACTAGTTTTTGACGGACTTTTAAATTGGCTTTGATGTAACTTTGTTCCATAGAAGGAATCTCAAATAAGACTTTTGTAAAGCTGAGCCCAGCCATGGATTTGTACCATCAAAATACCTATGAGTTGGGTGAATTCCTCTCCTCTTGAGATTCCAAGATAAACTTTGGGCTCCTGGGCCTGTCAGAGTGACATTCTTTAATTACCACAGGTCAGGAACCCTGTACGGGGACTGGGTAGACAAGATATTAGGCCAGTTTTCCTAAGGGGCTTTTATTGGCTCCATAAGTCAAGTTTGATTCCTTAAAGTAAAGACAGCATTGCAGTCAAAGCCTTGGTAAAATAAACAGTTTGTCCAACTGTGTTCTGTTACAAATGAAAATAGATTCTTATTGTACTTATGTAAATATATTGCCATAAGTTAAGAATACTCAAAAATTGTTTCCAAATATATATAGAGAGAAACAAATATGCTCCAAATTGTGTTCACTGGAGTATACTTAATTGTTAAAAGCTGTCAATATCTCAACAGAAAAATTTCCTTGACTCTGAAAAACAAAACGAAGGATCAACATTTTAAGAAAAAAAGTCAAAAAGATTACTTCAGCATTCTTTTAGTTCCATCTATGAAGTTAATTCCTGTTTTGCTTGATATTCATGAATATTTCAGCACTCCATGAATACTGAAAGTTTTTCCTCTATTCTGATGTCACAGTCTCCAAAGCTATCTTAAGCCTGCATTCAAGAGCACCCGTTAGAGTTTTATAGCTGATTATAAAACCACCTTCTAAAGAGGACCAAAGCAAGACAATTGTCTGTGAATGGCAAAAAGTTTTAGGGCAACCATAGTCAAAGACACACTTGATGAGGAAATTTGTTACCTCCATGGCACACAATAATTTACCATAACAATTATAATTATTACTGATAATGTACACCAAGTCATATCAGAATTATAGGAGTTTCCTATAATTTTGGAACACATACCAATAACATATTTATACAAATACAGCCCAAACAAAACCAAACACTATTTCATATTTGACAATGCTTCCTGTAAAATTTTTATACCAAATAAGCCACATTATGTTACTTTTTTTTTTTTTTGGACTTTAGGGAACCTAGTATCTTAAAGGATTCATTAGGTCATAAAAAGACATAATTTGTAGTTTGATTTTGGAAAGTTTGTCAAATTTGAAAGGTTTAAAACACTTGATGAAAGGTCATTGTAAAATAAGTCATTCATTTGACCAAAGTGATAACTCAAGGATTAAAAAAAAAAAAAAAAAAGGTGAAAGCCTTCATTCTTTGAGAGACGAGACTTAATTTTCCAAACAATAAGCCCTAATAAAAACAGCATGAAGCCAATTAAATTTGTTTTCCAAAATTGTATTAACAATCTATGAAATTTTTATCTTGACCATAGCTATAACTTCCAGAAGCCTTTTATAACCTCTATAACCTTTATTAAGGAGTAGGTTAATGCTTCAAGAAAACCTTGTTAATCTGACACAGGACCCATATGCTGATCTTGCATCAGTGTGGCTTGGACATCAATGATTATGATTAATTTATAGAGAAATTGAACTTATTTTATCTCTCAAAATTGGCCCTTACAATCTCACACACCCACCTCTTCCACTATAGTTCCTGGGCCTTGAGTTGAATAGCTTTAATTTCTGGCTCTGTGTTTCAAGAATGCAGTTTATTTTGATTGGCATTTTCTACCAGTCCTGAAGATGAGCCTTTAATTGCTGTCAGTATTTAAGATTTAGCAGGACTTGTCCTTTTAAGACCCAGGAGTCAAGCCCTATAACTCAATGTCACAAGGACTTTAAAAGCACATACATAAAGATATATGGATGTAATAATCATAATTTTTAAAAAATTGTATTAATCTCAGTGTTTTCTAAGCAAACCAAAACTTAATAATAATGGCATAGAAATTATTTCAATAAAACATAAAATCTGTTAAGCCAGTTACCAAAAGGCAAAAGAAAAGACCTTCTGCAATGCACAGAATATTATGTTGGAAGAAAACATTTCCTTTAGACCTTTAAGAAAACATTGTTAGCATCAGGACACAACAAACAGAATCTGAGGGTAAAAAACGTATATGAGCTGAAGGGAGTTGAAGGAGGGCATTACTATTTCCCACCCTTTTAAAGGGGAGAGAAAACCTAAAACAGCAAGATGCAATAAAAGCTGAACTTTGGGTTAAAAAAAAATTCTTAAGTCTCTTATAATTTATTAAGAGTGAATCAACCCCGTAAGAAAATTTCATTGTTCTAACCAATTTTTTAATATATAAGTAGTTTTTTAACATCAACCCAATCTCTAGAAAGACCATTATAATTTCCCTTTAATTATAGACAACTTTATCATATAAAAGTTTTTTTAAATAAATCCTCTTATTGTGACTTACACAGACTATTCATGACATGCTTGGACTTTCTGGTTTGTCGTGAACATCCTTTTCTTTCTTTCTTTCTTTTTTAAATTTTACTTTACGTTCTGGGATACATGTGAAGAACATGGAGGTTTATTACGTAGGTGTACATGTGCCATGGTGGTTTGCTGCACCCATTAACCCGTCATCTATATTAGGTATTTTTCCTAATGTTATCCCTCCCCTTGCCCCCCACCTCCTGACAGGCCCTGGTGTGTGACATTCCCCTCCCTGTGTCCATGTGTTCTCATTGTTCAACTCCCACTTATGAGTGAGAACATGCAGTGTTTGGTTTTCTGTTCCTGTGTTAGTTTGCTGAGAATGATGGCTTCCAGCTTCATCCATGTCCCTGCAAAAGACATGAACTCATTCTTTTTTATGGCTGCATAGTATTCCATGGTGTATACGTGCCACATTTTTTTACCCAGTCTATCATTGGTGGGCATTAGGGTTGGTTCCAAGTCTTTGCTATTGTGAATAGTGCTGCAATAAACATACATGTGCATGTGTCTTTACAATAGAATGATTTCTAATCCTTTAGGTATATACCCAGTAATGGGATTGCTGGGTCAAATGGTATTTCTGGTTCCAGATCCTTGAGGAATTGCCACACTGTCTTCCACAATGGTTGAACTAACTGACACTCCCACCAACAGTGTAAAAGCATTCCTATTTCTCCACATCCTCTCCAGCATCTGTTGTTTCCTGACTTTTTAATAATCGCCATTCTAACTGGCATGAGATGGTATCTCATTGTGGTTTCAATTTGCATTTCTCTAATGACCAGTGATGATGAGCTTTTTTTCATGTTTGTTGGCCACATAAATGTCTTCTTCTGAGATGTGTCTGTTCATATCTTTTGCCCACTTTTTGATGGGTTTTTTTTTCTTGCAAATTTGTTTAAATTCCTTGTAGATTCTGGATATTAGCCCTTTGTCAGATGGATAGATTGAAAAAATTTTCTCCTATTCTGTAGGTTGCCTGTTCACTCTGACAATAGTTTCTTTTGCTGTGCAGAAGCTCTTCAGTTTAATTAGATCCCATTTGTCAATTGGCTTTTGTTGCAATTGCTTTTGGTGTTCTAATCATGAAGTCTTTGCTCATGCCTATGTCCTGAATGGTATTGCCTAGGTTTTCTTCTATGGTTTTTATGGTTTTAGGTCTTATGTTTAAATCCTTCTTTTTTTTTTTTTTTTTTTTTGAGATGGAGTCTTACTCTGTTGCCCAGGCTGGAGTGCAGTGGCGTGATCTCCACTCCCTGCAAGCTCCACCTCCTGGTTTCACATCATTCTCCTGCCTCAGCCTCCCAAGTAGCTGGGACTACAGGCGCCCACCACCATGCCCAGCTAATTTTTTGTATTTTTTAGTAGAGACAGGGTTTCACTGTGTTAGTCAGGATGGTCTCCATCTCCTGACCTCATGATCCACCCATCTCGGCCTCCCAAAGTGCTGGGATTACAGGCGTGAGCCACCATGCCCAGCCATGTTTAAATCTTTAATCCATCTTGAGTTGATTTTTGTATAAGTTGTAAGGAAGGGGTCCAGTTTCAGTTTTCAGCATATGGCTAACCAGTTTTCCCAACATCATTTATTAAATAGGGAATTATTTTCCCCATTGCTTATTTTTGTTAGGTTTGTCAAAGATCAGATGGTTGTAGATGTGTGGTGTTATATCTGAGGCCTCTGTTCTGTTCTTTTGGTCTATATATCTGTTTTGGTACCAGTACCATGCTGTTTTGGTTACTGCAGCCTTGTAGTATAGTTTGAAGTCAGGTAGCACAATGCCTCCAGCTTTGTTCTTTTTGCTTAGGATTGTCTTGGCTATTAGTTTTTTCTAATTCTGTGAAGAAAGTCAATGGTAGCTTGATGGGGATAGCATTGAATCTATAAATTACTTGGGCAGTATGGCCATTTTCACGATATTGATTCTTCCTATCCATAAGCATGGAATGTTTTTCCATTTGTTTGTTTCCTCTCTTATTTCCTTGAGCAGTGGTTTGCAGTTCACCCTGAAAAGGTCTTTCATGTCCATTGTAAGTTGTATTCCCAGGTATTTTATTCTCTTTGTAGCAATTGTGAATGGGAGTTCACTCATGATTTGGCTCTCTGTTAGTCTATTATTGGTGTATAGGAATGCCTGTGATTTTTGCACATTGATTTTGTATCCTGAGACTTTGCTGAAGTTGCTTATCAGCTTAAGGAGTTTTGGGGCTGAAATGATGGGGTTTTCTAAATATGCAATCATGCATCTGCAAACGGAGAAAATTTGACTTCCTCTCTTCCTATTTGAATACCCTTTATTTCTTTCTCTTGCTTGATTGCCCTGGCCAGAACTTCCGATACTATGTTGAATAGGAGTGGTGAGAGAGGACATCCTTGTCTTGTGCCAGTTCTCAAAGGGAATGTTTCCAGCTTTTGCCCATTCAGTATGATATTGGCTGTGGGTTTGTCATAAATAGCTTTGAACATCCCTTTCTTAGCCAGTCACTTTATTCTAGCACAAAATTTTAGGTAAGATTCTTTCTTACCTAAAATTATTTCTCTTTAAGCTTTCTTACCAAAAAATACCACTTTATTTCTATAATTTTCTTTACATTTCCCTTATTTCCTTGTTCCTTTTACCTTGTTTTATACATAACTTTTCAATAAGCTTTGAATTAGACAAAAATTATTCACCTTTTTAAAAGGACACTTTTTTTTTTAGAAAGAATGGTTTCCTACAATATGTTTTTCTTGGAAAATACCCAAATAATGAAATACTTATTATTTAATTTAACTTTAGATTCTAAATTATGGTGAGTTTGTCTACAAATATTTATCCCATTACATTTACCTAATTATTTTATTTTAACTGTTTATCTAGATTATTTATGAAAACTGTGATAGCCATCATTTAAAGTTATGAAACTGCCATCACTGAGACAGTGAAAAAGATCTGACCTAGCTGACTCCATTTTGCTTCTAACGTCCAAGCTGTCCTTGTTCATTCCTGGGCATAGGCTGAATTAACTTTGGGAGGAACTTAGTTTATAGTTTAGCTTTGAAACAAAAGATGATAACAGTCATTTTCCAAAACAAACCTCCTTCCTGCCTGTGGACTAGACTGCCTAAAGCCACAAAGTTAGAAGTTATGGTAATTTTACTAAATAATGCAAGATGTAGCTATTTTCATTAAACCAATAGTAATGTCTTTTTAATCAAAGATTGAAAAAGCAAAGATTATTCTGTTTTGGCTGGGTTTATAGTTTTGTAACCCCTATGCCAAATTTTGACACCTTATAGTATTTGACAGGGATAAGTATAAAATTGCTTGATTGATAAATCCAAACAAAAATGTATGCTGGGAATGATTTTGTTTCAGGGCAGTCATTACTTAATTTTTAAAACTCTTATTTAAATTTGCAATGTTTTAAATGAACATCACTTAAAGTAGTAATCAACAGAGGTTAGGAGAACATAACAATACTCTTTCTCTTAGAAAATACAACAAAAATATAATTTTTTACAGTTTTGCTCCCAAACTTTTCTCTGTAATAACATGCCTTACTCACCTTTACAATAGGTTTGTTGTGAGAATCTTGTAATGTAAACCCTGGGTGTTCTGTGAAGCATTTTTAAACTTCTAGTTTACACTGACTCTTATTCAAGTGTTTTTAAAAATATATTTAAAAAACTGGCCAGGTGCAGTGGCTCACACCTGTAATCCCAGCACTTTGGGAGGCCAAGGCGGGCAGATCACAAGGTCAGGAGTTTGAGACCAGCCTAGCCAACATAGTAAAACCTCGTGTCTACTAAAAATACAAAAATTAGCTGGGCGTGGTGGCGGGCGCCTGTAGTCCCAGCTACTCAGGAGGCTGAGGCAGAAGAATCGCTTGAACCCGGGAGGCAGAGGTTGTGGTGAACCAAGTTTGCGCCACTGCACTCCAGCCTGGACGACAGAGCAAGACTCCATCTCAAAAAAAATATATATATATATATATATTTTAAAAACTGTTCTTCTCTTTCCAATATTTTTATAATTTCCAAGAGATTTTAAGGATCTTGAGAGAACATTTATTACAGAAATATCTACTACTATTACTAGTCAAGAAAGCAAACTTAGGTAAAGGAAAGACTTAATATTTTGTCCTATATACATCTTAATCATCCTAATGGTAAAAACTCACATGAAACTTCAAGATACAAGGTGATATGAGAACCTCAACATGGAAAGCTGTCACTATAACTACAACAGTGTACAAACATGCTTCTACTTTTACCTACATAAGCTGACAGATGTTTAAAATACTAGCTTAACAAAGATCTTTTAGTAAAGTGACTTATGCAAGCTTAAATTAGCAAGGATTAAGGATAAACCCTTACTACTTAATTGGAAGATCTGTGACATATTGTATATTTCATTTTACAAAATCAGAAATACTTATTTTGAAACAAGACAAGACATGGTCTACCTGTCAAAAAACCACCACTCAGAAATATTTTTCATTCACAACACAGGAAAAACATAAAACCGTTTAAATTTCACATTGGCACCAAAAAGATTAACTGCCCGGCCTTTTTGGATTAGAAAAACTAAAGCTGAGTGTTAAGTAGTTTTGCAGGCATTTGAACATGTCTAAGCTTTTAAATCAGTAAAATGCTTTCTAATAATTCTGATTACAAAAGTAGTACATACTTATAAAAAATTTAAACAGGGCTGGGCGTGGTGGCTCACACCTGAAATCCCAGCACTTTGGGAGGCCAAGGTGGGTGGATCACTTGAGGTCAGGAATTACAGACCAGCCTGGCCAACATGGTGAAACCCCATCTCTACTGAAAATACAAAAATTAGCCAGGCATGGTGATGGGTGCCTGTAATCCCAGCTACACAGGAGGCATGGGAGGCTGAGGCAGGAGAATCACTTGAACCTGGGAGGCGGAGGTTGCAGTGAGCTGAGTTCACGCCACTACATTGCAGCCTAGGCGACAAGAGTGAAACTCCATTTAAAAAGAAAAAACAAAATTTCAAACAGAACAAAATGAAAAAAATACCAAGTGAAAGGCCCCTATAAAAACCCCTCTGGGGCCCATCCTCCCACCCCCTCAAGTGAAACCACATTTAACAATTTGGTGCATATCTTTCCAAACCTTTTGTTGTACACATATAAAAAACATACATGCTTTGATTTGGCTCAGACTGTACATAGTGTTTTCCCTCTTGCATTTTACACTTAATATATCTTTGACATCTTTCTATGTCAGTGCATGTTGGCTCGATGATATTCTATCATTAAATACCCTTCCAAAAATGGTAAAATCATTTTAAAAAATCATTCACACAAGTACATATTTACAATTTTAAAAGAAAACAGAATCCCAAAACACAACGACAAACCTCTAAAAATAATCTCTATCTTTCCACCAGCATGGAACAGTTCATTCCTTTTTCACATAAAACGAATTATGTGATTGGAAAGATTAACTCTAATCTACACATTTATATACAGAATGTTCTATTTGTTAAGCCTATCTGAAAATAAAAAATTCAGATGATTAATTCACTTACACTTAGAAATTAAGTCAATATACTATGAATACACATTGTGATCAGTTATAATATGATGCTTCTTAGTCTAGGGTTTCAATTAAATAACAGTAAAAAAAATTGGATAAATAAGACAGCTAATAACTGAAAAATCCAGAAATTCAAAGATTATATTGCCAACTAAAACACTGCCATTTACATTTTTTTTTCCTACTTGGTAGCAAATGCTAATGGAATTCAATCCTGATTACTTAAAGTCAGTTCACATCACACATTCAATCAGGATAATACGAACATAATATGCCTACTATAGCGTTAGATTAAGACATAAAATTTTTTTGCTTGAAAGTAATGACTGCGTACCACTTGAGACATTTGTCAACCACTTCAGCACATTGTTTACGAGTGACTGGATGTCCACAAGGAATAAAAACGACAGCAATATTTCTATCCATACAGATTTTGCAAAGCTTCTCCTCTTGCAGGTGTCTTAGCTGCTCTTCAGTACTAATCTCTTTCTGCAATGAAGTCTGACTTGATTCGTCTTGTGTACTGTCTTTCTGAGCCTTCACTGGATCTGCAATCAGAACCTCAAGTGATTTACAGTTGCTCCCAGATGTCTGAATTTTTTCCTCCATTATTTTCTTAATGTCTTTGAAACTGAACCCCATTCATATAGCTTCTTGTACCATAGGATTATGGAAGATGGTATCAATTTTTCTAGTTAGTGATGGCGTTTTTTCAGCAGTTCTTACCAGACACTCCTCAAGTGAATGGGATAAATGAATATTGTTTATATATTTTCGTGTCTTCTGTTCTAACAGATATTTACACCCTGGATGCCATTTATCATGTTGTTCCCAAGGGTCTTCGCTGGGCTTCCAATCAGTTAGCCCCCCTCCACAGTGAAAGCACTTTACTTTATCACCTTCACCTAAAGCATAAAATCCAGCTCTTGAAAGCTGCTCCTTGTTAACTGAATATATCCACATCCCAAAAGTAATGATCCATGCTTCATAATCTGCCACGGATGGATGGATGGATGGATGGATGGATGGATGGATGGATGAATGGATGGATTGATTTCTTGGAGGATTTGTTGAATTTGGGAAATTCCACGCCAGGACAGCTGGCCCAAACTGCCCGCGACAATCTGCTCGGTACAAGGGGAGGGTCCTGGAGAGGGTGCGGCCCGAGCCCCAGTCTGGAAATGCCAACTTGGCTCTGCAGCCGGGCCTTAGCCACTTGGGTCTGGCATCCCTCCATTATTAGCGCCATGCCGGCTCGGGGTGCTGCCAAGGTCCTGCCACTTCCCCAACCCAGAAGGGGGCAGCAAGAAAAAACGAAGCCCCCGTACCACCCCCCACCCCACCAACCCTCACCCCACTGCACCCCCACTAGTTCTGTAACCCAGAACCTGCTGGCAATTCTTAAGACATTTCAAATAATGTTAAAGCTAGCTTATTTATTAAAGATTTTACTTAAGTTATATAAACTTGAACAAGCATTTGACTTGTCTTTTCCTTTTTCCTGATAAGGTATTTGATTCAAGCGCTTTTATTGTCTTAAGTCAATTAATTAGAACTCCTCTATATATTTTCAGTAGTGAAAAACTGTGTACACAACACGTAAATACATAGACGTATTAGGCATGCCAATAGAAATACATCTTATAGATTCATAAAGACTTTTTTTTTTCCTACCTTAGACGTTCAAGTTCTTGATAACTTGTTTCACTACTTTGGCAGTTGTCAGCTAAATAACCCTAAATTTGCATATTAAAGGAAACAACTCTTAGACGAAAATTCAGATAGCAAAATTTACATCTCAAGGTACAGAGAGAAAAAGTCTGGTGGTGCTAGAGGGAGATTAAAGATGGAAAGAAATCTACCATAGTACTGTATAAGGAGACCAATTTTATTGACATTGTAATACCTAACCTTGTTTTCAGACTCTCCCTTTCTCCCTTAATCACCTAGCCTTGTTTCCACATGAATAAGCTCTCCCTTAGCTGAGAAAGCCAGAGGAACTCGATTTCGCTCCTTCATTTACCAGACATCAAGGACTCCTTACCCACCCCCTTCCTCAAGGAGTTAACTTGTGTACGCTGACTCCCAACATATCAAAGAGTCCAATTAACTGATAAGGTACTGAAGCAAGCAATGTACGAAGTTCCCAGGATTTCGCTCAAGAGATAACAGCATAAAGCCTTGAGTTTGTGTCCGGCAGAGCCCCCATACCTAACATCTTATGATAGATTTAGAGCCCCTGCACCTGGAACTGTTTGTTTCCCTGTAACCACTTGTCTTTTTAATTTCTTTGCATGTTTTTACTCCTGTAGAATTGTTGCAACTGAGCTCCCCTCCCCTTCCTAAACCAAAGCATAAAGGAAAATCAAGCCCCTTCCAAGGGGCCGAGAGAATTTCGAGCGTTAGCCGTCTCTTGGTCGCCGGCTGATAAAGGACTCTTAAATTCGTCTCAAAGTGTGGCGTTGCTCTAACTTGCTCGGGTACGACAACATCGAGTCTACCTATCTTTTTTTTTTTTGAGACGGAGTCTCACTGTCGCCAGGCTGGAGTGCAGTGGCGCCATCTCGTCTCACTGCAAGCTCCACCTCCCGGGTTCAAACGATTCTCCTCTTTCCTCAGCCTCCCGAGTGGCTGGGACTACAGGCACCTGCCACCACACCCAGCTAATTTTTGTATTTTTAGTAGAGACGGGGTTTCACCATGTTGGCCAGGATGGTCTCGATCTCCTGACCTCGTGATCCGCCCGCCTCGGCCTCCCAAAGTGCTGGGATTACAGGCTGGGCCTCTACGCCCGGCCGAGACTACCTCTCTTTTAACTGGATCTCTGAGCTCTGGGCAGAGCCCACCCTGAATCCTGGTCTCCAAAAAGGGAAAATTATTAGGAGGCTAGACCATATGATGCTTTTACAGTGCACTTAAAAAAAAGTTTGTTTTTTTTTTAAAAGACATTTCTACATGTCTAAACTACAATCTTCCTTGAAAACCCAAGAGTAGCTTCTGTTGCAATAGCTAGTCAAAAATATAATAGTCAAAAAAATCAGGTAACACAACACAAACGCAAGCAGTTTAAGAGCTGAAATGAACTTGTCTGTTTACACTCTAGGGATTCCATAAGGAAAAATAGAAGTTTCTCCCTAAAAGGGAGCCTGGCACCTTCTCCATTTTCTTTAAGGAACCCCAGGCTATTATAAACTATTTTAGGGCTCTCATGCAGCAGACGGTGCAAGAGAAAGGAGAGACAGCAGAAGTAAATGAAGAAAACAGAATCCAGTCAACAGAGAAGAAAAAAACTTTTGCTCAAAAAAAGGCAAGTTCCTAGGAAAGAAAAAAAAAACATGAGGGCTATTTAAATACAAAGACGCATACATACACATGCACACATCTTGGATGTTAGCTTTTAATTAAGCTGACTTTTAACTATTGAGGTCCTTTAAAATAAATCTTTTAAAATCTTATTACGATATTTCAGCTAGGACAAATTGCTGCTATTTCAGCATTACCAAGTATCAAACCAGAAAAGGCTTGATTTAGGAACCAAACCCAGGCTGTCGTGGTAGGAAAAAAGGCAGAACCTTAGCTATGGAACCCACAGCATGGGGCAACAGCCATTGCTCTTTCAGTATGGCCTGGCTAGCAAAAAGGTGGCCTTGTTATGTAAATAAAGCCCGTTTGGTGGTCAAAATGAAACATCTTTTCCTTTTTTTTTTTTCTTTTGCTGGCCGTTTTTTCCCCCACCATACCACGTTTGTGTGTGTGGGAGGGTGGGAATTTAGCCACTTCAGAGGCCTCATTCCCCATAATTTGGAAATTTCCTTTGGATTTGATCAAGTCAGATAGAGTAGGTCAAACCCAATGGGAAAAAGACTGAAACAGCAATAAAAACAGAAACAAACAGTTAAGCAAAATGAATGATCACACAACTTATATGATTACTGAGTGCTCTAATGGTAAGGAGAAATTAAGACCAGCTGGTTGTTAAACTTTAGCCAAGACAAAACCCCAATTCAGCTACTTACCTAGGGTTGGGTCTCAGGCTGAAGACCGCTCACTACCGTTCTAGAAGCAAGAAATAAAACTTGAACTCGTCTTACCTGTGTAGCAGGACAAGCCGCAGACAAAATCCCTCAGACACCAAATTAAAGAAGGAAGGGCTTTATTGGGCCTGGAGCTGCGGCAAGACTCACGTCTCCAACAACCGAGCTCCCCGAGTGTGCAATTCCTGTCCCTTTTAAGGGCTCACAACTCTAAGGCGGTCCACATGAGAGAGTCGTGATAGATTGAGCAAGCAGGGGGTATGTGACTGGGGGCTGCATGCACCTGTAGTTAGAATGGAACAGAACATGACAGGGATCTTCACAGTGCTTTTCTTATGCAAATAACCGATTAGATCAGGGGTCGATCTTTACCAGGCCCAGGGTGTGTCACCGGGCTGTCTGCTTGTGGATTTCATTTCTGCCTTTTAGTTATTACTTCTTTCTTTGGAGGCAGAAATTGGGCATAAGACAATATGAGGGGTGGTCTCCTCTCTTACCTGCGGGGAGTGAGCTCAAACTCCTTAAAGGAGTTACCTGCCTTCCATCATCAGGGAAGCAGGAAATCTTGCCTTCCTTGTTGGAAGCAAGTAAAACTCAAAACAAACAAAGAAAAAAACAGGGAGTTGTACAGCAAAATAAACTTTTGATTTTGACCAAATTTTGGGAGATCAGGAATTCTCTGAAGGAGATGCTTTCAGACCTCAGCAAATTGTCCTGTTGGTTTGAGCCATAAAGTTAGCTCATGCTGGTACCAAACACCAGTAGGAGATTTGTCAAAGGTAAGAGGCATCTCCACTCAGAATCCCTTCGTGGTTACCAACATGTGAACCTTGGAAATCTGAGACAGGTCTCAGTTAATTTAGAAAGTTTATTTTGCCACGGTTGAGGACACCCACCCATGACAGAGCATCAGGAGGTCCTGACCACATGTGCTCAGGGTGGTCTGAGCACAGCTTGGTTTTACACATTTTAGGGAGACATGAGACATCAGTGAATATATGTAAGATGTACACTGGTTCCCTCCAGAAAGGCAGAACAACTTGAAGCAGGGAGGGAGCTTCCAGGTCACAGGTAGGTGAGAGACAAACAATTGCATTCTTCTGAGTGTCTGATTAGCCTTTCCAAAGGAGGCAATCAGATATGCATTTATCACAGTGAGCAGAGGGGTGACTTTGAATAGAATGGGAGGCAGGTTTGCCCTAAGCAGTTCCCAGCTTGACTTTTCCCTTTAGCTTAGTGATTTGGAGGCCCCAAGATTTATTTTCCTTCTACATCACTGTGGGCAGCTGACTAGGAAAGCTTTGTAGGACTAGTGGGCAGTGTGAGAGCCCAGTGGGGGGTGGTGGTCCTGTGCCAATGGTAGCAACCACCTGTGAGGCTGAGTAAACTCATTTCCCAACCTCCTCTAGCAGCCCCAGTGGAGATACAGAGGAAGCAGACTAGCGATACAACCCAGCCTGAAGTTTTGTCTGGTGAGTGTAATGGAATAAAAATGGGAAGGGTGCTGAAGAGACCAGCAAGAAAATGGTTGAAGAGATGGGGCACAGAAATTAAGCTGGATCAAAAAGGACGGAAAAGCAGAAAGGGCCGATAGAGAGAGGGGATATCTATGGGTTCGCGATTCTGAAAAGGACAAATCACTGGTGCTTTGAGAAGAGAGAGGGTGAGAAAGCAGGAAGGCTGGAGGCTGTCATCCAAGAGGCGGACATCTGTGAACATGATTCCAAGAGTCACCAGACCATGGGGGTGGCCAAAGGGAGTGCCTCTTCTCACCTCCTACTCTTAATTCCTTGTACTCAAGATAATAAGTTCCCAGAAGAGAAGTACCCATATTTAATTCATCTGTGTCTTCCTAGCAGTACTAAAAATATTATATGAAAGGTATCAAACCTTTGAGAATGTGTGCTGCTAAATTGTTAAGGATGCTGGAAAACTCAAGACGTCCCTGATCCTGAGCCTGAGTATGAGCCTGTGGTGAGCCCAATGCAGGTCTCCATTCGGACAAAGGCCTCAGGGAACGGATGAGACCTAGGGACAGAGATGCATGCTGGAGCAGCATTCCCCATCCCTACTGCAGCTCAGGCCAGCTGACTGCTTTATGAGTAAACGTTACCAGGGAACACTTTGCAGTCTTAACACACATGCCCACCTGTGACCACTGATCCCTGTTGGGTGACCACTGACATCAGAGATTCGATGGCAGCAATGAAGACAAGGCTATCCTCATTAGGAAGGAAAGGAAGGAGGAGGGAGGAGGGCAAACGAATCTTTCCTGCTTGTCAACCACGTCCATCTCTGTTAGGTGATTTCCCATGTGTGACTTTGTTTATCTTTATAATAACTCTGAGAGGTAGGTCTTGATGTCCACATTTTGAACATGAGGACATCCAGCCAGGAAGTTGAGTTCTGGGGACATAGCTGAGAGGGCAAAGCTACATATAAACCCCTCTTTGTTTTTTCTGGCTTATCCACTGAGTGCCCCCTGCAATCCACCAGCCCATTTGTGAAGTGCATACTATAGGTAAGTTGGCACAGGAGGAGTGGATGTGGGCGATTTTGTCACAGCTCTCCAGGAACTTACACACTGGTGAGGAGGGCCAGGTATGTTCCTGACCAGTCACAATCAAAGCAACCTCCTACTAATCAGGGAGGCTTGGTACCTGGGGAATGCTATGTTGAAAGGTTCTTTTCTGGGTTTTAAAATGATGGGTCTATTTCCTTATTCTTAAGATTGCTTTTTTTCTGGCTAGAACTTAAAAGAAATTTTCAGTAAAATTTCCCTTCCCTGGCACAAAGTGAGCTTGAAATGAATTCCCAGGTGGCCTTGATACTTTAAAATATTGCCTCCTATAAAATCAACCTTTAGAAGAAGGAAGTCAAAGAACATGCTAGATTTCACAAAGGTTAATTCCTTGAAATCCAGTTATCTACAGGACAATGTTGTCAAAGAAAAAATTATTTGGCCAGGCACGGCGGCTCATGCCTATAATCCCAGCACTTTGGGAGGCTGAGGCAGGTGGATCACCTGAGGTCAGGAGTTCGAGACCAGCCTGGCCAACATGGTGAAACCCCATCTCTACTAAAAATACAAAAAAAATTAGCCAGGTGTGGTGGTGGGCACCTGTAATCCCAGCTACACGGGAGGCTGAGGCAGGAGAATCGCTTGAACCCGGGAGGAGGAAGTTGCAGTGAGCCAAGTTCAAGCCACTGCACCCCAGCCTGGGCAACAGAGCAAGACTTTGTCTCAAAAAAAAAAAAAAATTCAATGATATTTTTAAATTCATGGTAAGGAAGATTTCATTCAGAACCAGCACAGAAGATATAGGAAACACTGCAATGGGACTTTGCGGTGGGGGAGAGAGATTGAACACAACTACATATACAGCACGGGCAAGGACATATTCATAGCCAGGAAGCAGAGCAAAGATCAGTGGATGCGAAATTACTAAGAGGAAACATGAAAAATAAGGGAGCTTCTGCCTAAACCCACCTAACCGGATCCTTGCTGAAGACAGGACAGGGTGATTGGACACCACTTTGGGGATGGTGGAGGATGGGGAATCCAGTGAGATTTCAAGGGTGATCAGATATTGAACATAGAAGGTTCTTGCTAAAAAAGGAGTTTACAAGAAAGTGTACAAATGTGCCTGGGAGAAGGTTCAGGAGCCTGACTAAAATTTGGTCAAGCAGAGAATATTTGCCAAGATAATAGCTAAGTCTTCTGACAAACAATAGATGCTAAGCCAGCAAGGGTGATGTGCTCAGAGAAAGCACTGAGGGCTTATTTCCTTTTCCCCCAATCTCCACTCAGTCAAGTCTAGTCCCCTTGTCAATGTAGCCATTTGTAAGAATGCAATCAGGCAGGGTCCCATCTCCTAGTGACAGGACTGACTGAAGTTCTGCTGAAGAGAGTGGCCTGGGGCTGACACCGAGATTTCAGAGTCCTGGGTTTCGCCGAGAGCTCAGTGTAGTGCCATGCCCTCTCTCCACCTGAACGCCCAGTGTGGGCAGGAACAACTGCAGCTAGAAGTCTGGCACTTACGCTGGGGTCTAAGACCTGCCTGATCTGCTAACTAGTCTTGTCCCTTGGCTATAAACTGACGTTGGCACCTGGCCAGAAAGATGAGCAAGAGATCTCTGACACACCTTTAAGTCCCTGTGGAGTAGGATTATGTTGGGGAAGGTCATTCTCTTGACTGAGCAGCAATTTCAGAAGGAAGTCCCATGCAGAAGTGAGAGAAGGCAGGGAATCCTGCCTAGTCAGCTAGAGCAAAACAGTCTGCAGGACGGGACCCAGGGATGTGATCCTCCCATCCAAAGGCACTGAACTAAATGACTAAAATACTTTCCAGGGCTCACGTTCTTTGAAGAATGGGGACTAAAACTAAGACAGGAGCCAGCAAGTGAGGACTTGGAAGGAGATGGCTCATCTGATCAGCCTCCACTCAACAATTTTAATCATCCACACTGGCATGGGGACACAATATGAATAAGTTGACAGGGACCTACTCTGATTAAGCAGTGGGCTAGTGCAGAGACCTGTCAGTCAAGAGTGGACAGGAGATGATTTCAGACAGTGAGAACAAAATTAACAGAGTCATGTGCTAAAGGGTGGCTGGAACTACAGAGGAGTTTAAGACTCAAGAGGTCTGGCTGGGCGCGGTGGCTCATGCCTGTAATCCCAGCACTTTGGGAGGCCGAGGCGGGCGGATCACAAGGTGAGGAGATCAAGACCATCCTGGCTAACGCAGTGAAACCCCATCTCTACTAAAACTACAAAATATTAGCCAGGCGTGGTGGCGGGCACCTGTAGTCCCAGCTACTCGGGAGGCTGAGGCAAGAGAATGGCGTGAACCCGGGAGGCAGAGCTTGCAGTGAGCCAAGATTGCGCCACTGCCCTCCAGCCTGGGCGACAGAGCGAGACTCCGTCTCAAAAAAAAAAAAAAGACTTGAGGGAGTTGTTTATTTTTGTTTTCTTTTTAAGACAGGGTCTTTGTTGGGCGCGGTAGCTCACGCCTGTAGTCCCAGCACTTTGGAAGGCTGAGGTGGAAAGATCTCTTGAGCCCAGGAGTTTGAGGCCACTCTGGGCAACATAGCAAGACACCGTCTCTACAAAAAATGTGCAGGTTGAGGCTGCAGTGAGCAGAAAAACACCGCTGCACTCTAGCCTGGATGACAGAGCGAGACCCTGTCTCAAAAAAAAAAAGAAAAAAGACAGGGTCTCGCTGTGTCACACAGGCTGGAATGCAATGGTGCAATCATGGTTCACTACAGCCTGGAACTCCTGAGCTCAAGCAATTCTCCTACCTTGGCCTACCAAAGTTCTAGGACTACAGGTGTGAGCCACCACACGTGGCCTCAGGAGAGATCTTAATAATAAAAGGACAAATTGCCTTGTATCCCTTAGGGGCAGGATTGACACATCCAAGGATCAGGCAGAAAGCCTGTGCGGAGTGGGATGAGCAAAGAGAAAGGCTGAGAGCTGGGAAGAGGGAGATGCAGTGCCAGCTAGGACAGGGCCTTTTGGGCTATGGGAGGCTCTCAGAGGAGACCCCACCTAAACTAACCCATAACATTGCAGTGGGGACCTGTTGAAGTCATGGACTACTACCTGAAAGCCAGAGAAATGGGAGGAGCCTTTCCTCTGAGGAGGGACTCTAGTCCATAGGTATCTTGCCACCAAATACATGGACAGGCCCTGGGGGAAGATGGTGGTAGCCCAGCTGGAGGAAAACCATTTGCCACCTGAACTAGCCCAGGGTAAGCCACCCAGGCACTGAGGGTGCACACCCATGCATGCACACACAGAATCACACTCCTTCCTATTATTCCTCAATTCAGGGGTCTCAACACCCATTTTTTTTGTTTTTGGGGTTTTTTTTACATGTTTACATTTTATTTATTTATTATTTTGTGACAGGGTCCCACTCTGTTGCCCAGGCTGGAGCACAGTGCAGTCGTGCAATCATATTAGATTGGTGCAAAAGTAATCACGGTTTTTGTCATTAAAAGTTTTGCCATTACTTTTAATGATAAAAACCACGATTACTTTTGCGCCAACTTAATAGCTCACTGCAGCCTCAAAATTCCTGGTCTCAGGGAATCCTCCTGCCTCAGCTTCCTGAATAGCTGGGACTACAGGCACATGCAATCCTACCTGGCTAATTTTTTAAAAATTTTTTTTGTAAAGATAGAAACTCATTTTGTTGTCCAGGCTGGTTTCAAACTCTTGTCTTTGTGCCTCCCTCTGCCCTGTGCAAGACCTTCTGGATGCCCACTAATGAAGACTTCCAGGGAGAGGAAAAGTAAACATAGGTCCCTGATCAAGGGACCAGGGTTTATCGACCACAAACAGCATGCCCAGATTCCACTGGCAGTCCTAGAGGTCGCATTTGCCCCAAGTGTGTGTGGAAGGCCTCTCCCTAGCAGTTGGTTTATACACCAGCCACAGCACAGCATATTCTCTTAAATTGTGAACATTTGCAAAACCTCCTTGAGGACAACTATCATGTCTTGTGTACTTTTGTTTCCCTTCCCCTATGTACACGCACGCGCGCGCACACACACACACACACACACCCCTCAAACTGAATGCCTGGTGTGCTGAATGGATGAATGGCTAATGTAAGTCATTCTAAAAGCTACTTTCTTTGGCATACCATCACCTTTGATTTCATCTTTCTGGAACTCCTATGTTCCCAGATGAATTTGGAAAGCCCTCAGGAAACATTTCAAAATTGCTATATGGGAGAAATGGGAGGGTCTCTCTAGAAATTTACCTGCCACAGGTATTTCTGGTAAGACACAGCAAAGGTGGCACCACCCATTCCTCGTTACAATGTCAATGCCAGTCACCTTCCTGTCCCATAAAACTTTATTAAAGGTGCAGAATTCCCATGGAAGCAGGTGGACACCATCTGCTTCCAGCCAGCCAGGGGAGCAAGGTGTCCACTGTGCCTTTGTGGCAGGAACTGCGCTTCTCTACTCTCCCACTTTGAGGCCTCTGGGGCTGGCCTGCTGCCTCCTCATTGACAAGGCTGCTTACTGAGCAGTTCATTCTGAGCTGGACATAGTGCTTCTGGTGAGTCTCTACTTCTATTTAACCCAAAGATATTCTTTCCTAAGGAAACGCTTTCCTGTCGGGGGAGGTTAGCTCCAGATGGAAGTCACAAGTGATGGCATGGTAGCTCTCATCCGTTTGGGTGGATGATATTCACGGAGCACCACCATGAGCCAGTCATGGAGGTGAACAGTATATGCCAGCCCTGAATCAGGTGCATTGACAGCAAGGGAGACAAGCAAACAAAGCTGAGGTTTGCTGAGGATGTTCAAGACTCACACAGCACAGAGGAGCATCCACCACCCAGCTTGGGAAAGGACTTGTTATAGAGGGGGTGAAGCATGAGCTGAGTCTTGAAAGACTAGAAATTAGCCAAACTACAAGGAGGAGAAGGAGTTTCCAGTCAGGAAGAACAGGTTATGCAAAAGCACAGAGACTAGAAAGAATATCACATTCAAGGAACTGCAAATAGACAGGAAAGGTTGATGCGTGGGATAGGAGAGGAGGGCAGGGGATTCCAGGTGGGCCCTGCTTGCCACACTCAGGAGCTTGAACTTATCCACAAAGGAGATGTGGAACCAGTAATGAATGGGTTTTGTGCAAGGGCTTCATGTCACCAGATTTGCTTTTTGGAGATACTTCTGTGGCTGATATGTGAGGAAGGGATGGAGGAAGTTTCCGTGGCAATCAGGAAAACCAATTAGCAGATGATTCAAATGGCCTAGGGGAAAAGGGAGGAGGACTTGGACTACCATGCAGCAGCAGAAATGGAGAGAAATAACAGATCCCAGGCACTCAGGAAGCGCTCAGAATGAGCCCTTCAAAGAACTTATGGTAGGTGATGGATGGATGGAGTGTGAGTCCTGGGATAGCATTGCCTGGGAAAATACTTTCTAGTTGAGACAGGGAAGTGGGCCAGCAGAAATGGAGGGCTTCTTCTTTTTGCTTTAAATACTTTTATAATATTTGGAACTTTGAAAATGAGCAGATATATTAGCAAAAAGCCTAAAAGGGATATTTTTGAAATCACTGCTAGTTCTAACATATAACTTTCAGCTTGCACACATCATCAATTAACTTTGATAGCGCCTTTCTGAAACTATCATCCCAAATAGCAATCCTTGTAAAAACCTATTTTGAAAAACGGGCCTTGTAGGATAGCCTCACAGATGTTTTGTGGTAGATTTTCTAACATTCTAATGTCAGGGAGTGAAAGGAATCCCGTTAGAAGTTGGAAAATTCTGGAATCTCTATTCATGGTATTAAAGTTTTGCCGTCACACAAAAGTTTAACACCTTTACACAATCAGACTTCCTCATTTTACATTGCTCGGTAATTAGAGGAAATCAGTCACCCAGAGCCTGGGTCCTAGACTTGACAAAATGCACCCAACAAATCCTGAGTGGCCTTGCTGAGGACTTCTCCCAGAAGATAGAAAACTCAGTTCCAGCCAACAAGGGGGAAGCAGCTGAAGAAGTGAAATTAACAAAGTCCTGGAAGGAAATGACCAAATCATCTTTGATTGTGTAATAACCAGAGAGTAGAATACAGCAACGACAGACATTTTGGGAGAGAAGCATTTTATCATAGCTTTTAGAAGAGAAGTATTTTTCAGCATCATAAGCACACAATTCCAAGGACAGATACCTTCAAGGGATTGCTTTTGACAGTTATGACAAAGTCTTAAAGAAGAATAAAAGGACAAAGGAAATCCTCCAGCAACAAAGCTGCCACTTATAGATGAGAAAGTGAATGGGAATAAGGAAGAAACTCAGAAAAGGGAAGAGAGATCACTAAAAACCCTGATTTGGAAAGTCCCAGTACTACCCTGAGAGGAGAAAGAAACAAATTCACACAGCACGTCACCGCCAGAAGAAGAAAGGAGGGAAGACAAGGGAACAGAGAGGATCTCAATCCTAAAAGGACAATGTGGAAACATTTAGGGGACAGAGGTGAATCTGCCAGGCCAATGTAGTTTAGAATGTCACTCAATCACTGAGAATGAGAAAGGAGTCTGCCGATGGGCACCATGTGGACAGGAGATGAGGCAATAAACATATGTAACAATTAAAAGTGAGAAATAAAGATCTGGTTTTGGTTCAGTTAACCCATATTTGAGTCGTAGTTCCAGCATTTACTGTTTGTGCGGTCTTAAATAATTTATTGTCTCAACCTCAGTTTCTGCATAGGTCAAATGGTTCAATATTATCTACTTTAAAGGTTATTATGAAGAGTTAATAAGATAATGAGGGAAAAAAAGGTACCTGGCACTTAGTAGGTGCTCAATAAAGGACGGCTTTTTTTTTTTAAGTATTGCTTCTAAATTTGTATGTAAGAAAAAATGATATAATACAATGATATAAGACAGGGGACCGCAGGACAAGTCCAGCCACACCCATTCATTTATGTATTATCTGACTGCTTTTCTGAAATGATGCAAGGTTGAGTAGTTGTACCTGAAACATTTATTATCTGGCCCTTTACAGAAAATGTTTCCAGACCCTGGATAAGTGGTACCAGAGCCCCCTCTGTTTGTGGTCCCCTCTCTTATACCCACTAGGTGTGAGAAAAGACATAGAGTAGGAGAGCCCTGCCATCCATCTTACCCACCCAGGGGCTTTTTCTGATGGATCCAAAGGAAGGACAAGGTCTTATTGGTCTCCCAGAACTGACATAACAACTCCGACATCAGGGAAAAGCCATTGGAGACTACATAGCTCGCCAGCCCCAGCCACCTGCTCATATATCTAAGCCCTCCTTGTTCTAGACCAGGGAGGAGAATGGAATGTCCCTTGGACTCTGCATGTCCCCAATCTGAGAACCTGGATCCAAGAGGGAGAAGAAGCCCATTGGAGATGATGCCATAAAGGAAGTGGAAGCGATATGATAAAAATCATAGTGCCCATTCCCAAATAATCCCAGAAGCAGAAGGGAAAGGAGAGAAATATCCACAAAGACAGGTGTGGGTACACACAACATTTTTCATACTTTAAGATCCCAGAGGGACTCATGGAAATGATACAAGAAAATGACTCATAAGAACAAATATTAGGAAGCCAGTGCCAAGAATGAGATGGGAAATTGGGGAAAATGTTGGGGGCAGATTGCTTAGTTCTGTTCTAAGCAAGAGGGTGAACAAGGAAGGAACAGCTCACTACAAAGAACAGACATCACTGCATGTACACACAATAATATAAGAACTAACCCATGATTATTTTGCTTGTCTTCTTGTTCAAAATGATTGAAGACCAATGAGATGAGATCAACCTTGATAACTGGCTGCGAAGCCCATGATTAGACACAAGATGGTATCAGGGCACTTGCTGCTTTGAATAAATGTCAGTCTCCTGTCTTGGAAGAATGACCTGACAGGGTAAAGAGGAACTTGCAGCTGAGAAAGGCTTTAGTGACTCAAGAGCTGAATAATTCCCCAAAAGCTGGAGCATCCTGGCATTTCCAGCTCCCCATCTCTGCTTGTTCCACTTCCTTGGGGCTACATCACCATCTACATCATCATCACTCTTCCACTCCCTCCCTTAGTGCCAACTATGTTTATAGCGAGATATTTTCTGCTCATTGGGGATCGGAAGGAAGTGCTGTGGCCTGAGCGGTCTCCTTGGGAAGACAGGATCTGATACATACGTTGCACAACCTATTTGACATAAGAGGTTTCACTTCCTGAGATGGATGGGATGGTAGCAGATTTGGGTCCAGGTTACAGGGCCAGGATGAGACATGGCAGAACTGTGGAGACTGTTACGTCAGGGGGCATTGCCCCATGGCTCCAAAATTTCCCTCGAGCGAAAGCATCAGGGGCTCATGCAACCTGGATACTAGTGCTGCTTCAACCACACTGTGCTATTGGATGAGTCACTTCCACCCTCCTAGCCTTGATTTCTTCGTCTGCTGTTCACATTCAAATAGCTATTCATGTCTTCATCTCTGTGGTCCCACCATATCCCACCAGACAATCATTAGGGCTCCTCTTAGCTGGCAGATTCTGAGGTCCTGGATGCTACAATTGGAAGATGGAGAAGTAGAAGCTCAAGGTTTCTGACCTGTATCCCAAGTCCCAGAAGCAGAATGGACTAACTCAGAGCTGATGCTCGGGTCCCTTGCATATCTCCCTTCCTGTCACTGGCTTTGATCCTCCTTCGTTCAGCTTGTAATCACATCAACAGACCAAAGACATCTCTGTGTTCTGTCAGGAGAGTTCACAGAGCCACCAACCCTCCAGACCCTGCTGGTTGCCGCATAAAGACTCTGAGGAAGGGTTTGAGGCTGCTGTGATCATGCAATGAATGCATGATTGTACCACTGCACTCCAGCCTGGGGGATAAAGGTAGATCCTGTCTAGGAGAGAGAGAGAGAGAAAGAGAAAGAGAGAGAGAAGGGAGGGAGAGACAAAGAAAAAGAGAGAGAGGGAGGGAGAAAGAAAGAGAGAAAGAAAAGAGAAAAGAAAGAAAAAGAAAGAAAGAGAGAGAGGGAGGGAGGGAGAGAGAAAGAAAGAAAGAAAGAGAAAGAGAGAAAGAGAGAAAGAGAAAGAAAGGAAGAAAGAAAGAAAGAAAGAAAGAAAGAAAGAAAGAAAGAAAGAAAAGAAAAGAAAGAAAGAGAGAGAGAAAGAAAAAGAAAGAGGAAGGAAGGAAGGAAGGAAGAAAGACAGGCTCTGAGGAAGGTGGCAGTTCCTACAACGGGAGAACCAGTGGTTAATTTGCAAAGTGGATCCTGTGGAGGCAAAACAGAGGAGTCCCCTAGGCCACCCAGACAGGGCTTTTAGCTATCTGCAGGACCAGACACCAAATTTCAGGAGGGCTCAGTGTTAGGAATGGATTATGGCTTATCAAATTCACAGGAAACTAACATGTTGAACAGCTTTTAGATTTCCTGTGGAAAATATAACTTACTAAAGATGGAGTTCTTGTGACTGACTCCTGATATCAAGATACTGGGAGCCAAATTAAAAATCAGAAGGCTGCTTGGAGAGCAAGTCCATGAAATGCTCTTTTTCCCACAGTAGAACCTATTTCCCTCGTGTCTCAAATACTTGCACAGAGGCTCACTCCCTTGGATAATGCAGAGCGAGCACGATACCTGGCACATACTAATTTGAATAAAAATGCTGTCAAATTCCCATTCACCCATTCAAGCAGCAAACTCTACCACCTGAATGTACATGCCAGGCACTGTGCTAGACTTGGCTCAAAAAGATTTCAGTTTCCTGGAGGAACCAGGAGGAGCAAGGTTTCAACTCAGTGCTATAAGAAGTGTTACAGGCTGGACACGGTGGCTCACGCCTGTAATCCCAACACTTTGGGAGGCCGAGGCGGGCAGATCACAAGGTCAGGAGATCGAGACCATCCTGGCTAACATGGTGAAACCCTGTCTCTACTAAAAATACAAAAAATTAGCCGGGCGTGGCGGCAGGTGCCTGTAGTCCCAGCTGCTGGGGAGGCTGAGGCAGGAGAATGGTGTGAACCCGGGAGGCGGAACTTGCAGGGGGCCGAGATCGTGCCACTGCACTCCAGCCTGGGCGACAGAGTGAGACTCTGTCTCAAAAAAAAAAAAAAAGTGTTATGATGCAGACCTGTCAAAGAGGCAAAGGAGGGTGTTCCTACACTCCAGGCACTGTTCATAACCTGGACTCTCATTCATTCTACAAATGGAGGGCTCCCCTGGGCAGTACCCTGGAGCAGGCACTTTGCTGGTGTCTCGGTTAAAGAGAAACTGATAACTCTTGGTTGGTATTACCAAGAGATAGAGTCTCAGATGGATATTCTTACAGAAACAATATTCCACTTTTCAGAGTTCACCAAAAAATCATTTTAGGCAGAGCTCATCTGGCATTGATCTGGTTCATCCATGAGATTGGCTAGGGTAACAGCACCTGGTCTTGCAGGGTTGTGTGAGCTTATCTCCAGGGTTGCCCCAACTCCGTCAGGAGCCTGAACCCTGCATACCGTATGTTCTCTGCCCCAGCCAAGAAAGGTCAATTTTCTCCTCAGAGGCTCCTGCAATTGACAGAGAGCTCCTGAGGCAGAGAACAGCACCCAAGGTAGAGACCCACACCCTCAATACAGACAGGGAGGGCTATTGGCCCTTCATTGTACCCATTTATCCATCTGTAAGTGGGAAGATTCCTAAACTTAAGTACAAAGAAGTGAATGAAGAAAAGTATGTGCATGTATAAATCTGTGTGTCTTCCACTTTGTCCCACATATACTAAATTTAAACATTCTTCTAACGTGGGAAAATCCAGTATTTTAATGTGGACATCAACTGCACAACGATTGTCAGGAAAACAATGCATATTTGCATGGTGATACATTTGCAAAATGTGTCATAGTTTGCTACTCCTTGCCCTTCCATGAACCAGAGAATTATCTCAGTTTATTAGTCCCCTCCCCTAAGAAGCTTCCACCAATACTCTTTTCCCCTTTCCTTTAACTTGATTGTGAAATCAGGTATTCAACAGAGAAATTTCTCAGCCTCCTACTTCTGCTTTTGAAAGCCATAAAAACAGCGAGGGAGAAACTGGCAGATACCAAACCTCTTCGAGGCACAAGGCACAACAGGCTGCTCTGGGATTCTCTTCAGCCAATCTTCATTGCTCAAGTATGACTTTAATCTTCCTTACAACTAGGTGCTAAGGGAGTCTCTCTGTCTCTCTGCCTCTTTGTGTGTATGCATATTCTCTCTCTCTCTCTCTTTCTTTCTCTGTCTCTCCCTCTCCTTCCCTCTCTGCCTCCCTCTCTCAGCTTTTTGCAAAAATGCCAGGTGTAATATAATGCTTATGACTCGGGAAATATTCTGGGAATGGATACTGCTTATCTAACAGCTGACACCCTAAAGGTTAGTGTCAAAGCCTCTGCTCCAGCTCTCCTAGCCAATACATTGCTAGTTGGGGTTTGGTTTAGCAAATGCTTTTCTCTAGACCCAAAGGACTTCTCTTTCACACATTCATTCATTTACTCAGAGATCATTTCTTTGCATGACTGCCATGCACTGGATGCTGAGAGAAATCACACATGAACGTAGCCGTCATGGGGAAGTCACTCATTTTCTCCTTTTTACACAGGTGTCTGAAGCAGCCATGGCAGAAGTACCTGAGCTCGCCAGTGAAATGATGGCTTATTACAGGTCAGTGGAGACGCTGAGACCAGTAACATGAGCAGGTCTCCTCTTTCAAGAGTAGAGTGTTATCTGTGCTTGGAGACCAGATTTTTCCCCTAAATTGCCTCTTTCAGTGGCAAACAGGGTGCCAAGTAAATCTGATTTAAAGACTACTTTCCCATTACAAGTCCCTCCAGCCTTGGGACCTGGAGGCTATCCAGATGTGTTGTTGCAAGGGCTTCCTGCAGAGGCAAATGGGGAGAAAAGACTCCAAGCCCACAATACAAGGAATCCCTTTGCAAAGTGTGGCTTGGAGGGAGAGGGAGAGCTCAGATTTTAGCTGACTCTGCTGGGCTAGAGGTTAGGCCTCAAGATCCAACAGGGAGCACCCAGGGTGCCCACCTGCCAGGCCTAGAATCTGCCTTCTGGACTGTTCTGCGCATATCACTGTGAAACTTGCCAGGTGTTTCAGGCAGCTTTGAGAGGCAGGCTGTTTGCAGTTTCTTATGAACAGTCAAGTCTTGTACACAGGGAAGGAAAAATAAACCTGTTTAGAAGACATAATTGAGACATGTCCCTGTTTTTATTACAGTGGCAATGAGGATGACTTGTTCTTTGAAGCTGATGGCCCTAAACAGATGAAGGTAAGACTATGGGTTTAACTCCCAACCCAAGGAAGGGCTCTAACACAGGGAAAGCTCAAAGAAGGGAGTTCTGGGCCACTTTGATGCCATGGTATTTTGTTTTAGAAAGACTTTAACCTCTTCCAGTGAGACACAGGCTGCACCACTTGCTGACCTGGCCACTTGGTCATCATATCACCACAGTCACTCACTAACGTTGGTGGTGGTGGCCACACTTGGTGGTGACAGGGGAGGAGTAGTGATAATGTTTCCCATTTCATAGTAGGAAGACAACCAAGTCTTCAACATAAATTTGATTATCCTTTTAAGAGATGGATTCAGCCTATGCCAATCACTTGAGTTAAACTCTGAAACCAAGAGATGATCTTGAGAACTAACATATGTCTACCCCTTTTGAGTAGAATAGTTTTTTGCTACCTGGGGTGAAGCTTATAACAACAAGACATAGATGATATAAACAAAAAGATGAATTGAGACTTGAAAGAAAACCATTCACTTGCTGTTTGACCTTGACAAGTCATTTTACCCGCTTTGGACCTCATCTGAAAAATAAAGGGCTGAGCTGGATGATCTCTGAGATTCCAGCATCCTGCAACCTCCAGTTCTGAAATATTTTCAGTTGTAGCTAAGGGCATTTGGGCAGCAAATGGTCATTTTTCAGACTCATCCTTACAAAGAGCCATGTTATATTCCTGCTGTCCCTTCTGTTTTATATGATGCTCAGTAGCCTTCCTAGGTGGCCCAGCCATCAGCCTAGCTAGGTCAGTTGTGCAGGTTGGGAGGCAGCCACTTTTCTCTGGCTTTATTTTATTCCAGTTTGTGATAGCCTCCCCTAGCCTCATAATCCAGTCCTCAATCTTGTTAAAAACATATTTCTTTAGAAGTTTTAAGACTGGCATAACTTGTTGGCTGCAGCTGTGGGAGGAGCCCATTGGCTTGTCTGCCTGGCCTTTGCCCCCATTGCCTCTTCCAGCAGCTTGGCTCTGCTCCAGGCAGGAAATTCTCTCCTGCTCAACTTTCTTTTGTGCACTTACAGGTCTCTTTAACTGTCTTTCAAGCCTTTGAACCATTATCATGCCTTAAGGCAACCTCAGTGAAGCCTTAATACGGAGCTTCTCTGAATAAGAGGAAAGTGGTAACATTTCACAAAAAGTACTCTCACAGGATTTGCAGAATGCCTATGAGACAGTGTTATGAAAAAGGAAAAAAAAGAACAGTGTAGAAAAATTGAATACTTGCTGAGTGAGCATAGGTGAATGGAAAATGTTATGGTCATCTGCATGAAAAAGCAAATCATAGTGTGACAGCATTAGGGATACAAAAAGATATAGAGAAGGTATACATGTATGGTGTAGGTGGGGCATGTACAAAAAAGATGAACAAAGTAGAAATGGGATTTATTCTAAAAGAATAGCCTGTAAGGTGTCAGAAAGCCCACATTCTAGTCTTGAGTCTGCCTCTAACCTGCTGTGTGCCCTTGAGTACACACTTAACCTCCTTGAGCTTCAGAGAGGGATAATCTTTTTATTTTATTTTATTTTATTTTGTTTTGTTTTGTTTTGTTTTGTTTTATGAGACAGAGTCTCACTCTGTTGCCCAGGCTGGAGTGCAGTGGTACAATCTTGGCTTACTGCATCCTCCACCTCCTGAGTTCAAGCGATTCTCCTTCCTCAGTCTCCTGAATAGCTAGGATTACAGGTGCACCCCACCACACCCAGCTAATTTTTGTATTTTTAGTAGAGAAGGGGTTTCGCCATGTTGGCCAGGCTGGTTTTGAAGTCCTGACCTAAATGATTCATCCACCTCGGCTTCCCAAAGTGCTGGGATTACAGGCATGAGCCACCACGCCTGGCCCAGAGAGGGATGATCTTTAGAAGCTCGGGATTCTTTCAAGCCCTTTCCTCCTCTCTGAGCTTTCTACTCTCTGATGTCAAAGCATGGTTCCTGGCAGGACCACCTCACCAGGCTCCCTCCCTCGCTCTCTCCGCAGTGCTCCTTCCAGGACCTGGACCTCTGCCCTCTGGATGGCGGCATCCAGCTACGAATCTCCGACCACCACTACAGCAAGGGCTTCAGGCAGGCCGCGTCAGTTGTTGTGGCCATGGACAAGCTGAGGAAGATGCTGGTTCCCTGCCCACAGACCTTCCAGGAGAATGACCTGAGCACCTTCTTTCCCTTCATCTTTGAAGAAGGTAGTTAGCCAAGAGCAGGCAGTAGATCTCCACTTGTGTCCTCTTGGAAGTCATCAAGCCCCAGCCAACTCAATTCCCCCAGAGCCAAAGCCCTTTAAAGGTAGAAGGCCCAGCGGGGAGACAAAACAAAGAAGGCTGGAAACCAAAGCAATCATCTCTTTAGTGGAAACTATTCTTAAAGAAGATCTTGATGGCTACTGACATTTGCAACTCCCTCACTCTTTCTCAGGGGCCTTTCACTTACATTGTCACCAGAGGTTCGTAACCTCCCTGTGGGCTAGTGTTATGACCATCACCATTTTACCTAAGTAGCTCTGTTGCTCGGCCACAGTGAGCAGTAATAGACCTGAAGCTGGAACCCATGTCTAATAGTGTCAGGTCCAGTGTTCTTAGCCACCCCACTCCCAGCTTCATCCCTACTGGTGTTGTCATCAGACTTTGACCGTATATGCTCAGGTGTCCTCCAAGAAATCAAATTTTGCCGCCTCGCCTCACGAGGCCTGCCCTTCTGATTTTATACCTAAACAACATGTGCTCCACATTTCAGAACCTATCTTCTTCGACACATGGGATAACGAGGCTTATGTGCACGATGCACCTGTACGATCACTGAACTGCACGCTCCGGGACTCACAGCAAAAAAGCTTGGTGATGTCTGGTCCATATGAACTGAAAGCTCTCCACCTCCAGGGACAGGATATGGAGCAACAAGGTAAATGGAAACATCCTGGTTTCCCTGCCTGGCCTCCTGGCAGCTTGCTAATTCTCCATGTTTTAAACAAAGTAGAAAGTTAATTTAAGGCAAATGATCAACACAAGTGAAAAAAAATATTAAAAAGGAATATACAAACTTTGGTCCTAGAAATGGCACATTTGATTGCACTGGCCAGTGCATTTGTTAACAGGAGTGTGACCCTGAGAAATTAGACGGCTCAAGCACTCCCAGGACCATGTCCACCCAAGTCTCTTGGGCATAGTGCAATGTCAATTCTTCCACAATATGGGGTCATTTGATGGACATGGCCTAACTGCCTGTGGGTTCTCTCTTCCTGTTGTTGAGGCTGAAACAAGAGTGCTGGAGCGATAATGTGTCCATCCCCCTCCCCAGTCTTCCCCCCTTGCCCCAACATCCGTCCCACCCAATGCCAGGTGGTTCCTTGTAGGGAAATTTTACCGCCCAGCAGGAACTTATATCTCTCCGCTGTAACGGGCAAAAGTTTCAAGTGCGGTGAACCCATCATTAGCTGTGGTGATCTGCCTGGCATCGTGCCACAGTAGCCAAAGCCTCTGCACAGGAGTGTGGGCAACTAAGGCTGCTGACTTTGAAGGACAGCCTCACTCAGGGGGAAGCTATTTGCTCTCAGCCAGGCCAAGAAAATCCTGTTTCTTTGGAATCGGGTAGTAAGAGTGATCCCAGGGCCTCCAATTGACACTGCTGTGACTGAGGAAGATCAAAATGAGTGTCTCTCTTTGGAGCCACTTTCCCAGCTCAGCCTCTCCTCTCCCAGTTTCTTCCCATGGGCTACTCTCTGTTCCTGAAACAGTTCTGGTGCCTGATTTCTGGCAGAAGTACAGCTTCACCTCTTTCCTTTCCTTCCACATTGATCAAGTTGTTCCGCTCCTGTGGATGGGCACATTGCCAGCCAGTGACACAATGGCTTCCTTCCTTCCTTCCTTCAGCATTTAAAATGTAGACCCTCTTTCATTCTCCGTTCCTACTGCTATGAGGCTCTGAGAAACCCTCAGGCCTTTGAGGGGAAACCCTAAATCAACAAAATGACCCTGCTATTGTCTGTGAGAAGTCAAGTTATCCTGTGTCTTAGGCCAAGGAACCTCACTGTGGGTTCCCACAGAGGCTACCAAATTACATGTATCCTACTCATGGGGCCTAGGGGTTGGGGTGACCCTGCACTGCTGTGTCCCTAACCACAAGACCCCCTTCTTTCTTCAGTGGTGTTCTCCATGTCCTTTGTACAAGGAGAAGAAAGTAATGACAAAATACCTGTGGCCTTGGGCCTCAAGGAAAAGAATCTGTACCTGTCCTGCGTGTTGAAAGATGATAAGCCCACTCTACAGCTGGAGGTAAGTGAATGCTATGGAATGAAGCCCTTCTCAGCCTCCTGCTACCACTTATTCCCAGACAACCACCTTCTCCCCGCCCCCATCCCTAGGAAAAGCTGGGAACAGGTCTATTTGACAATTTTGCATTAATGTAAATAAATTTAACATAATTTTTAACTGCGTGCAACCTTCAATCCTGCTGCAGAAAATTAAATCATTTTGCCGATGTTATTATGTCCTACCATAGTTACAACCCCAACAGATTATATATTGTTAGGGCTGCTCTCATTTGATAGACACCTTGGGAAATAGATGACTTAAAGGGTCCCATTATCATGTCCACTCCACTCCCAAAATTACCACCACTATCACCTCCAGCTTTCTCAGCAAAAGCTTCATTTCCAAGTTGATGTCATTCTAGGACCATAAGGAAAAATACAATAAAAAGCCCCTGGAAACTAGGTACTTCAAGAAGCTCTAGCTTAATTTTCACCCCCCCAAAAAAAAAAAATTCTCACCTACATTATGCTCCTCAGCATTTGGCACTAAGTTTTAGAAAAGAAGAAGGGCTCTTTTAATAATCACACGGAAAGTTGGGGGCCCAGTTACAACTCAGGAGTCTGGCTCCTGATCATGTGACCTGCTCGTCAGTTTCCTTTCTGGCCAACCCAAAGAACATCTTTCCCATAGCATCTTTGTCCCTTGCCCCACAAAAATTCTTCTTTCTCTTTCGCTGCAGAGTGTAGATCCCAAAAATTACCCAAAGAAGAAGATGGAAAAGCGATTTGTCTTCAACAAGATAGAAATCAATAACAAGCTGGAATTTGAGTCTGCCCAGTTCCCCAACTGGTACATCAGCACCTCTCAAGCAGAAAACATGCCCGTCTTCCTGGGAGGGACCAAAGGCGGCCAGGATATAACTGACTTCACCATGCAATTTGTGTCTTCCTAAAGAGAGCTGTACCCAGAGAGTCCTGTGCTGAATGTGGACTCAATCCCTAGGGCTGGCAGAAAGGGAACAGAAAGGTTTTTGAGTACGGCTATAGCCTGGACTTTCCTGTTGTCTACACCAATGCCCAACTGCCTGCCTTAGGGTAGTGCTAAGAGGATCTCCTGTCCATCAGCCAGGACAGTCAGCTCTCTCCTTTCAGGGCCAATCCCCAGCCCTTTTGTTGAGCCAGGCCTCTCTCACCTCTCCTACTCACTTAAAGCCCGCCTGACAGAAACCACGGCCACATTTGGTTCTAAGAAACCCTCTGTCATTCGCTCCCACATTCTGATGAGCAACCGCTTCCCTATTTATTTATTTATTTGTTTGTTTGTTTTATTCATTGGTCTAATTTATTCAAAGGGGGCAAGAAGTAGCAGTGTCTGTAAAAGAGCCTAGTTTTTAATAGCTATGGAATCAATTCAATTTGGACTGGTGTGCTCTCTTTAAATCAAGTCCTTTAATTAAGACTGAAAATATATAAGCTCAGATTATTTAAATGGGAATATTTATAAATGAGCAAATATCATACTGTTCAATGGTTCTGAAATAAACTTCACTGAAGAAAAAAAAAGGGTCTTTCCTGATCATTGACTTGTCTTGGATTTGACACTGAACAGTAAAGACAAACAGGGCTGTGAGAGTTCTTGGGGGACTAAAGCCCACTCCTCATTGCTGAGTGCTGCAAAGTACCTAGAAATATCCTTGGCCACCGAAGACTATCCTCCTCACCCATCCCCTTTATTTCTGTTGTTCAACAGAAGGATATTCAGTGCACATTTGGAACAGGATCAGCTGAAGCACTGCAGGGAGTCAGGACTGGTAGTAACAGCTACCAGTGATTTATCTATCAATGCACCAAACATCTGTTGAGCAAGCGCTATGTACTAGGAGCTGGGAGTACAGAGATGAGAACAGTCACAAGTCCCTCCTCAGATAGGAGAGGCAGCTAGTTATAAGCAGAAACAAGGTAACATGACAAGTAGAGTAAGATAAAGAACAAGAGGAGTAGCCAGGAAGGAGGGAGGAGAACGACATAAGAATCAAGCCTAAAGGGATAAACAGAAGATTTCCACACATGGGCTGGGCATGGTGGCTTACGCCTGTAATCCCAGCACTTTGGGTGGCAGGGGCAGAAAGATCGCTTGAGCCCAGGAGTTCAAGACCAGCCTGGGCAACATAGTGAGACTCCCATCTCTACAAAAAATAAATAAATAAATAAAACAATCAGCCAGGCATGCTGGCATGCACCTGTAGTCCTAGCTACTTGGGAAGCTGACACTGGAGGATTGCTTGAGCCCAGAAGTTCAAGACTGCAGTGAGCTGTGATCGCACCATTGCACTCCAGCCTGGGTGACAGAGTGAGACCCTGTCTCTAAAAAATGTTCCCAGATAGAAAAGAAAAGAAAAAGCCCTCAGGTAGAGGAACCAGTGTGAACAAGAGCATGGGTGTATAAGAATGAATGATGCAAAAAGTACACTTTCAGAATTGCGGGAATCACCAGAAGCAAAGTCAAAGCGCAAAACAAGCCAGAGGAAAAGTAGTTGTAACTCACACCCCAGATAAAGAGATAACTTGTTTCACATGTAAAGAACTGCCTCAAAACATTTGAAAAAAAAGAACAAAAATCCAGCAAAACAAGAGGCAAGGGATCTTAACAGTCTGTTCACAGAAAAGAAAATACTATTTGATCTTGGGCAGAGTAAAATGATGCTTAACATTGTAATAAGAAAGTCAAATTAAAAGCACTTTGAGATACTAGTATTTTCCCATCAGATTGACAAAAATCAAAAGTTTAACAACAGACCTTGTTGGTCAAACTGTCGGGAAATCCCCACTGTTAAATATTACGCGTGGGACTATAAATTGATATGACCCTTATAGAACAAAATTTGCTAACTATGAAAATCACAAGTGCACTTCCCCTTTGATCCAGCAATTTCACTCCTGGAGATTTATCCCACAGATGGACATAACCCATGTGAAATGGAAAATGATCAAAATTATTCATTGCACATCATTTGTAATAGGAAAAATTGGAAGTAACCCAAGTGTCTATCAACAAGAGACTGCCTAAATGAAGTAAAGGACATAGAATACTAGGCAGCTATAGAAAAGAATGAGAAAGCACTCTGGTATTGTTTGGTTCTGTGTCCCAGCCCAAATCTCATGTCAAATTGTAATCCCCGATGTTGGAGGTGGGGCCTGGTGTGGGGTGATTGGATCATGGGGGTGGAGTTCTTATGAATGGTTTAGCACTATCCCTTTGGTGCTGTTCTCGTGACAGAGTTCCCACAAGATCTGGTTGTTTAAAAGTATGTGGCATCCTTTCTCTCTCTCTCTCTCTCTCTCAGTCCTGCTCCTGCCATATAAGACATCCACTCCCGCTTTGTCTTCTGCATGAGTAAAAGCTTCCTAAGGCCTCCCCAGAAGCAGATGCTGCCATGCTTCCTGTGGAACAGCCTGCGAAGCTGTGAGCCAATTAAACCTCTTTTCTTTATAAATTATGCAGTCTCAGGTATTTCCTTATAGCAATGCAAGGACTGACTAATACATGCTGTCTGCACGAATATGAAATCCTCTCCAAAACATGCTGATAGCTGAAAAAGAAGAAAATGCAGACCGTATTTATGATATGCTAACTCTGATGTAACAAAAGGGAGGGGAAGAAGGGCAATACATTCCACTGTGCTTGTATTTGATTTTTTTTTTTGATTCTGGAAGATACATAAGAAATGAATAAAGTAGTTGTCAGAGGCTGAGGAATAAGATATATAGGGACAGGTGTGGGAGCAAGACACTTTTATGAACACATTTTACACAGTTTGGGTTTTTTTTTTTTGGAGACAAGGTCTCGCTGTCACCCAGGCTGGAGAGCAGTGGTACAGTCATGGCTCACTGCAGCCTTAAACTCCCAGGCTCAAGCAATCCTCTTACCTCAGCCTCCTGGGTAGCTGGGAATACAAACATATGGCACTATATTCATCCACTCTCACACTGCTATAAAGAATGACCTGAGACTGGGTAATTTATGAAGAAAAGAGGTCTAACTGATTCACAGTTCTACAGGCTGTACAGGAAGCATAGCTGGGAGGCTTCAGGAAACTTACAATCATGGCGGAAGGCAAAGGGGAAACACACACGTCTTACTATGGCGGAGCAGGAGAGTGAGAGAGTGAAGGGGGAGGTGCTACACACTTTCAAATAACCAGGTCTTGTGAGAACTCACTCACTATCATGAGAACAGCAAGGGAGAACCCACCCCCATGATCCAATCACCTCCCACCAGGACCCTCCCTCAACATTGAGGATTAAAATTCAACATGAGGTTTGAGTTGGGTCACAGAGCCAAACCATATCAGCCACCATGCCCAACTAATTTTTGTTTTTAAATTTTTGTAGATACAGGGTCTCACTATGTTACCCAGGCTGGTCTTGAACTCCTGGGCTGAAGTGATCCTCCCGCCTCGGCCTCCTAAATTGCTAGGATTACAGGCATAAGCAGCCATGCCTGGCCTACAGTTTGATTTTTGAATCATGTAAATATATTATTCAGAAATAAAATAATAATTTTTAAATATTTTATCCCAAAAAAATGTATCTGACTTCTTGTGGAAGGACAACTGTTGAGTTGAGGGAGCTGCCAGTCTTCGGCAGCTCACTCTCAATACCCTCCTTCTTTGAAGTTCTCCAAGCTAGGGCAGAGGCTGGCAAAGCCCCTCTCCTAGCTCTGTCTGCTTCATAACTGCAGTGCAAAGGATGACATGGCTGTCGGAGCAGACACCCAAGTGGCAACCATTCTATAAGATGGAACAGAGCTGGTGGCAGGAAAGCAGGTGGTCTGGGAAGAAAGCAGAGGTGCCTGTGAGCTTGAGCTGTCATTTGACCCTCTATCCTTGATTTAGTGACACAATTCTGCCAGCTCTCTCAGATACAAAAGGGAAGACATGCCAGGAAGAATGAAACTGTGAAGGCATCTCACCTTGTGAGGAAGCCAGATTCCAAATCATCTCTGTATGGGTAAGTGGGTATGGCCATTTTGGAGAGAAAATTGGTAGCGTCTAGTTTTTTTGGGTTTTTTAAACATGTTCTTTGGCTCAGCAATTCCACTACTTGCCATCTTCCGTAAAGAAATTTATGGACATCTACTGATGCGTTGTTTATAAATACTTAATGAAATCAACTAGAAACAACCTACATATCTGTTGATAGAGGCAAGGTTAAATAAACAATGGTAAGTTAAAAAGAAAGGAGATGCTACTGAAATAGAAAGATAGCCAAGCAAATCATTGAGAGAAAAAGGCAAATTATGGAACAAGAACAGAGTGATAACATTTACGTAAAACAAAACACTGCACATCCTCAATGCAAAACCATGTGCTTCTAATGGTATATAGAGGTAGAGAGGTCTGGAAGGGTATTGGCAAGACTGATAATAGTGGTTACTTGGAGTGGAATAGGGCAGAGGAGCGAGTCATCAAGAGGAACTTTAGCTTTATTTATGACATTTGAATTTTTACCAAAAAAAAAAATTTGGTAAATGTGTTTAACAAATTTTGTTTTATTAGATTTTTGTTCTTATTTTTTCTAGTGTTTTGAGGGATCTCTTTAGATGTTAAGCAAATATATTCGTGAATGACTCGTATCATTTTTTTAATCCCCTGCATTAAAATGTTCAAAAGCCTTGGTTCCAATTCCTGGATCTGAGCCAAAGATCAAAATTGACCCTCCAGACCAGAACTGACCTTTCTATTACAGGTTTAGAGCCAAGTTCTCTCCCTGGGTAACAACTCCCTATTTCTCTGTACTATGTGCCCTTGGCCTGGACGAGGGAAATGGTCTACCACTAAATGGAAAGGGTCTGATAATTTGAGTGGAGAAAGCTGAGAATCCTCCCCACACCCAAGCAAGTACACAAATACAACTGGAAGAAGGCAGTCTTTCTGAAGGGCTGTGAAGTCAACTTCTCTGCACCTGCAGCAGGTAACACACCACACCTCCACAGCTGCTACCAGCTTTCCAGGAGAGCCTGTGTACCTGGAGAGGAGAAGGCAAGTGCTTCCGAACTTGACTTGATGTCTTAGATTCTGCAATGCGTAGTCTGTAGGGACAGGCTGTGGCTTATCCTATAGGCTTGGGCTGGAGTCAGCAAGCATCTGGGCTGGCAGAAGATAAAAGATGCAAAGGTGGAGGAAAGCATACGTGGTCTGGAAGACAGACTTGGTGGGTGGGTGGCTGCTACAACACCCTAGTTAGAGGTAGAGGGGTAAGTCAGTGTGTCTTCTGCACAGGCCTCTTCCCCACCTCATTCTTCATTTCCCATACAGCCTTGCTGAGTTATTCACAAACATCTGATTCAACTGGAAGCTGGGTTGAGGATGACCTAAAGGACTAGTGTGATGCCTGCCCAGGGGTGTGGGCCCATAGTCAGAGTCCAGAGCCTCCTCTCAGCTTTTAGCACATCTCACCCACATCCTGGGTCCTTAATTAGCAATATGAAAGCAAGCCAAGTGACAAGATTTTGTCCCTGGGAAGTCCAGAAGCACTCCTTTTCTCATTTGTATAAGCATAATGATTTGCTTACATAAATAATCATGAAAATTCAAATCCCTCTCAGAAATCAGGTCATAAAACCATGAAATGCAGCATGTGGGCAAGAATCACAGGGAAAGGTAGGTCTTGGAGAGGAAAGGATGGCAGGGAGGAAGAAAGCAGGGTGCCAGGGGCCCTGGGCTGCTGTCCAAGTCAGGTGGCTCACCGTCTCTGAGAACATTTCACTTTCTGGTAAATGGGGCAGTTGGAGATAGAAGGGTTGGGTGAATGCCAAGAGTGAGCACAGCTGAGGTCAGTGCTGTGCCTGCAGTCCAGGCGGGAGTAGAAATCCTGGGCCCATCTTACCTCCGACCTCATTTCCTCCTCTGTAATAATGTGGGGGTGGGGGAAAGTTCTGGTCATCAGCCCTAGCATTCCATGGTTCATTTCCTCATCAGTGATGGAAAATCACCAAGCAAGAGAACAGGATGGAGAATAACCGGATGGGTGCAATCGGAGGTGCTATTTCAGGTGAGGTGGCCAGGGAAGGCCCTCTGAAAGGGTGGCTTGAGCAGGTGGCTGAATGTACAGAAGCTGCCAATCATGAAAGATCTGGGGTACAGCATGCCAAGCAGAGGAAATGCGAGTGCAAAGGCCCCGAGATTGGATGTGGGCTTAGCACAAATGTGGCATGGCAAGAAGGCCAGTGTGGCTGAAGCAGCATGAACAATGGGTGGAGGGGCTGAGAGGACAGAGGAGCAGGAAAGAGCCAGGCTTGGGTAGGAGAGGTGTCAACTTGATATATGATGCAAAGCCCTTGGAGGTTCCCAAACACAAAAGCGATGATCTAATATATGGTTTTAAAAATGCCACTCTTGGCCGGGCGCGGTGGCTCACGCCTGTAATCCCAGCACTTTGGGAGGCCGAGGCGGGTGGATCATGAGGTCAGGAGATCGAGACCATCCTGGCTAACAAGGTGAAACCCCGTCTCTACTAAAAATACAAAAAATTAGCCGGGCGCGGTGGCGGGCGCCTGTAGTCCCAGCTACTCGGGAGGCTGAGGCAGGAGAATGGCGTGAACCCGGGAGGCGGAGCTTGCAGTGAGCCGAGATTGCGCCACTGCAGTCCGCAGTCCGGCCTGGGCGACAGAGCGAGACTCCGTCTCAAAAAAAAAAAAAAAAAAAATGCCACTCTTGCTGTGAAAAATTGACCCTGGGGGAAGGAGGAGTAGAAATGTCAAAAGTGGAAGCAGACCACTCAGGAGGTCAGGGCAATGGACTGTGCAGGAGAGACTGACATCTTAGACTCGGGCAATAGGAGAGAAGGTGGTGAGGATTATATTCTGGGCATAAAGGCAACAGAACTAGCTGATGGCGTCAACGTAGGAGATGAGGGAAAGAAAGAAATCAAAGGGCATTCATAGGTTTGAGGGTTGAGTAACTGGGGATATTTAACAGAAATGGAGAAGTCTGGGGAAGGGGCAAGTATTGTGGGGGCAGGGGTCAAAAGTTCTGTATTTTGGCCAAGTTAATTAATATTTGAGATACCTCTTAGGTGTCCAAGTGAAGATGTCAAACAGTCAATTGAATACAAAATCTGAATCTTAGCCCAGGATGGTCTCACACCTGTAATCCCAGCACTTTGGGAGGCTGAGGTGAGAGGATCACTTGAGGCCAGGAGTTTGTGATCAGCCTGGGCAATAGAGCAAGACCCTGTCTCCACACACACACACACACACAAAAAGTCATCCAGGCATGGTGGCACATGCCTGTAGTCCCAGGTACTCAGGAAGCTGAGGCAGGAGGATCACTTGAGCCCATGGTTCAAGGCTGCAGTGAGCTATAATCACATCACTCAATACTACACTCCAGCCTGGATGACAGAGAGAGACCTCATTTATTAAAATAAAATTTAAAAAAATTAATTAAAAATAAATGCAAATCTTTCCTGAGATTCATATTCAGGAGTAACTGTCATGTAGAAGGCATATAATGCCATGGGTCACATGATACCATCTAATGAATGCCACTGGAAAAGAGAGAATAGCTAAAAACTGAGCACTGGGCACACCAGCACAGTGAGGTTGGAAGGAAGAAATGGAGCTAACAAAGGAGACAAAAGAGGAGTAGCCAGTGAGAAGAGAGAAACATCTGGAGAGAAGAGAGAGCAGCAAAAGGTGGGTGAAGGAGAATGTGGTCCACCAGGCCCAACAATGCTGAGCAGTTGAGTAAGTGAGGACCTGGCCACTGAATTTGGCAAGAAAGAGGATGTCAGCGGCCCTAGAACAAAAGTGAAGAAGAGCTTGAGGACGGAAGCCTGACAGGAGTGAACTGAGGAGAGAATGAAAGGTGGAGACATGGAGCCAAGGAGCACTGAGACTCCCTTGAGTAGTTTTGCTGTAAAATAAAAGTGAGTGCAGAGACGGGGCAGGGGGACAGAGAAATGCAGGGGTAGCTGGAGGGAGCCACAGAATCAAAAGAGGGTTTTTGTGTTTAAGATGGTAGTTGTCACATAGCACATTAGTAAGTTCATGTGAATCACAACGTAGGTGAGACAGATCACTAATGCAGGAGTCAAATCCTTGCAGAGCCCCCAGAGGAGGTGATGAAGGGAAGTGATGGACATCATTCAGATGCAAGTAGGTTAGCAATTCCTGGGGTACAAATAGGAGGTGACTCCTTTCTGATTGCTCCTGTTTTCTGAATGAGATAGCACATAAAGTCCACTCAGCCATGTTAGCTGTTGAAGTCCTTGTGGCTGTCATGCCTGTACAGACTGGGCTCTCCTCTCCAGCATTTCCTCTCAGACTAAGCTGAGCTGCACTAGCCGCTGCCACATCCTCTTGGGGCCATCCTCTGCCACACTCCACATATTGCTGTGGTTTGCTTGCAACCCCTGGAAGGTCCTACTGGCTGCTCCTAGAAGAGTCTGGGCGGCATCTCTCCCTTACTCGTTATCACATGGTGCTGTAAGCAGTGGCCACACACTTTAGCTGGTGGGATGGGCCATCACAGGCAGTAAATGCGAAAGACTGCTCAGATTTTAAAGCACCCATGAATCAGTAGAATGAGTTTAGAATTGTAGTCATCAACACACATTAAAAAAAAAAAAAACAGGCACTAAAAAAATTAGTTGAGTAGGATAAAGCAATAAAAGATATTAACTACAAACCAGATAGGAGGTGCAAAATTGTACCTACATAAATCAGATGGAAAAAGTTGAAAGCAGATAAGATAAAATAGGTAAGCATGACATTTAAAAGGTATTCATGGGACGTGGTTACAAAACCAACTCACAACTAAAAAGTCTTAGGACCTCTCGCTGACTTAGGAGCCTGATCCCAACTCTGAGAATGACTCAGTGTGTTACCCTGTGGCTAGTGTAGACCAATGATCCTGTCTCAGAGTCACTAGCCAACAGCCCATATCAAGTACTTGAAACTTTGACTCAGAAACCTCAGTGTCAGAACCTTTGACCTAGGAACCACCTGTAGTGGTTAACTGCAATTTGCACCCCTTAGTTCAGGGCTTTACAACACCGGGGGCGGGGAGGGGGAAGGCATAGAGCTGATGACCTAAAGGAAACCCATTGCAGCAACGCTTTTGTGTTAAGTTTACAAATAAGTGTTGTTTTAGAATCCTCCAGGTAATGCCTTTGTTATTTAATGTGTCTGAGACAATTCTGCACATTAAAGAATATAAAATATTACCTTGTAATTCCAATTTGAAATGTGTAATTGACATTAGACTTCTATTTTAATTTGAAATGTCTAAAACAATGTGGTTAAGTTTGTAAAAGGTGTGTGAATTTTGAGTCTGATTTACTACATTTTTTTTTAATTTTCTTTTTTTTTGGAGTTTTAGGGATTGCTTAGATGGCTAGAAAGATTTTATTCATCAGATTTTTAAGTCTGCCTTGGCAGGCACTTGCAGTGTTTGAAAGAATCAGATATATCAAATTTGTAGTTTAAAATATTTAAGGGAACTCAATTAACTATGCTAGAAAAGAGAGTTAAGTATTTAGGAGGATTTAATATGGTGTTAAAGTTGTGAAAATCAAAATGGAGACACTAATGTTAAGAAAACCCTGATAAATGGAGCCAGGGAAGGCCATGAAGAAAGAGTTCTCACACTTGTATCCCTGATCATGAAAAAGACTCTGCAAAAAACAAAACCTTGCACAAAGGCCATTGCAACCTTACACAAAAAATACTACTTTAAAAGGACATGTGCCCAGCAACTGCCTGTCCAACCTCAGACTGGCAATATCTTTGTTATTGATCTTAGTAGCCCAGCATAACTATTTCAAAACAGTGATGTAATGCTCATTTTTTTTCTTTTGAAAACTTTTGTCTTCCTGTAAAAACCTTTGTCTTCTTTACTTACCCTGAATATGCACAGAGTTTACTATGAAGTGCATATTCCTGTTGCAATGCTCTATTCCCAAACAAACATCATTTTCTTTTAGAGAGCCTCTCTCTGTTTGTGATTTAGGTTGGTGATGTAAAGCAATGGCATAACTGAACACTGATTCAAAGAAAAGTGGCTTTTCTCTTTGTTGTATTAAAAAGAGGCCTTATAAATAGGATAGTAAGATTTGTAAGTTGAACTTAAAGCATGAAGAAAATTTAGGGGCCAGGCAGGGTGGCTCACACCTGTAATCCCAGCACTTTGGGAGGCCAAGACAGGAGGATTGCTTGAGCCCAGGAGTTCAAGACCAGTCTGGTCAACACAGACCTCATCTTTACTAAAAATAAAAAAATTAGGCCAGGTGCAGTGGCTCATGCCTGTAATCCCAGCACTTTGGGAGGCCAAGGCGGGAGGATCACTTGAGGTCAGGAGTTCGTGACCAGCCTGGTCAACACGATGAAACCCCATCTCTACTAAAAATACAAAAAAATTAGCTGGGTGTGGTGGCGGACACCTGCAATCCCAGCTACTCGGGAGGCTTCAGGCAGGGGAATCACTTGAACCTGGGAGGCGGAGATTGCAGTGAGCTGAGATAGTCCCACTGCACTCCAGCCTGGGCGACTCAGCAAGACTCTGCCTCAAAAAAAAAAAAAAAAATTAGTCAGGTGTGGTAGCACACAGCTGTGGTCCCAGCTACTCGGGAGGCTGAGGTGGGAGGATCATCTGAGCCCAGGAGGTCAAGGCTGCGGTGAGAGCTGAGATTGTACTACTGCATTCCAGCAGGGGCTACAAAGTGAGACCCTGTCTCAAAAAAAGAAAAAGAAAAAGAAAATTATGTTTTTAAATTTATAATTATAATAAATTTAATTACATAAATTTAAGCTCAAGTAATTGTAAATATTCTTTCTGTGCACATAAGTTATTCTTGTATTGACCCCACAGGAGCTGGCCATTCTTCAAGTCAGAAGGCCTGAGAGAGGAGCTGCCCAGGTGGTCTTCATGGGGCTGTGCGGCCAGTCATCCCCCACAGGTTGACAATCCTTGCGTACTTCATCCTTGTTGGATCCTCTGTATCCCTGACGATGAGCAACTGTGAGGCCCGTTTCAGCACTGAGTTCCAGTCAGGAAAACATCCACCCACCCACCACACGCTCACACTTACACACACATTCACACATGCACACACGTTCTGGCTCCGAAAAAGAAAAAAAAAAAGCAATTTAAAATAATTCTGATCCTTTGCTTATTTCCACAAACTCCATGAAAATTGTACATTGTCCAAGCAACATTTCTTAATATTCTCTTTTTCTCTCATATCCATTTTCCTTACTGCTGTCTCCACCTTTCTCTTCCAAACTCCCTGTTAAAATCCCTGCCCCAGCGAACTTTTATTCAATTTTGTGGAATGGAGGCTGCTCTGATTTAAATTAAAAAAAAAAAAAATCCCTACTCCATGTCCCAGATCCCTAGTTGTTTTTTGTTTTTTGTTTTCCTGAGACAGGGTCTTGTGTCTTCCATGCTGGAGTGCAGTGGCATGATCATGGCTCACTGCAGCCTCAACCTCCTGGGCTCAAGTAATTCTCTTGCCTCAGCCTCCCCAGTAGCTGGGAGTTCAGGTATGTGCTACCATGCCTAGCTAATTTTTTTCTTTTATTTTGTAGAGACACGGTCTTGCCAGGTTGCCCAGGCTGGTCTAGAACCCCTGGGCTTAAGTGATCCTCCTGCCTCGGCTTCCCAAAGTGCTGGGATTACAAGTGTGAGGCACTGCACCCAGGCTGGATCCCTGCATTTTTACAGATTTAGCATCACAAAAGTCTAAACAATTAGACTGACTAAGGCAGAACTGCCCTTATGACAGCAGACATAAGAAGGAAAAGGCCAAAACACTGTGTTAAAAATTATCCAAATGTGAGGAAAAGGCAAAGAGAGTAGGTGTGCCTTTTTAGTGTCTAAGCTGCCTGCCCAAGGGGCATCTGATGCTCTCAGGCAGGAGTCCACAAATTTTTTTTTGTAAAAGATCAGATAGTAAATCTTTTCAGCGTGAAGAGCATGAGGTCTCTGTCACAAATACTCAACCACCATTACAACATGAAAGCAGCCAACAGACAACACATGACAAATGAGTGTGGCTGTGTTCCAGTAAATCTTGATTACAAAAACAGGCAAGAGGCCAGAGCTGACCCATGGGCCATAGTTTGCTGACCCCTTCTGTAAAGGAAAGTATTTTTGTTTGACTTGCTGTTTACCATTGATTGAACACAAGGCTCTGTAGAGTTACTTGTTAACTTGCAGAAGATTGATGAGTGGCAAGTAATTTTTATTCACCAGAATATAAAATTATTTCTGTTCAGTAGAAAAGATAAACCCAACTGTTATATTATTGTCCTGTTTTGTATGTAACTTTGCTTCATTTTTTAACAAATTAATATTATTGCCCTAATTTGTATATAACTATGCTTCTTTTAAAAATATATATTTTTTAATAAATTTGAGACAGGGTCTCACTAGGTTGCCCAGGCTGGTCTTGAACTCCTGGCCTCAAGTGACTCTCCCACCTTAGCCTACTGCATAGCTGGGATTACAGGCACAAACCACTGCATGCAGCTAACTTTGCTTCTCATTCCAGCACTTTTTATTCCACTGATTATATGTATATGTATATCTGCATCATCTCTCTCTCTCTCTCTCTCTCTCTCTCTATATATATATATATGGAAATATCTCTCTCTCTCTATATATATATATGGAAATATATATCTCAGTCTCTCCTATCCTCCTTTAATCAGTTTTGCTATCCTGTCAATTCCCCCAACGAGTGTGATGTTGTGAAATATATATTTGTTCTTCATCTCCTGTTTCCTGACATACAGCTTTTAAAAACCCTTGGAATCTCTGGAATAATAAGAGTGTCTTTTGCATGCTAATAGATGACTGCTGGCTGGCAGCCCCAATGCAGTAGCTTCATGATGGGGTTTGTCACAGGAAAGACCAAGGCAGGATTGGAGACTTGAGACTGTTAGCCCCACTCCCCAACCACTGGAGGGAGTGGAGGGGCTGAAGGTTGTGTCAGTCACCAATGGCCAATGGTTCGGTCAATCATGTGTACGTAATAAAGCCACTCTTAAAAACCCAAAAAGGACAGGGTTTGGAAGGGCTCCCAGATAGCTGGACACATGAAGGTTCCTGGAGGGTGGTGCCCCAGAGGGGCATGGAAGCTCCACACCCCTTCTCACATGCTTTGCTCTGCGCATCTCTTCATCTGGTGTTCATCTGTATCCTTTGTAATATCTTTTAGAATAAACTGGTAAACTTAAGTGTTTTCCTGAGTTCTGTGAGCTGCTCTAGCAAATTCACGGAACCCGAGGGAAGCAAACCCAGATTTATAGCCATCAGTCAGAAGCATAGGTGACAACCTACCACTTGTAACTGGCACCTGAAGTGGGAGGCAGTCTTGTGAGACTGAGCCCTCAACCTGTGGGATCTAACGCTAACTCCAGGTAGATAGTGTTGGAGTGAATTAGGACACCCAACTGGTGTCGGCTGCTGGAGGACTAGTGGTGGGAGAAATCCCCAAGCATTTCGGTGACTAGAGGTCACAGAAGAACTCAGTGTTGAGGTGTTGTGACAGTATGGTAGGGAAAACTGCGTCTGGTTTTTTCCTTTTACAATCAGTTAAATATTTAACACAAGTCTACTGTATATTAGTAAAAGGGTTACATTTTTTAATGTCTTGACAGTTGCACTTTGACAACTTCCATATCAATCACTTTTTTTCCTGTCCCTTTGGAACCAAAATCACTTGGGTTACCCTGAACCAGGCTGCAGCCTATTCCCCAGGCCTTGAAAGCTTTGAGGCCCTTCTGCCAGCCCTAATCCCTCTGAATACCAGGCCTCCTGGAGTTAAAAAATAGACTTGAGGCCAGGCCTGGTGGCTCACACCTGTAAGCCCAGCACTTTGGGAGGCAGAGGCGGGTAGATCACAAGGTTAGGAGTTCGAGACCAGCCTGGCCAACATGGTGAAACCCCGTCTCTACTAAAAATACAAAAAAAAATTAGCCGGGCGTGATGGTACACGCCTGTAGTGCCAGCTACTCAGGAGGCTGAGGCAGGAGAATTACTTGAACCTGGGAGGCAGAGGTTGAAATGAGTCAAGATCGTGCCACTGCACTCCAGCCTGGGCGACAGAGTGAGACTCCGTCTTCAGGGGAGTTAAAAAAAAAAAAAAAAAAAAGACTTGAACAATGAGGCTCCACTGGATGGATTTAGGGGAATTACAGGAAGCAGGACCTGACGGTGCAATGCCACACTCCACCTGTCCAGACTTGGACCTCACCAAGGGAGGTCTGTGGGGACAGGGAGAGGCCCTCTGCCTCCACCCCCTCCTCTACTCCCCAAACCCTGAGTCAGGCTGAATGTAGTAAACCTGGAACAGAAAAGTTCAGTTTGGCAATAGGTATCTGAAGGACTCCAGGTGCTTCTCCCTTGATTCAAAATTTTACTTATAAAAAAAATTATAAGAAAATTCTACTTAAAAGAAATAATCAGGGAGGTACAACAAATTGTACTTTTTTTTTTTTTTTTTTTTTTTTGAGATGGAGTCTCACTGTTGCCCATGCTGGAGTACAGTAGTGTGATCTCGGCTCACTGCAACCTCCGCCTCCTAGGTTCAAGTGATTTTCCTACTTCAGCCTCCCAAGTAGCTGCGATTACAGGTGTGTGCCACCACACCCGGCTAATTTTTGTATTTTTGGTAGAGACGGGGTTTCACCATGTTAACCAAGATGGTCTCGAACTCCTGACCTCAGGTGACCCACCTGCCTCAGACTCCCAAAGTGTTGGGATTACAGGGGTGAGCCACTAAGCCCAGCCATTGTACATATTTTGTGGGTATTTACTAAAACATTATTCAAAATAGTAAAAAAAAATTGAAATAAACTGGGGACTGGTTAAATAATTTTGGGTACAACCACATGATGGAATACTATACAGCCATTAAAAATTACATTGAGGCCAGGTGTGGTGGCTCATGCTTGTAATCTTAGCACTTTGGGAGGCCAAAGTGGGAGGATTGCTTGGACCCAGGAGCTCAAGACCAGCTTGGGCAATGTGGCAAAACCCTGTCTCTAAAAAAAAAATACAAAAAAAATTAAAAAGCTGGGTGTGGAGGCACACACCTCTAGTCCCAGCTACTCAGAGGGCTAAGGTGGGAAGATCACTTGAGCCGGGGAGGTCAAGGCTGCAGTGACCCAAGATCGGGTCATTGCACTCCAGCCTGGGCAACAAAGCAAGACCCTGTCTCAAAAAAAAAAAAAATACATTGAAGAATATCTTACGGTATGGATAAATATTCATTTTACAGTGATAGATGCAAATAAAAGCAAATTACAAAATATACAGTTTAATTCCAACTTTGATACTACATATGTATATATGAATACATGCATATGTTATGTATGTATATGTAAATATAACAATATATGTTCTATATATGGATATTATATATTTACACATACATACACACATATATAATATCTTCTCTAGAGAGCAGAAAGAGAGTAGACAGATAATGAAGATAGGATACAACTCCAGTCCAGCTCAACCTAGGGGACTTGTTTTAAAGCCTCAGGAGAGAGAAGTTGGGACTAGAAAGCAAGGCAGCTATTTGTAAGCATCTTTGTGTTTCATGCTATTGGGGTGGGAAACAACAGCACAACTTTTGAAAGCCCCTTTCTACTCACCCCACAAACTGCAGAGCAGCTTTAGGACCCTCAGAGTTCAAGAAGACCATTTGCAGAGTAGAAGAAGTAAAAACATGTATGAACTTGACCCTGAGCTCATGGACTGTGCCATGAGGGAAATTCCTAAAACAGCAGGAGAGGCCCTGGAGGAAGGCAGAGGCCCTGCATCAGCAAGTCCAGGCAAAAGCCTGCATTCCATAGATGCTCATCTCTCTGGCTGGTGAGGTCTAAAGACGTTTGGTCTCAATATTAAGTCTCGTGAGAGAGGTCACAAACCCAGTCCCTTGGCCACAAAAGGAAATAAATTCTGGCTTGAGACATTAGGGAGGAACAGGGCAAGGGGAGGTTCAAGAAAGTTTTAATGGATGAGATGATATTTAAGCAAGGCCCTGGAAAATGAGAATTTCAACCAATAGCCATATGGTAGGTCAGAAAGCAAAGATAAGGAGGGGGCAAGTGCAAGGGGCAACATCAGATATGACCAGGGTGTCGTGGGGCATGGCTGATGGAGAAGAAGATTAGACTGGAGTTTGGGAATGCCACAGTATCGAGGTTGGATTTAATCCTATGGGTAATAAAGCCAACTGTTCAACCCCCAACCCACTTGCAATATGGCTCCAAAATAGCAGGTGTTTGATAAAATGACTACTTTTACTCTACTATTCCCTCCCTCTTAAGAAGAAAAAGAAAGTGGAGGCTCAGAGAAAGGCAGTGGCTTGTCCCAATCACACTATGATTTGGCCACAAAACAAGAACGAAATGTTACACCCAAAAATGCTGCCTCCACCTCCCTTCCTTGCTTTCCTCCCTGCTGGACTACAGACTATCTCAAGAGTGACGTACACCATCAGGGCTTCAGCTTTTCCCCGAAACAATGCCAAAATATTAGCCATACGTCACTGTAGTAAGAGCCCTGAATCGGGAATCCCAGCTTTGACGCAGACATGCTGATTGACTCTGTGACCATTCTCTTCACTTCTCCACTCTATTCTTCCCCACCTGTAAAGTGAGGTCCTTTCCAGTTATAAAAACAGATGATGCTATTGTCCTGTTTTGTATCTAATCTTGCTGTGTTATAAAAAAAATAAGGCTCTGTACATTCATCTTGGCCAATTCCCTTCTTATCTCTACTTCCCACAGCCCCTTTTTGTACAGAAAACCAGCATTGTTCTTCTGGATCCATCTCTTAAGAAAGCGCTTTGCCTCCCCGGTTATTTAGGTGATAAGAAGTGTCCTAGATGACAGCCCTGGAATGGGCTGGAGGCAACAAAAAAGCAAGTGAAATAGACAGTTACAGCGACGACAATAATAACAACCAACACCTCTCACTAAAGAGAAAGAAATAAAAAAGAAAATTAAAATCTGCCGCAATGCCCACACAGTCATTGAATAGCTGCATGTGTACAGCACTTGGTTACTTTTACATACTTCATATTTTAGCCTTCAGAGCAGCTCACAGGGGTGGATTTAATTTTTAGTCCAGCTCCTGGCACGGTGCCTGGCACAAGTTTAATAAATGTTCTGTGAATAAATGACCCTCTTTTTAGATGAGGAAATCGAGGCTCAAGGAGAACAAGCAATGTAATGTCCCCCTCCTGTTCAGCCATCTGCCTTTCACGCCACTGAATGCAGTAGTCCTCCGTGCCCTGAACTTGACCCTCTTCTGCTTTTCGGACTGGTCCTTCTAATCCCGTTGTGACTCACTACACCACCTCTCCTGCATATGACGTCTACATTTTAAAACAAACCGTATGGAAATAACACATTAGTCGGCTTGCTCCCCCACCCCCGCAAAAAAAAAGGCCTCTTTATAACAGAAACTTCTCAGGCTGGTAGGGGAATTTTATTCCCCCATTTATGGTAGAAAGGCCCTAACCTTGGACCTCACGCCATAGCTATTCACATGGGGGAATGATGAATAACATGGGAAGCAGCATGTAACTCTCCTGGGCCCTAGTACAGACGAGTTACTCCCAGGCCGTCCTTTAACCATCAACCCCCTCCACAGAAAATGAGCTTTGGAATGTCTGCCCCAAATTGGGGTAGGGCTCCCCAGAACCATGGACATTCCTCATCTACTCCTTGGAAGTGGCAGGTCGGGTTTAGCACACAGTCTATAGAAAGTCTACACACATGGCAGTCATCTCTATCTATTGTGACAAATGGCTGGAACTCAAGCATACAATATACCCACTGGTTCTTCTTTTTTGACAGTGACATCAGGAACATTTGCATCTTCCATCCCAGGGAAAGGTAAAGAGAGTCAGGCCTTTAAACACAAAATTGATGGAGGCTCAGGTCTAATGAATTATTTCACTCATAGCTATTTTATTTTTCCTGCCAATAAAAATACTTAGAGACTGAGTTGGCAAATGAGAGCCTGAGACACGTGCGGGGAAATTCTGGTTCTGCTGCTGCTACTGCTACTGCTACTGCTACTGCTACTGCTACTGCTACTGCTACTGACTAATCACTCGGAATTCACTTTGTCTCCACCAGAACTCTGCCCCTACTTCCTTGGGAATTCCCCAGCACAGGAAGTTTGCAATTGCTTGATACCTTGCTGTTTCTAAGACCGGAAATGGAATATTTGTGGAACTTCCTTTGCCAGAGGAAATGGTGACCTTTAAACTTTCATTGAAAGAGAAGGAAGTGGGTGCGATACTACGGTTCCCTCTGTCAGTACTGTCTAGCAAGGCTAAGAATGATCCTTGGAGTGACCTCAGCAGAGTCCCTGAGAGACAGCTGGGCAGTAGCTCTACGGGTGTCCTGGGCCTAAGCCCCATCTGCCCTCCTCCCAACCCACCTTCCACTCTCAAGAGGCCTTGGATTCTATTTTCTAAGACCAGGAATGAAAAAGACTCAACAAGAACCTCACAGTCCCTACCTGAGCCTGCTTCCCAAGCCTGTCCTAGGGCTGTCCTTCCAACCCCCAGCCCATCAGCCTTGTGGCCTCCCTGTGTGTGGAAGGCACTTTCTTCCTGGCCACCAAAAACAGGTCCTCCCCGGACTTCAGGCTGCTCCTCATCAGCTGATGCCCTCCAGGTTCACACCTCCCAAAGTTCTCTTCCTGGCTCCAGGCCCTGGAATCCCCGTATTCAGCAATTCATCTTTGACTCCCTTCCTCTTTCCCCTCCCTTCTCTTCCCTGCCAGGAAGGCCCATTCCTGAGTGATGCCAGACATATCCCCATTTACCTCCACACCATCCTGCATTGAGTGGGAGCATCTCTTTTATCTCTGCAAGACCTCTCCATTACCCACGGGCTGGCAAGCTCTCCTCCTAAGAAGTTTCCCAAAGCAGATGCTTTATAGAAGCAGGAAAGGAGAAAAGGAAGAAGAAAGGGAGGGGAAGCTACTTTTTTACTGAATGCCACATGTAAACAATATATTGGGTCATCTGAACTTACCGAAGTACAAACCAGAAATGGCATTATTTTTTTCCAGTAACTGCCTTCAAACGTACTCTATCAGACCCCCCTGACATCTCAGGTCACTGCAGAACTTTCTGTTAAATAACTTGCATATATGAACAGTCTCAGAGGCCAAAAAAAAAAATAACAGCTATGCACTCTTGCACCTAATTCTGTACTTTTCGCCAAACGCCATTAAAATATTATAACATTAAAGGGATATTTAAATTCACGAATCCACAAGGATGGGGAAAACAAATGAGAAGACAGCAAGAGTGAGGGAGAAGGGGATACATTTCTTTGATCAATCAGGCAATTCCCTGGCATTCACATCACCGAGTTCATATTTGCAGTAGCAATTCAAGAGTTCTGAGCCTCACACAGGAGTATCTTTAAGAAAAAAAGAAAAAAATTTTTGGAAGGCTGGAAAGCAGTTGGGCAAATGGTAGCTGATCCTAAGGACCAATCGACATCTAGTACCTTTGGGAGTGGGATCACAGAGATGGTAAAATAAAAAAAGATTGCATGAAAGCTGGTTAAGAAATAGAAACACTTGGGCCGGGCACGGTGGCTCACGCCTGTAATCCCAGCACTTAGGGAGGCCGAAGCGGGCAGATCACGAGGTCAGGAGATCGAGACCATCCTGGCTAACATGGTGAAACCCCGTCTCTACCAAAAATACAAAAAAAATTAGCCAGGTGTGGTGGCGGGCGCCTGTAGTCCCAGCTACTCAGGAGGCTGAGGCAGGAGAATTGCTTGAACCCGGGAGGTGGAGCTTGCGGTGAGCCGAGATCGCACCACTGCACTCCAGCCTGGGCAACAGACAGAGCGAGACTCCGTCTCAAAAAAAAAAAAAAAAGAAAAAAGAAAGAAAGAAATAGAAACACTCCCCCACTCCGCAAAAAAATACATTCTGTATGTTTCCATTTATACAAAACTCTAGAAAATGTAAACTAGGCCAGGAGTCATGACTCATGCCTGTAATCCCAACAATTTGGGAGGCCAAGGAGGGAGGGCTGCTTGAGGCGAGGAGTTCGAGACCAGCCTGAGAAACATAACAAGACCCCATTTTTATTTAAAAAATTTTTTAAGCCAGTTGTGGTGGTGTACCCCTGTAGTCCCAGGTACTCAGGAGGCTGAAGTGGGAGGACCACTTGAAACTAGGAGTTCAAGGCTGCAATGAGCTATGATCGCACCACTGCACTCCATCCTGGGCAACAGAGTGAGACCTTGTCTCAAAAAAAAAAAAAACCCACAAAATGTAAACTAATCTATAGTGACAGAAAACAGGTGGTTGTTTGCTTGGCAATGAAGGAAGGGAGGAGAAGGAATTAAGAAGAAGCTTGAGGTAACTTAGGAGGTATATTAGTTCCTTGTCACACTGCTATAAAGAGCCACCTGAGACTGGGTAATTTATGAAGAAAAGAGATTTAACTGACTCACAGTTCTGCAAGCTGTACAGGAGGCATGGTTAGGGAGGACTCAGGAAACACATCATGGCAGAAGGGCAAAGAAGAGGCAAGCACATCCTCACATGGCAGCAGGAAAGAGAGTGAGTGAAGGGGAGCTCATGAGAGCTCATTCACTATCTCAAGAACAGCAAGGGGGAAGTGCACCCCCACAATTCAATCACCTCCCACAAAGCCCCTCCCCCAGCATTGGGGATTACAATTCAACATGAGACTTAGGTGGGGACACAGAGCTAAACTGTATCAGGAGGTGATAAATATATTCACTATCTTGATTGTGGTGATGTTTTCACAGGGTTATATCAAAGTATAAGTTGCACAATTTAAATATGTGCTCTGTTTATTGTATGTCTATTTTACAACAATAAAGCTGTTCCTTAAATTTCTTTTTTGAGACAGGGTTTTGCTCTGTCACCCAGGCTGGGGTAGAGTGGTGTAATCACAGCTCACTGCAGCCTTGACCTCCTGGGCTCAATAAAGCTATTCTTTTAAAATGCTGGCAGAGCTGTGAGAAAATTCTTATTTGTTGCTAGTTGATTCAGTCTTTTTGGAGGACAGCATGACAATTATTTAACTTCTGAATAATCATAAAATGATATTAATGGGGGAAAAATAAATGGTTAGATTTTCAGGTCATCTTTCCCATACTAGCAGAAGACAGAGAGTTAAGGTAGGAGATTACTAAAAACAAGATGATCATTGAAAGGATTCAGCATGATGTTGAATACTCCAGCCCTTCTCCCTCACATTACACACAGAAGGCTGGTAGCCAGGCCTTTATCCTCCAGGCAGGAGATCAAAAGAGCCTTTCCCAGGGAATCAGGCCTATACTAATAGTAGGGGTCCCAAACCCATTGGCCTTGCCAGGACATCAAGCAATGACACTCACAGCCAACAAGCCTCACCCATGTATTCAGAGTTTCCAATCAGCTTTCCAGTTGCCCACTCTCAAAAATCTAGTATTACTAAACGTCTGCAGAAAGTTTCTAGCAAGATAGAGATCAAAATAAAACAACCCAAAAAAGCAGAAAGGGGAAAAAAGACTTGGTAAAGAGAAGAAAACTTTTAAAAAATGTCAGATTCAGTGGCTCACACCTGTAATCCCAACACTTTGGGAGGCTGAGGCAGGAGGATTACTTAAGCCCAGGAGTTCAAGACCATACTGGGCAACATAGCAAGACCTCGTCTTTATTAACAATTTAAAAATTAGTGGCCGGGTGCAGTGGCTCACGCCTGTAATCCCAGCACTTTGGGAGGCCAAGGTGGGCAGATCACAAGGTCAGGAGTTCAAGACCAGCCTGGCCAACATGGTGAAACCCTGTCTCTACAAAAATACAAAAATTAGCTGGGCATGGTAGTGTGTTTCTGTAATCCCAGCTACTCAGGAGGCTGAGGCAGGAGAATTGCTTGAACCAGGACCCAGGAGGCAGAGGTTGCTGTGAGCCCAGATTGCACCACTGCACTCCAGACCGGGCTACAGAGTGAGACTCCACCTCAAAAACAAAAAAATTAGCTGGGTATGGTGACACATGCCTGTGGTTCCAGCTACTTGGGAGGCTGAAGCAGGAGGATAGCTTGAGCTCAGAGATCAAGGCTGCAGTGATCCATGATCACACCACTGCACTCCAGCCTGAGTGACAGAGTAAGACACTGTTTTGAAAATAAAAATAAATAAAAATTTAAAAACTATTATTAATATCTCCAGAGTAATAAGATAGTAGAACTGTCAATTGAAGACAAAATACTATGGGGGAAAATGTGAGGAAGAGAGAGGTGTATTCAAAGTAAAAAATATATAGTAAAAGAAATGAAATTCAATAAAAGAGTTGGGAGATAAGGTTAAGCAGGTCTCTCGGAAAGTAAAGCAAAAGGATAAAGACTTAGAAAATGAAGTAAAGTCAATAGGAATATTAGAGGACAGATCTAAGAGACTCGGGGCTGAAAACAGACCAGAGAAAGACACAAGAAAAAGGAAGTAATAAAGTTTGTAGAACTTGAAGAACACATGTTTTTCCCGATTAAATGGCCCACTGAGTGTCTACCATAATGAATGAAGAAAGACCTACGTCATGAAATTTCAGAACACTGTAGATAAAGAGGCAATCCTACAACACTCCAGACAGAAAACAACAATCACATGGAAAAAATCAGGCATTTGAATGGTGTCAGACTTCTCAGCAGCAATATTGGAAGCCAGAAGAAAATGGAGCAATGTCTTATAAATCAGGAAGGAAAATTAATTAGAATTCTGTACCCAGCTGAACTATCTACCAAATGTCAGGATAGGATAAATATATTGTCAGATATGCAAGTTTCTAAAGAAAATTTTTCTCCCTACACATCTTTTCCCAAGAGGCCACTGAAGGGAATGCAGCAAAAAAAAAAAAAAAATACTCAAGAAACAAGAAGAAAGATCCAAGACTGGAATGAGGTGAAGGCAATCCTGATGGTGAAGGGAGATCCCAGGATGAAAGCAGGCACAGCAACAAGGAGCCACCAGTCCAACTTGGAGCAGGTCAGAGAGCGCTAGGAATTTTTTTTTCCTAAGATAAAAAGAAACTGCCTAATACATCTGAATGTCTTAAGAGGAGATTTAAATAATTCGTGAAAAGTTTAAAGTGAAATTAATGATAATCAGAGGTGGATTTACTGTAAAGTTAATCAAATTTAAATTTCAGAACACTTAATCTGCAAGAGTCCTTTCCAAGACCCTATACCTAATTTTGTGTTTACAATTTTATATTTGTTTTCTTAAAGAAGACCACCAATATAAACTATATCCAGCCTTCATGATAAGTACATAGGAAACTATGCAAATAAGGGGGAAAAAAAACAAAGAAAAATACCTAGTTTACTAATGGTTCACTTCTGAATAGCACATATTCATAATGATACAAGCACTCATTACTAGTCTAAGAAAATGAAGATATAATTGCATTAGGAAGATCAAGAGGTAGGAAATGTGGATGTGTGTGGTATAGACTAGGGCAGGACAAAGAACCTAAATCCTCATTTTCTAAAGATAATTGTTAATACGTAAAACTCAAAATTCAAGAAGTAACAGTAAAAGCGGTCATTAAGAAACAAGCACTAAACACCAGATAGGAAGCGAGAGATGGGGGAAGAGGGCAAGAATCTGATTATTTTTTGCAACAAATTTTGTAAAACCATTTGACTGTTTACATGTAGAACTTGGATCTTTTTTAAAAAACACAAAATAATAATACTATTATTTTTTAACTGGATTTTTGAAAAAGAAGATAAAAGTCTCATTTTAGTAATTAAAACTCATTCCAGGTTAGTCCACTCAAAACTTATATTCGAAAATTAAAACTTTGGGAGGCTGAGGCAGGCAGATCACCTGAGGTTGGGAGTTCGAGACCAGCCTGACCAACACGGAGAAACCCCGTCTCTACTAAAAATACAAAATTAGCTGGGCGTTGTGCATGCCTGTAATCCCAGCTACTCGGGAGGCTGAGGCAGGAGAATTGCTTGAACCCGGGAGGCAGAGGTTGCAGTGAGCCGAGATCACACCATTGCACTCCAGCCTGGGCAACAAGAGTGAAACTCCATCTCAAAAAAAAAAAAAAAAAAAAAATTAAAACCTCTGGAAGTTGAGTTTGCAGATATTCATTATGCTCATTTTTAACTTGTATGTTTGGAAAATGTCATGATGAGAATTGAGGTTGGGGGATGAGAAAAAAAGAAAAACATCAACCCCACAGCCCATTCAATTTTCAGCCCGACCCACAGCTCCGGGGAAGGGCAGCAGGTCCATCCTTCACTCTTTCTTCACCTCTTTCCCCTCCTTCTGGCTCTTCCACCTCTAAGTTGGAGCCCAAGAAGAGGCACTGGGAAATGGAAAAGTCTTTTGTACGTGGTACTTGCCGGGGAAGCTGCCATGAAGACCTGGCCCCACGGTGGGGAGGGAATGCCCAGCTGAGGCCTCGTGCCCATGCTAGGATAGACTCGTCCAGACATGTCAGGTGGTCTGACAGGGCAAGCAGCAGGAAGTCATGTATGAGTATGAACTGATCTGTATGCAAGGGCGGGGAGAACACGCGGAGGAATGGGGCGTGAGAAAACAGCACAGTACGTTTCTTTAGCAGCTGTCTCTGCTCAGCCATGGGAGGTCACAGAGAAAGAGGCTTGGAGGCGTTATTTTCACTGTGAGATGTGAGTGTAAAAAAGTGCCCAAGACACAGTGAGTACCAGGGAGATGCCCTCTTTCCTACCCGAATGCAGAATGGCCACAGGCCTTAAAACACACACATGGGTCCTCAGAGGAGAGAGGCCTCCACAGTGGACACCCGCATTCTCCCCTGGTCAGCAGCAGCAGGGCGAGTGCTGGGCCATCATGAAGCTTCACAGGCAATGAGCTCTCAGCAATAACAGGAACAGTGCCTGGGGGACTGTAGCTGCAAGACCGATTTTCATGTAAGATGGCCTCTGAGGACTCCGAGATACACCAGGCTGAGACTAGCTGGCAGCTCCAAGTTCTTGGTCAGAAGAGAACAGGAACTAGGGAAATTGGAATTACTGTTACTACAATTCCTTTACATCCGCACAACCATGAGGTCCAGAGAGTCTCTCTTATTTTTTTTTTAAAGACAGGGTCTCACTCTGTCGCCCAGCCTAGAGTGCACTGGTGTGATCATGGTTCAGTACAGTCTTCACCTCCCAGGCTCAAGTGACCCTCCTGCCTCAGCCTCTCAAGTGGCTGGGACAGCAGTTGCATGCTACCAGGCCTGGCTTTTTTTTTTTTTTTTTTTTTTTTTTTTTTTTTTCGGTAGAGACTGGGTCTCTCTGTATTGCCCAGGCTAGTCTCGAACTCCTGGGCTCAAGTGATCCTCTGGCCTCAGCCTCCCAAAGTGTTGGAATTACAGGCATGAGACACTGCACCCAGCCAGTATAGTCTTTTAACAGCTTTATTGAGGTACGGCTAACATTGAAAAAACTACACAAATGTAAAGTATGCAATTTGATAATTTTGACAAATGTACACACCAGTGAAACTATCACTACAGTCAAAATAATGAACATATCCATCACTCCCAATTTCCTCACGCCCCTTGGTAACCCCTCTCTCCCAACTCCCTGCCCCCTAACATCAGACAACTACTGATGCATTCTGTCTCCATAGGCTCATTTACATTTTCTAGAATTTTACATAAATAAAATGACAGAGTATATACTCCTTCATGTATGGCTTCTTTCAGCCCAATTATGTCAAGATTCATGCTTATGGCTGTGCGTATCCTTAGCCCATCTCTTTGTCTTGCTGAGTAGGATACCATTGCATAGACAGACCACAGCTTGCTCATCCATTCACTCTTGACAACGTTGAATTGTCTCTGTTTTTTGCAATGACAAATAAGGTTGCTATGTACATTCCTGTATAGACATTTGTAAAAGCACAGCATTTCATTTCTCTTGGGTAAAGACCTAGAAGTGGAAGGGCTGAGTCATATGGTAAATATATATGTCTAACTTTTTAAGAAACCGTCAAACTGTTACCCAAAGGGATTGTACCATTTTACATCCCCACCAGCAGTGTATGAAAGTTCCCGTTCTTCCACATCCTCACCAATATTTGGTGTGGTCAGTCTTTTTAATTTTGGACATGCTAATGAGTGCAAAATGAGGCCCAGAGTGTCTGAAGTTACATTTGTATCCTTTTTGGCATCCAAAACAGGTGTCAAGCATAGAAAAAACACTTGTTCCTTGAATGGTCAGTCATTTACAAGTGGAATTCATTACAAACCGGTAGTTCTACTGGGTTAAACTATGCCTTACTGTCAACAGGCACATACACATACAGACAGACAGGAAGGCACAGAGACAAGGCAGAGCATTGATAAGAAGGTGACCTGGGCTCTAGCTCTGGCCTATCACCTAGTAAAATATTAGTTAAGTAGCCATGAGTAACTCACTTAACTTACCACAGGCTCCATTTTCTTATCTGTAAAATAGGAACATTGAAACAGCTAATCCCCAAGGTTTGTGGATAATCAGAATTACAAAGATCAATGACATTTCTATGAGAGAAACATATTTCCAAGTATTTGATGGAGTACATCAGACACAAAGGAAAGGAAACTGAATATTTTTGAGGTTTTTTTTTTTTACCAAGAAATTCACATTTTGTTAAATTTTCAGAACTACCTCCTGAGGAAAGTGTAGCTGCACCCATTTAGAATGATAGAAAACATCAATCTGTCTGATTCCAAAGCCAAGTTCTTGCTACAACGAGAAATGAAACAACTGGATCCCTACAGATGCAGAGACCTGGGCCCCACAAATGTGAATTCTGTTCCCCTACCGAATAGAGTTACAGTTCCATAATACAGTACTCCCTCACTTTTCCACAGTCTCACATTCCACAGTTTCAGTTACCCACAGTCAACTGCAATCCAAAAATATTAATGAAAAATTCCAAAAATAAACAATTCAGAAGTTTTAAATTGTGCTCCATTCTGAGTAGCGTGATAAAATCTTGTGCCACCATCCCACCTGTCCAGCTTATCGTTAGTCATTGACATCGTCTGCTCCTGACATCCAACCATTGACATCATCATGACTCTATGATCCAGGATCACCGAAGCAGATGACCCTCCTTCTGACATATCATCAGGCCAATATCAGCCTAAACACTGCATCACTATGCCCACATCAGTCACCTCACTTCATCTCATCAAGGAGGCAATGGATCACCTCACATCATCACAAGAAGAAGAGTGGGTATAGAACAATAAGATAATTTTGGGGCAGGCATGGTGGCTCACGCTTGTAATCCCAATACTTTGGGAGGCCAAGGCAGGAGGATCCCTTGGGCCCAGGCATTCAAAACCAGCCTGGGAAACATAGTGAGACCTCCTCTCTCTGCAAAAAAAAATAAACAAAATTATCCAGATACAGTGGTGCATGCCTGTGGTCCCAGCTACTCAGGAGGCTAAAGTGGGAGGATCACTTGGTCCCAGGAGGTCGAGGCAGCAGTAAGCTGTGATCGTGCCACTGCACTCCAGCCTGGGCAATAAAGTGAGACCCTGTCTCAAAAAAAAAAGGTAATTTTGAGAAAGAGACCACATTCATACAACTTTTATTATAGTATATTGTTAGAATTGTTCTATTTCATTACTTATTGTTGTTAATTTCTTTCTTTGCCTAATTTTTTTTTTTTTTTGAGTCGGAGTTTCACTCTTGTTGCCCAGGCTGTAGTGCAATGAGACGATCTCAGCTCACCGCAAATCCCGCCTCCCGGGTTCAAGTGATTCTCCTGCCTCAGCCTCCCGAGTAGCTGGGATTACAGGCGCCTGCCACCATGCCCAGCTAATTTTGTATTTTTAGTAGAGGCGGGGTTTCTCCATGTTGGTCAGGCTGGTCTCGAACTCCTGACCTCAGGTGAGGCCTCAGCCTCCTAAAGTGCTGGGATTACAGGCTTGAGCCACTGCGCCTGGCCTCTTTGCCTAATTTATAAATTAAACATTGTCACAGGCATGTATTAATTTATAGGAAAATCATAGACATATAGAGTTGGGTACTATCCACAGTTTCAGGCATTCACTGAGGGGCTTGGAACATGCCCTCCTCAGATGAGGGGGGACTACTGTCATCTCCTCAATCATTCTTGATTCAATCCTCAACACAAATGGTTTGGCCAGGTCTTGCCTCTGGAGACAAAATTGCTAAGGATTTAGAGGGGAAAAAATGTAGTTCACTGGGAAAGTCACCTCTGCTCCACTGGACAGCAACTTAAAACCCAGGCCATGACAAGTAGAAAGGCCACCCCCACTCTCCTTCACACCTGGAGTATTCAGGAGTCAATCATATTTCAGGACCACCAGGAGCAAACTGGGAAAAACTGAGCTGCCTTGAGGAAAGCAATCAGCTCCACAAGGGGCTTAAGAAACAAGCTCTGGGAGGAGTGGTTGGAGAAGAGTTGGGGACACATCAGAAATGCCATCAAATTTCTAAGGGCTACCTCGTGGTGTCAGACCTGTGCATCTTCAAGGACATAAACAGATGGGATAAGCAGATGAGACTCACAGAGGACATCAAAATATTGGCTCCCCAGAAGGGAGAACATTCTAGTAACAGAGCTGCCCAGCTGCAGAGTGGACTGTTTCACAAAGCAACAGGTGCCCTGCCTCTTGAATCACCATCTTCACAGGAATGCAGTAGAAGGGACTTAACTCCTGCCCTGAAGAAAAGGTTAGGCTAGGGAAACAGCTCCAAAATTTTTTAAAAGGAAGCAACATAGGCATCTACTGGGAGTTTTCTAAAGCCTTTGTTTAATGAAACTAAAGAGCTGGGACAGGAAATGCCAAATTAAATTAATAGAGCCTTGCTTTAAGACAATGCAAGTGGATGGTAATGAAGGAATGAGTCCTAGGCCCTGGATCAACCGTATTAAGCAATGCTGAGCATAGAGCCAATTCTGTTCACTAGATTTGCTTAGAAAGGGCCAGACGAGAAGGACTTTTCTAAAGGCACCTACTACCAAAAAGCTGCCAAGGCGTCCAATGGAGCCCAGAGAGAATATGCTAACAATAAAAAGTTGAACACCCTCAATAAAAAAGGGTAAAAGTAATTAATAGAAAATTACTGAAAGCTTTTTTGAAACCAAAAGTAGTCAGCATTGGTAAAAGTCTACAAAAGTGGACACTTTTATATAATGTTGGCAGGAGGGTAAAAAGACATAACCTTTTTGGAGGACAATTTGGCAATAGAGTACCAAAAACCTTACAACTGAAGAGAACTTTGGCCTGAGTGCAGTGGCTCACACCTGTAATGCCAACACTTTGGAAGGCCAAGGTGGGAGGATTGCTTGAGCCCAAAAGTTTGAGACCAGCCTGGGGTAACACAGTAAGACCTCGTCTCTATGAAAAATAAGAAAAGTTAGCTGGGCATGGTGGCATGTGCCTGTGGTCCCAACTACTTGAGAGACTGAGGCAGGAAGATCGCTTGAGCCTCGGAGGTCAAGGCTGCTGTGAGCCATGTTCATGCGACTGTTCTCCAGTCTGGGTGACAGAATGAGACCCTGTCTCACCAGAAAAAAAAAGAAAGAGAGAGAGAGAGAAAGAGAGAAAGAAAAGAAAGAAAGAAAGAAAGAAAGATGGAAGGAAGGAAAGAGAAGAAAGAAAGAAGAAAGAAAGAAAGAAAGAAAGAAAGAAAGAAAGAAAGAAAGAGAAAGAAAGGGAGAGAAAGAAGGAAGGAAGGAAAGAAAGCAAGCAAGCAAGCAGGAAAGGAAGGAAGGAAGGAAGGAAGGAAGGAAGGAAGGAAGGAAGGAAGAAAGAAAAAGAAAGAAAGAAAGAAAGAAAGAAAGAAAGAAAGAGAAAGAAAGAAAAAGGGAGAGGGAAAGGGAAAAGAAAAGGACAAAGAAAAGACCTTTGAACCCTGAATTTCACTTTTAGAGATTCATCTTAAGGAAATTCATTCCAAAGAAATTTATCCCCAGGATTATCTAAATATTTGCTTTTATTTTCTTCTAGTAATTTTATGGTTTAACTTTCTCATGTTTAAGCCTTTAATTTATTTGGAATTTATTTTGGTATGAGAAAGTGTGACCTTTTTTTGTTTTACTTTAAAAAAAATGTATTACGATTATTATTTTAGAGACAGGGTCTTGCTCTGTCACCCAGGCTAGAGTGCAGTGGTGTGATCATAGCTCACTGCAGCCTTGAACTCCTGGCCTCAAGCAATTCTCCCTCGTCAACTTAGGAGTAGCTGGGACCACAGGCATGTACCACCATGCCCAACTAATTTTTTTTATTTTTTGTAGAGACAGAGTCTTGCTTGTTGCCCAGTCTTGCAATGTTGTCTCAAACTCCTGGGCTCAAGTGATCCTGTCGCCCCAGCCTCCCAAAGCACTGGGATTACACGTGTGAGCCACTGCGCCCAGCTGCCTTTTTATTTTTTAATTTTTCAGATGCTTTGTTGGTTCCAAAATAGCACTTATTAACCCACGCTTTCCCCCTCTGGTTTTAAATACTGCAAGTTTGGCTTTGAAATACAACCCACTGCCTTATTCAGGCTACATTCAAGGAAATCTGAGACCAAGAGTCTGAAGGCCCAGTTTCCTTCCTCAAACCCAGGAGGTGGTAAATGTGTCACTTCCACACTTTCTATCTATTTCTAAGAACTCCTTCTTTCCAAACTCTGACATGCCCCTGGCTCAGGTCTATAGAAATTCCCAGGGTCCACAGACAAAGCAGAACTCACTTATGGGGAAATCTGGGAAATACTTATCTGTTAAACCTGCCCCATATGGTGACTCAGATTGTCTAAAGCCCAAAGCATCATTTTCCACCCCAAACCATTTCCTCCTCCAGACTTCTCTATTTCTGTGGTCCAGAGTCAAGATCTTGATATTACCCTAGAGTCCCCCTTCTGCTCTCCTGCATACCCAGATGCCCCTCCCTCCCCAGATCCATTCTCCCACCCTCCCTCCCATCAGTTTGGTGGGCCCATCACCGCTTCCCCTGGCCCAGGCTCTCCTTTTGTGCGCTTGGAGCAGCAGACTGATCTCCCAGCCTTCACTCACTTCATGTGGTAATCTGTTGTGTTCATCACTGTCAGAATCTTCTGCATCCCCTCACTACTCTGCTGAAAACACTCTAGTGGTTCCTCATTGCTCATTAATGAAAGTCTAGATATTAAACGTAGAAGGCCCAGCACAATTTGCCCCTATGCCACCTACCTCTCTAATCTTTTCTCCTTACTCTGACAGACTCTCCGTCTGTCATTTATGTATTCTTTTATTGCTCTCTTCTACTTTTAGTATGAACTGGATTTATGGATTTTTTTAACATTGCTTTCAAGTATGGAATAAAGAATTTTATTTATTTATTTATTTATTTATTTGAGACTGGGTCTCACTCTGTTGCCCAGGCCAGAATGCAATGGTGCAGTCATATCTCACTGTAACCTCGAATTCCTAGGCTCAAGCCATCCTCCTGCCTCAGCCTCCTAAGTAGCTATGACTACGGGTGTGCATCACCACATCTGGCTAATGGAATAAAATATTACAATGCCTAATCTTAATTTTCAAAATTTTAAATTACATTGTACCTAATGCCCATGCATTTACTTTTTTCAGTGGGTCAATAGCCCTCACTTTGGCAAAGGTCCCAGGCCCAAGGTAAGGCCTTACTTTTTCCAAACTCATCTTTTGAAAGACATAAGTGCCTGTAAGTTGTACCACATTAGGTTCTAGGAATTTTTCATCAAAGACTTTATCAGACTATTTTCCTCTAAGTTGAGAAAGAGCTGGGGGCAGAATATGGCACTGAATGACTGAAGAGAAGGCACTGAAATCAGGCCAGAGGTTGCTGGAAAGAGCAATGAGGAACACCAGCAGCAATGAGGAGCCGGTGATGATTTTGGCTTCACAGGGAGGTGTGTACCACACCGATTTTATCTCTACGTGGATGAACCACAGCTGTCGGCTCCCTTGTCTCCAGGACATCACACTCTCCACATTCCCTCCCATCTTCCGGCTTCTGCTTCCCGGGGCCCTCATCTGCCCCATCCTGGGTGAACACTGGTCGGTCAGCTGCTGGGCGTACCTTCCCGCTCTGCACACCCTCCCTGGCCACCCCACCCACTCTCACGGCTCGCACTGCAGAGGAGCCGCATCTCTAGCTCCAGCCCATCTGCCTCTTCTGAGCTCTAACTTCATGTAGGCGACTCCTGCCGGTGTTGCCTCACAGGCCCATCATACTTCAAAGCATTTTCCCCTCAGAACACCGTGTCCTGGCTGCTCCCTCCAGAAGATACATCTCTCAAGCACATCCCCGCGGCTCTCACCTGGATGACTGCATTCACCTTCTCCCACATTTGCCCCCTCCTTTGGATGTATATAGATTGTTTTAAAATACAAATCTGATGTGCTTGCTCTCCTGCTTGAAACACCTCAAAACTGCCTTCAGGATAAACCACTGCCCTTGACATGTTCACAGGTTGCCCATGGCCTGGCCCTGCCCATCTCTTCAGCCTCATCTCATGCCCCTTGCCCCTCGCTCTCTGGGCTTCTGCCTCCCTAGCCCTCCTTTAGGTTCTCTAACACACCATAGTCCTTCTAGTGTTGGGGCCTCTGCAAGTGCTGTTCCCATTGCCTGAGACATGAATCCCTCTCCCTATCTCTACCTGCACCTTCATCTGATTAATCCCTACCCTTCCTACTCATGATGTTGCTTTCTCAGGGACTCTCTCTGACTTTTTAAACTAATCAGGGTCTCCCCAGTATATATCTTCATAGCACTCTGTATTACTCCTTTCTTAATGACCACCTGCTGTAGACTGAATGTTTGTCTTCCTCCAAAATTCATATGTTAAAACCTAGCCCCAAATGTGATAATATTTGGAGGAAGGCTCTTTGGGAGGCAGAGCCCTCATGAATGGGATTAGTAGCCTTATAAAAGAGACCCCTGAGGGCTCCCTTGTCCCCTCCACCGTGTAAGGATGCAACAAGAAAGTATGGTCTATGATCCAAAAAGCAGACCCTTGCCAGGTACCCAATATGCTGGCACTTGAACTTCCCAGCCTCCAGAACTGTGAGAAATAAATTTCTATTTTTCATAAGCCACCGAGTCTATGGTATTTTGTTATAGGAGCACAAACAGACTGATGTGCCACCCAACCATGATTATACGTGTAATTTATGGTTTCTCTGCTAGTAGGGATGCACCATGGGGTTAGGAACCACGCTTTTCTTATTTCCCACACAGTCCTTAGCTCTAAGCATGTTCCTGAATCAAAGATCCCCATCTTTTATGAATGAAGGAGTCAGTGAATGAATTAATGAAAGAACTGATAACCCTCAATAATTATTCCAGCCTTTTATACCTACTATTAACAAGCTTGCATTCTACTCCAAATTTATTGGGCTTTAACTCTATTTTTGGCCAGCCACATTTGACATTCCCTGAAGTAAATCTATGCTTTCCATCCTAAGTCAAGGAAGGACCTGGACTAGTAGGGCCAAGAAAGGTCTAAATTCCATGGGTGGGAGAGAGAGACTAAATCTGAAAGGAAGAATAGATTGAGCAAAGGTGTAGAGATTGGGGAAGGCTGGACATTTGGAGAGAAGGAAAAGGAAACTGACACTAAACCAAACAGTCTCACAAACACAATCTCATCCTTCCAAAACTCTGTGAAGTAAGAATTACTATCCCAGGGCCAGGCACAGTGGCCCACGCCTGTAATCCCAGCACTTTGGGAGGCCAAGGTGGGTGGATCACCTGAAGTCAGGAGTTCAAGACCAACCTGATCAACATGGTGAAACCCCATCTCTACTAAAAATACAAAATTAGCTGGGCATGGTGGTGCACACCTGTAATCCCAGCTACTTGGGAGGCTGAGGCAGGAGAATCATTTGAACCTGGGAGGTAGAGGTTGCAGTGAGCAGAGATCGTGCCACTGCACTCCAGCCTGGGTGACAGGGAGACTCCGTCTCAAAAAAAAAAAAACAAAAAAAAAACCAAAAAAAAAACAAAAAACAAGAATTACTATCCCAGTTTTGCAGATGAGGCAATGGAAGCTCTAAAAAGTTAAGTAGGAGAAACAAACATGAAATGTATGTCTTATGCTTTTCCTCATCCTATTTCCTCAGCCTGGAATGTCCATTCTCCCTCCACTATGCAAATCTAACTCTTCAAGCTAACACATAGCAATGTCTGAGAAACCGTCCCTGTGTTCACTCTGTTAGCCTCACTTGCTCCCTCCCCATCCCTCTGTTTCCTTTCTGTTATAACACTTCTCTATTCTGCTGGCATCACAGTCATCTCCACCTGCCTTCCTCACAAGTTAAAAGCTTGTTAAGGGCAAGTGGTGTTCTTTGCCACCTCATTCCCCAGGGCTTCTAACACAGTGCCTCATGCATGACAGAGTTGTAAAACAGGTTACCAAGCTGGCTTCAGGCAGGTTTGCATGGAACTGTGCTCTACAGGAATACCTGCTCCCCCCAGGCCCTGGGTCTTCCTCCTGAGTCCAGGCTCAGACTCTCTCATCCTGCTCGTTCTCTCTTGGGGAGCCACAGTAACTTTGAGCAACTTTGCATGGGATAGAATGGCCTATTAGGGGCAGCACAAAGACCCCATGGAGGGAAGAGTACAGAAAGGGAAAACGATAATCATATTTTTTTAAGATGTGCATTTTCTTAACAAAATGCTCTAGTACTTGTCCAGACTTTCAAACTCAAAAACCTAAGCGTCCTTTTCTTGAAGATCATCAAAGGCCCCAGTGGTCCTTCAGGTATGTCAAGCTTTCTAGAAAATAAAGCTAAGTCATAATCACTTAACACACATGGCTAAATGGCCATTTCCTTCTAATTTATCAGCAACTGTTACATATTTCTATACTAGAAAAAATTTATATTTATACTCAGGGTGGTAAGTTAAATTTGCCATCGAAGTAAAGCAGAAAGAGCGTAGCATGTATGTATATGTAACTCAACTGTGCATGAGACAAAGATCTATTGAGGAGAATGTGTCTAGCATGGGTCCTGAGCAACCAAACACAATCTATCAAGAGCATAGAGGTGCCATGAAGCAAAACATGGTCATGTTCAGGGTAGTCATGAAATACTGAATGAACAGGGCTGGAAGAACCCCAGTAGTTAGCCAGTCCAATCTCCTCCTTTCATAGATAAGGAAAGCCCAGAGACATGTGGGAATTGCCGGAGGTCACGTAGCTCATTAGGATCAGAGCCAGGATGAGGATCCAAGTCTCTTGCGTCTCCAGCCACATTGTATGCCACACCTGCCACTCCCAGTCTGAGGCCACAATTGCCCTAACCAGGGTCCCTTCCTCCCCTGCAGCCAGGAGTTCACACCAAAAGGAGGAAGGAGAGAACTGTGCACTGGCACAGGACTTCACTGTTGACTATTTGCAATGGATAAAAAGCCTTGTATCAGGTTGAATGCTTATATTTATGTTTATGAAAAATGCTTTGAAAAACTGTAAAGCACCATATAAATGTTAGATTAGTAATATATTTATTACATGATTTGTATCTGGGATATTAACAGTACCAACTTTATTATTGGCCATTTTATTTTCACAGCTAATTTATATTTAATCTGGAATCCAAATTTGGCCAACATGAAAGCATCTGATTAGTTTCTGGGTTTGTCTTATTGGAAAGTTCATCTCCCAGAAGGTAGAGAATATGACAGAGGAATGCTAATCTAGGCATATTTCTGTCCAAGAAGAAAATGATTTGTGAAAGAGGAATTTGAGATAAAGGTTATACTACAGTAACAAATAAATTCCGAAATCTCAGTGACTTAATACATCTAATACAGGTCGTTCTATTCTCATGCATTTGCAACCACACCTAATTCATTTGTAGCACATTCTCTAGAACACGTGACTTCCAAAGTTGCTGCATCAGGGCAAGTTTATGTGACACAGGCATACACTGGCCCTTGATTGCATCAGCCAAGACACGCAACACCTCATCTATCACTTCCTCTCACAGTTCTCTGGCCAGAAAAAAACACATGTCCCCAGTCTAAACTGCAAGGGAGACCAGGAAATTAAGACAGACATTAATCGAGTAATCTCTCAAATGAGCAGGTATTTGGTGAGCACTGCCTACCACATGTATGCTCTCTAGATTTCAGGAAACCAAATATCAAAAAAAGTTTTTAGTGTCCTAATTGTCTAAAAACAAATCTATATATGCCTTGAAAAAAAGAAAGACTGAAAGAAAAGACAATGGAGTCATAACAATGATTATCTCTAGTTATTAAATTGCGGATTTTCTTTTCTTCTTTATATTTTTATATTTCCTCAGCAAAATTTAATGAACATGTTTTAGAATCTGAAAAAAGTAATACAAGCTATTCCTGGAAGTTGAAAAACAAGCTCAGACCAGAGATAACCTTGACTCCACTAAAGAAAATGACTCAAAAGGAAAGGGAATTTCTTAAAAATGCACTTTTGATGAGATAACCAGAATTAGTAAGAAAAGTGAGAGACGGGCACAGACATGACTGCCACACCGGAAGCTCTCTGAGGAACTCTGATTTTTAAAGGGCATCCATGAAGAGGGAAAGAAGGACAGTTCTCCAAAAAAGAAGAAAAAGAGGAAGCAGTCCTGTTCATCACTGTATTAGGCCATACTTGTGTTGCCATAAAGAAATACCTAAGGCTGAGTAATTTACAAGGAGAAGAAGTTTATTTTGGCTTATGGTTTTGCAGGCTATACAAAAAGTATGACACGACCATCTGTGTCTGGTGAGGGCCTCAGGAAGTTTCCAATCATGGCAGAAGGCAAAGAGGGCCAGGCATGTCACATGGTAAGAGCAGGAGCAAGACAGTGAGGGAGGAGGTACCACACACTTCTAAACAACCAGGTCTTGTGAGAACTCAGTCCCTATTGAGAGGACAGCACCGAGCTATTCATGAGGGATCTGTCCCCGTGATCCAAACATTTTCCAGCAGGCCTCACTTCAACACTGGGGATTACATTTCAATGTGAGATTTGGAGGGGGCAAACATCCAAACCATATTATTCCACCCTTGGTCCCCCAAATCTCATGTGCTTCTCATATTGCAAAATAAAATCGTGCCTTCCCAATAATCCCCCCAACTTTTAACTCATTCCAGCCCCAACCCAAAAGTCCCAAAGTCCAAAGTCTCATCTGAAATTCAAGTCAAGTTCCTTCCACCTATGAGGCTGTAAAGTCAAAAACAAATTATTTACTTCCAAGATTCAAAAGTGATACAGTCATTGTGTAAACATTCCCATTCCAGAAGGGAGAAATTGGTCAAAATGTTACCAGAAAGGGGTCCCGATCCAGACCCAAGAGAGGGCTCTGGACCTCGTACAAGAAAGAATTCCAGGCGAGTACATACAGTAAAGTAAAAGCAATTTTATTAAGAAAGTAACGGAATAAAGAATGGCTACTCCATAGGCAGAACAGCAGCTTGGGCTGCTGAACTAAGGATGCTTAATAGTTATTTCTTAATTATATGTTAAACAAGCAGTGGATTATTCACAAGCTTTCTGGGAACGAGGTAGGCACTTCCCAGAGCTGAGGGTTCCTCCCCTTGTTAGTCCATATGGGGTACCTTTTAGACGTTGCTATGCCATCTGTAAACTGTCATGGTGCTGAGACCGGCACAGGCATGACTGTTGGGGTCATGGTGGGAGTGTCTTTTGGCATGCTAATACATTATAATTAGCATATAATGAGCAGTGAGGACAACCAGAGGTCACTCTCATCGCCAGCAGTTCTCACACTGCTGTAAAGAACTGCCCAAGACTGGTAATGTATAAAGAAAACGGGTTTAATTGACTCACAGTTCTGCATAGCTGGGAAGCCTCAGGAAACTTACAATCATGGCAGAAAGGAAAGCAAGTACCTTCTTCATAAAGCTGCAGGAGAGAGTGTGAGCATGTGTGTAGGAGGAACTTCCAAACACTTATAAAACCATTAGATCTTATGAGAACTCACTCAGTATCACCAGAACAGCATGGGGGAAATTGCCTCCATAATCCAATCACCTCCAACCAGGTCCTCCCCTCAACATGTGGGGATTATGGGAATTATAATTTGAGATGAGATTTGGGTGGGGACATAGAGCCAAACCATATCACCATTTTGGCTTTGTGAGTTTTGGCTGGCTTCTTTACTGCAACTTATTTTATCAGCGAGGTCTTCGCTACCTGTATCTTGTGCCGACCTCCTATCTCCTCCTGTGACTTAGAATTCCTAACCTCCTAGGAATGCAGCTCAGTAGGTCTCAGCCTTATTTTACCCAGCCCCTATTCAAGATGGAATTGTTCTGGTTCAAACACCTGTGACCAAAAAAAAAAAAAAAAAAAAAAAAAGCAACAGGTCCCACACAAGCCTGAAATTGACAGGGAAAACATTAAGCCTTAAAGCTGCAACATAATCTTTGATTCCATGTCCTGCAAGCTGGTTCAAGGGGTAGGCTCCCAAGGCCTTAGACAGCCCTGCCTCTGTGGGCTTCCCTGGGAGTAGCCCATGTGGCTGATCTCATGGGTTGGAGTTGAGTGCCTGCAGCTTTTCCAGGCTCAGGGTGCCAGCTGCCAGTGCATCTACCATTCTGGGGTCTGGAGGGCAGCAGCCCCATTCCCACAGTATCACCAGGTAGTGCCCCAGTGGGGACCGTGTGTGAGGACTCCAACCCCACATTTTCCTTTGGCATTGCCCTAGTAGAGGTTCTCTGCAAGGGCTCTGCCCCTGTATCATGCTTCTGCCTGGGAACCTAGGGTTTCTGACACATCCTCTGAAATCTAGGTGGAAGTGCCCAAGCTCCCTCAATCTTGCATTCTGGGCACCTGCAGGCTTAACACCACATGGAAACCACCAAGGCTTATGGCTTGTGCCCTCGGGAGCAGTGGTCCAAGCTCTATCTTGGCCCGTTTGAGCCAAGGCTGGAGCCAGAGCAGAGTGGCCTGGATGCGGGCAGCAGTGTCCCAAAGCTGTGCATAGCAGTGTGGCCCTGGCCTGGCCCATAAAACCTCTGGGCCTAGTGCACCAAACCTCTGCACCTGTGATGGGAGGGGCTGCTTCATAGATCTCTGAAATGCCCTCAAGGCCTTTTTAACATTGTCTTGAATATTAGCACTTGGCTCCCTTTTAGTCATGCTAATCTCTCTAGCAATGATTGCTCTGCAGCCTACTTGGATTCTTTCTCTGCCACAAGGCCAGGCTGCAAATTTTCCAAATTTTTAGACTCTACTTCCATTTTAAACATAGGTTCCAACTTTAAGTCATTTCTTTACCCCTGAGCACAGGCTGTTAGAAGCAGACAGGCCATATCCTGGCTTAGAAATTTCTAAGCAGGCCAGGCGGGGTGGCTCATGCTTGTAACCCCAGCATTTTGGGAGGCCAAGGCGGGTGGATCACGAGGTCAGAAGATTGAGACCATCTTGGCTAACATGGTGAAACCTCGTCTCTACTAAAATACTAAAAAATTAGCCAGGTATGGTGGCAGGCGCCTGTAGTCCCAGCTACTTGGGAGGCTGAGGCAGGAGAATGGCATGAACCCAGGAGACAGAGCTTGAAGTGAGCCAAGATTGCGCCACTGCGCTCCAGCCTGGGCGACACAGCAAAACTCCAGCTCAAAAAAAAAAAAAAAAGAAAGAAAGAAATTTCTAAGCAACACACTTTGTTGCTTAGAGGTTTCTTCCACTAGATACCCTACCGTAAGTCATCACTCTTACATTCAAACTTCCACAGATCCCCAGGACATGAACACAATGCACCCAATTTCTTTGCTGAGTCATAGCAAGGGTGACCTTTGCCCAGTTCCCAACAAATTCCCCATTTCCATCTGAGACTTTGTCACCCTGGACTTCATTGTCCGTATCACTATCAGCATTTTGGTCACAACCATTTAGCCAGTCTCTAAGAAGTTCCAAACTTTCCCTCATCTTCTTGTTTTCTTCTGAGCCCTTTAAATTCTTCCAATCTTTGCCCATTACCCAGTTCCAAAGTTGACTCCACATTTTTAGATATCTTTATAGCTATATGCCCCATTCTTCAGTACCAGTTTTCTGTATTAAGCCATTCTTTTTTTTTTCTTTTTTTCTTTTTTTTGAGACGGAGTCTCACTCTGTCGCCCAGGCTGGAGTGCAGTGGTGCAATCTCGGCTCACTGCAAGCTCCGCTTCCCGGGTTCATGCCATTCTCCTGCCTCAGCCTCCAGAGTAGCTGGGACTACAGGCGCCCACCACCACGCCCGACTAATTTTTTGTATTTTTAGTAGAGATGGAGTTTCACCGTGTTAGCCGGTGGTCTCAATCTCCTGACCTCATGTTCCACCCCCCTCAGCCTCCCACAGTGCTGGGATTACAGGCGTGAGCCACCATGCCCAGCCTGTATTAAGCCACTCTTATGTTGCTATAAAGAAATATCTGAGGCTGGGTAATTTATATGGAAATGAAGTTTATTTTGGCTCACAGTTCTGCAGGCTGTACAAGCATGGCACCCACATCTGCTCAGCTTTTGGCGAAGCCTTAGGAAACTTTCAATCATGGCAGAGAGCGAAGGGGAGCAGGGATGTCACATGTCGAAAGCAGTAACAAGAGAGCAATGGGGGAGTGCCACACACTTTTAAACAACCATATCTCAGGAGAACTCATTCACTATTGAGAGGACAGTACCAAGCTATTCATGAGGGATCTGCCCCCATGATCCAAACACCTCCCACCAGGCCCTACCTCCAACACTGGGGATTACATTTCAACATGAGATTTGGAGGGAACAAATACCCAGACTACATCAATCACCCATCTCCAGAGAAAAGGAAAAGGGAATTTAGAAACAAAAAAAAAAAGCACATCCATCAGAGAACAGATGAGCTAAGGTGAAGAGGTAATTGTAGCTAAATAGAAATTTGCTGACTGAACGTGAAGCTGTCCCTTCCTGCTATGGACTTCAGATTTTAGCCCACTTGAATTGCTCCATATCCTCCAAGCCATGGCCATCCCTTGACTCTCTGGGCTCCCAAGCACTTGCTGCCTTCATCACACAGTTTGAGTTAAGGCAGAAAGACTGGTTTCCATGTACACTTTGTGGAAGCTTTCTCATTTCTTTATATAATCTCTGTCCTTTGTCTACTGCTTTAAAATCTAGAAATTGTTTACAAACACAAAGGTGATCCTTTAAAAGCTCAAAGCTGATTGTGTCACCAATATATACCACTCTTAATGGCTTCCCATTAAACTTTGAGTAAAGACTTTATGGAGCCTACATAAGGCCATGACTACCTGGCTCTTATTTTCCTCCTCATCCTCATCTCACCAACTCACTCTCCACTCCTATACCCCTCACTCCTTCCCCCTCCTCTCTCTGAGCTCCAGACTCCCAATTACCTACTTCCACCCTTTTTGACCCCCAGGGACTTATCTCAGCCTGGAATTTTCCCTCTTTGCTCTCCACTGAACTGTCCACTCCCAGTCTAAGACATGTGCTTATGTCACACGCCCTTACCGTGCTTATCTCAGTTTGTAATTATCTACTCATTTAGAAAAGTGTTGATGAAGGTCTTCACTGTCAGCTTTCAGGATAGCAGGAATCATAGCTGATTTTACTTACTTAACGGGGTTTCATTCTTTGTAACTTTTTTTTTTTTTGAGATGGAGACTCACTCTTGCCCAGGCTGGAGTGCAATGGCATGATCTCGGCTCACTGCAACCTCCACCTCCTGGGTTCAAGTGATTCTCCTGCTTCAGCCTCCCGAGTAGCTGGGATTACAGATGCCTGTCACCACGCCCAGCTAATTTTTTGTATTTTTTGTAAAGACGGGGTTTCATCATGTTGGCCAGGCTGGTCTCGATCTCCTGACCTCAGGCGATCCACCCACCTCAGCCTCCCAAAGTGCTGTGATTACAGGCATGAGCCACGGCACCCAGCCACTCCTTTTTTACTTATGGGTGAGAAGCCATTAGAGATTATTTCTTCTTTTCTTTCTCTCTTCACTAAGGCACCAGGGTCACTAAGTAGTAGGATACTTTGAACTAGAACTCAAGAAATTGAGTTTTAATTTTACCTCACACTCTCATATGAATTCTCCATGTGACCTCGGGCCATACTTCCCCTGTACCCTGTTTCCTCTTTTATAAAAGTAAGAGTTTAAACTAGATGGTCTCCGACATGCATCCTTCTCTAACATATTCTGGAACCTTCAATAAACTAAGATAAAGCAGAATAATTAAAACTTAATTTAAAAGAACACAGGAAAGGAAGCAGCTACATTAAGCAAAAGAGACATCCTCATGGTTGAAGAAGTGTATGCCCTGGTGTCTGGATCCCATTTAGGAAACTTGGTAACCTTGCAATCTTGGGCAGATTGCTTAATTTCTCTAGACCATGACTTCCTCTTCTGTAAGATGTGATAAGAACATCTACCTCACAGGTTTCATGAGAGGATTAAATGAGATAATGTATTATAATCCCTTGAACATGGTAGGCTGTTATGTTAAGTCCTTTCCTCCTTCTCTGTAGCTATCATGGAATTTAAAAACACATTATAACTAGAGCATGAGTTGCGACTAAAGGCTCAATTGTCTCTGCATGTGTTGGCTCATGCATGCTTTATTCCTCTGAAGAGCTTTTATACCAAGTGAAAGGAAATAATTGCATTTCCCTGAAAATTCACAGGAAAAAGTTATGTTTTTCTCTTCATTCAAGTGATTCTGTTAGACCCAACCACATGCAACAATTTTAAAGTTGCTTCCAAATATATTTACAAATATTTCCTGTCTTCAAGGAACAATGGCAAGACCATGACTCAGGTTCACATCCGGATTCCACCACTAACCATGTACCCAATTACTTCAGTCACCTTCATTCAGGTCTTACATATCACAGAATAAAATCAGATTTCATCAGAGGAGGTGAAGACAGGGAGAGGAGATATTTCAATCCCTTCTCCGCAACCCCCGTTTTTTTTTTTTTTTTAACAAGGATCCTAGAGTTACTGAATGATAGCACGTTTGAGGGGGAAAGACCCTAAGGATGATCTTTATAAGCCATCACTTGGTGTTGGTGGTGATAAGAGACTCGAGTATCTTTATGCAGTGGAAAGAGAAGATTGGACTCGGAATCAGAAGCTTGAGTTCAAGCACTGGTTTCATCAGTCTTGTGATCTTGGGTTGGTCACTTAACCTCTTCAAGGGTCCTCAGCTGTGAAAGAGGATAGTATCAGCTAATTCTTGTAGGTGCAGTGAGGAGGCAGTGAGATAGTGCAGGTAAACTATAAAACAATTGTCACATGAAACGCATCACAGTGATTCTTTGGACCCACAAGCTCCAATCTTATAAAACATATCCAGTCACCCACCAACATAGATCATCTCACCTTGCATATCTGATTTTGTGGATCATGGGGAAAAACTGCTGATTCCTAGCAAAACCCATGGCATAGGATAAGTGCACAATAATTTTTTTTTCCTAAATGATTTAGATGACAGTGACTCATTAAGGGTTTCCTGAGGCCTCCTCAGAGTCGAGAGGTGGGTGCCTGAAGCCACCCAAAGTCCCTGTCACAGGATGGCTCCCAACGCACACACCACAGGCCTGCCCAGTATGTTCCACTATCTACCCAGTAGAGCCCTGCCCAGTACGTTCCACTGTCCCTTCCCTAGAAGAGGTGACTGTTGTTCACAGTCCCAGAAAAGCGGGCTCCCCAAAACAATGCAAGGACCCACCTCTCTCTGAACCTCACCCACCCTAGTTTTCCTTTAAAAATCAATTTACAAGAAGATCATGTGAAGGAAAAGGTTGGGTGATATTCTAACCCAAGTTAGCTGTTTCTCAACCAAGTTCTCTTTGAAAAATTCAACAACCACCTTTGGGGAATTATTTACAACAGAGGAGTGAGGATGGGACCAGGATAGGTATTGCCTATGTTGGTGGAACCAGGGTTTTTTTCCTGGATTACCAAAGAGATGGTATGCATTGCTCCCAGAAGCTAAATATCTTCAGGCTTTCAATGGTGGCCTTCACCTGAAAATGTTATCCCTGTTGAAGCTTTCAAGCCAGTATTTTCATAAGAACTATATTTTCTTTGGTGAACTGAGGCATTATAATGATGACTATACAGGTTCTTGAGTGACTGAAGCCATCATTAGCATTGTCATTATTTTTGTTTAGTTGCATCTCCATAGCAGCTCACATTCACAATGTGCTTTGCAATTGTTCCTTAGCAATAGCCCTCACAAGATTCTCAGGAGGAGAGGGTTAATCAGGATTAACATTTCTGTGTTGCCTAAAGAGGAACCAAGGTAAGCAGAAATGTAGCCAGTTGGCTGGCATCACTGTTGCTTCAGGATTCATCCTTAGACACCCAAGCTTCTACCCTAGTCTGGTGCTACACTTACATTGCTTACATCCAAGTGTGGTTATTTCTGTGGCTCCTGTTATAACTATTATAGCACCAGGTCTATGACCAGGAGAATTAGACTGGCATTAAATCAGAATAAGAGATTTTGCACCTGCAATAGACCTTATGACACCTAACCAACCCCATTATTTACAATTAAACAGGAACAGAGGGAATACTTTATCCAACTCACACAAGCTGCTTTCCTCCCAGATCCATGCTTTTTTGCGTTTATTATTTTTTAGAGATGGGGGCTTCACTATGTTGCCCACACTGGACTAAAACTCTGGGCCTCAAGTGATTGTCCTGCCTCAGCCTCCTGAATAGCTGGGACTACAGGGGCATGCCATCACACCTAGTTCATTTCCTCTATTTAAAATATACATGGCTTAAACTCCAACTGGGAACCCAAAACATTCATTTGCTAAGAGTCTGGTGTTCTACCACCTGAACTAGGCTGGCCACAGGAATTATAAAAGCTGAGAAATTCTTTAATAATAGTAACCAGGCAACACCATTGAAGGCTCATATGTAAAAATCCATGCCTTCCTTTCTCCCAATCTCCATTCCCAAACTTAGCCACTGGCTTCTGGCTGAGGCCTTACGCATACCTCCCGGGGCTTGCACACACCTTCTTCTACAGAAGACACACCTTGGGCATATCCTACAGAAGACCAGGCTTCTCTCTGGTCCTTGGTAGAGGGCTACTTTACTGTAACAGGGCCAGGGTGGAGAGTTCTCTCCTGAAGCTCCATCCCCTCTATAGGAAATGTGTTGACAATATTCAGAAGAGTAAGAGGATCAAGACTTCTTTGTGCTCAAATACCACTGTTCTCTTCTCTACCCTGCCCTAACCAGGAGCTTGTCACCCCAAACTCTGAGGTGATTTATGCCTTAATCAAGCAAACTTCCCTCTTCAGAAAAGATGGCTCATTTTCCCTCAAAAGTTGCCAGGAGCTGCCAAGTATTCTGCCAATTCACCCTGGAGCACAATCAACAAATTCAGCCAGAACACAACTACAGCTACTATTAGAACTATTATTATTAATAAATTCCTCTCCAAATCTAGCCCCTTGACTTCGGATTTCACGATTTCTCCCTTCCTCCTAGAAACTTGATAAGTTTCCCGCGCTTCCCTTTTTCTAAGACTACATGTTTGTCATCTTATAAAGCAAAGGGGTGAATAAATGAACCAAATCAATAACTTCTGGAATATCTGCAAACAACAATAATATCAGCTATGCCATCTTTCACTATTTTAGCCAGTATCGAGTTGAATGAACATAGAAAAATACAAAACTGAATTCTTCCCTGTAAATTCCCCGTTTTGACGACGCACTTGTAGCCACGTAGCCACGCCTACTTAAGACAATTACAAAAGGCGAAGAAGACTGACTCAGGCTTAAGCTGCCAGCCAGAGAGGGAGTCATTTCATTGGCGTTTGAGTCAGCAAAGGTATTGTCCTCACATCTCTGGCTATTAAAGTATTTTCTGTTGTTGTTTTTCTCTTTGGCTGTTTTCTCTCACATTGCCTTCTCTAAAGCTACAGCCTCTCCTTTCTTTTCTTGTCCCTCCCTGGTTTGGTATGTGACCTAGAATTACAGTCAGATTTCAGAAAATGATTCTCTCATTTTGCTGATAAGGACTGATTCGTTATACTGAGGGACAGCAGAACTAGTTTCCTATGAGGGCATGGGTGAATACAACTGAGGCTTCTCATGGGAGGGAATCTCTACTATCCAAAATTATTAGGAGAAAATTGAAAATTTCCAACTCTGTCTCTCTCTTACCTCTGTGTAAGGCAAATACCTTATTCTTGTGGTGTTTTTGTAACCTCTTCAAACTTTCATTGATTGAATGCCTGTTCTGGCAATACATTAGGTTGGGCACATAAGGAATACCAACATAAATAAAACATTCTAAAAGAAGTTTACGATCTAATAAAGGAGACAGGTACATAGCAAACTAATTCAAAGGAGCTAGAAGATGGAGAAAATGCTGAATGTGGACTAAGTCATTCAACAAAGTTTTCAGGAAGCACAAAGAGGAGGGGCTCCCCTCACAGATATCTGGATTAGAGGCTGGCTGAGCTGATGGTGGCTGGTGTTCTCTGTTGCAGAAGTCAAGATGGCCAAAGTTCCAGACATGTTTGAAGACCTGAAGAACTGTTACAGGTAAGGAATAAGATTTATCTCTTGTGATTTAATGAGGGTTTCAAGGCTCACCAGAATCCAGCTAGGCATAACAGTGGCCAGCATGGGGGCAGGCCGGCAGAGGTTGTAGAGATGTGTACTAGTCCTGAAGTCAGAGCAGGTTCAGAGAAGACCCAGAAAAACTAAGCATTCAGCATGTTAAACTGAGATTACATTGGCAGGGAGACCGCCATTTTAGAAAAATTATTTTTGAGGTCTGCTGAGCCCTACATGAATATCAGCATCAACTTAGACACAGCCTCTGTTGAGATCACATGCCCTGATATAAGAATGGGTTTTACTGGTCCATTCTCAGGAAAACTTGATCTCATTCAGGAACAGGAAATGGCTCCACAGCAAGCTGGGCATGTGAACTCACATATGCAGGCAAATCTCACTCAGATGTAGAAGAAAGGTAAATGAACACAAAGATAAAATTACGGAACATATTAAACTAACATGATGTTTCCATTATCTGTAGTAAATACTAACACAAACTAGGCTGTCAAAATTTTGCCTGGATATTTTACTAAGTATAAATTATGAAATCTGTTTTAGTGAATACATGAAAGTAATGTGTAACATATAATCTATTTGGTTAAAATAAAAAGGAAGTGCTTCAAAACCTTTCTTTTCTCTAAAGGAGCTTAACATTCTTCCCTGAACTTCAATTAAAGCTCTTCAATTTGTTAGCCAAGTCCAATTTTTACAGATAAAGCACAGGTAAAGCTCAAAGCCTGTCTTGATGACTACTAATTCCAGATTAGTAAGATATGAATTACTCTACCTATGTGTATGTGTAGAAGTCCTTAAATTTCAAAGATGACAGTAATGGCCATGTGTATGTGTGTGACCCACAACTATCATGGTCATTAAAGTACATTGGCCAGAGACCACACTGAAATAACAACAATTACATTCTCATCATCTTATTTTGACAGTGAAAATGAAGAAGACAGTTCCTCCATTGATCATCTGTCTCTGAATCAGGTAAGCAAATGACTGTAATTCTCATGGGACTGCTATTCTTACACAGTGGTTTCTTCATCCAAAGAGAACAGCAATGACTTGAATCTTCAATACTTTTGTTTTACCCTCACTAGAGGTCCAGAGACCTGTCTTTCATTATAAGTGAGACCAGCTGCCTCTCTAAACTAATAGTTGATGTGCATTGGCTTCTCCCAGAACAGAGCAGAACCATCCCAAATCCCTGAGAACTGGAGTCTCCTGGGGCAGGCTTCATCAGGATGTTAGTTATGCCATCCTGAGAAAGGCCCCGCAGGCCGCTTCACCAGGTGTCTGTCTCCTAACGTGATGTGTTGTGGTTGTCTTCTCTGACACCAGCATCAGAGGTTAGAGAAAGTCTCCAAACATGAAGCTGAGAGAGAGGAAGCAAGCCAGTTGAAAGTGAGAAGTCTACAGCCACTCATCAATCTGTGTTATTGTGTTTGGAGACCACAAATAGACACTATAAGTACTGCCTAGTATGTCTTCAGTACTGGCTTTAAAAGCTGTCCCCAAAGGAGTATTTCTAAAATATTTTGAGCATTGTTAAGCAGATTTTTAACCTCCTGAGAGGGAACTAATTGGAAAGCTACCACTCACTACAATCATTGTTAACCTATTTAGTTACAACATCTCATTTTTGAGCATGCAAATAAATGAAAAAGTCTTCCTAAAAAAATCATCTTTTTATCCTGGAAGGAGGAAGGAAGGTGAGACAAAAGGGAGAGAGGGAGGGAAGCCTAATGAAACACCAGTTACCTAAGACCAGAATGGAGATCCTCCTCACTACCTCTGTTGAATACAGCACCTACTGAAAGAACTTTCATTCCCTGACCATGAACAGCCTCTCAGCTTCTGTTTTCCTTCCTCACAGAAATCCTTCTATCATGTAAGCTATGGCCCACTCCATGAAGGCTGCATGGATCAATCTGTGTCTCTGAGTATCTCTGAAACCTCTAAAACATCCAAGCTTACCTTCAAGGAGAGCATGGTGGTAGTAGCAACCAACGGGAAGGTTCTGAAGAAGAGACGGTTGAGTTTAAGCCAATCCATCACTGATGATGACCTGGAGGCCATCGCCAATGACTCAGAGGAAGGTAAGGGGTCAAGCACAATAATATCTTTCTTTTACAGTTTTAAGCAAGTAGGGACAGTAGAATTTAGGGGAAAATTAAACGTGGAGTCAGAATAACAAGAAGACAACCAAGCATTAGTCTGGTAACTATACAGAGGAAAATTAATTTTTATCCTTCTCCAGGAGGGAGAAATGAGCAGTGGCCTGAATCGAGAATACTTGCTCACAGCCATTATTTCTTAGCCATATTGTAAAGGTCGTGTGACTTTTAGCCTTTCAGGAGAAAGCAGTAATAAGACCACTTACGAGCTATGTTCCTCTCATACTAACTATGCCTCCTTGGTCATGTTACATAATCTTTTCGTGATTCAGTTTCCTCTACTGTAAAATGGAGATAATCAGAATCCCCCACTCATTGGACTGCTGTAAAGATTAAGAGTCTCAGGCTTTACAGACTGAGCTAGCTGGGCCCTCCTGACTGTTATAAAGATTAAATGAGTCAACATCCCCTAACTTCTGGACTAGAATAATGTCTGGTACAAAGTAAGCACCCAATAAATGTTAGCTATTACTATCATTATTATTATTATTTTATTTTATTTTTTTGAGATGGAGTCTGGCTCTGTCACCCAGGCTGGAGTGCAGTGGCGCAATCTCGGCTCACTGCAAGCTCTGCCTCCTGGGTTCATGCCATTCTCCTGCCTCAGCCTCCTGAGTAGCTGGGAATACAGGCACCCGCCACTGTTCCCGGCTAATTTTTTGTATTTTTAGTAGAGACGGAGTTTCACCGTGGTCTCCATCTCCTCGTGATCCACCCACCTTGGCCTCCCAAAGTGCCGGGATTACAGGCGTGAGCCACCGCGCCCGGCCTATGATTATTATTATTATTACTACTACTACTACCTATATGAATACTACCAGCAATACTAATTTATTAATGACTGGATTATGTCTAAACCTCACAAGAATCCTACCTTCTCATTTTACATAAAAGGAAACTAAGCTCATTGAGATAGGTAAACTGCCCAATGGCATACATCTGTAAGTGGGAGAGCCTCAAATCTAATTCAGTTCTACCTGAGTAAAAAAATCATGGTTTCTCCTCCATCCCTTTACTGTACAAGCCTCCACATGAACTATAAACCCAATATTCCTGTTTTTAAGATAATACCTAAGCAATAACGCATGTTCACCTAGAAGGTTTTAAAATGTAACAAAATATAAGAAAATAAAAATCACTCATATCGTCAGTGAGAGTTTACTACTGCCAGCACTATGGTATGTTTCCTTAAAATCTTTGCTATACACATACCTACATGTGAACAAATATGTCTAACATCAAGACCACACTATTTACAACTTTATATCCAGCTTTTCTTACTTAGCAATGTATTGAGGACATTTTAGAGTGCCCGTTTTTCACCATTATAAGCAATGCAACAATGAACATCTGTATAAATAAATATTCATTTCTCTCACCCTTTATTTCCTTAGAATATATTCCTAGAAGTAGAATTTCCCAGAGCCATGAGGATTTGTGACGCTATTGATATGTGCCACTTTGCACTCTCTGTGACATATATAATTATTTTTAATGCATTCTTTTTTTCTCAGAGTGCATTCATTTGAAAACATAGACGGGAAATACTGGTAGTCTTCCTTGTCAGTTAGAAACACCCAAACAATGAAAAATGAAAAAGTTGCACAAATAGTCTCTAAAAACAATGAAACTATTGCCTGAGGAATTGAAGTTTAAAAAGAAGCACATAAGCAACAACAAGGATAATCCTAGAAAACCAGTTCTGCTGACTGGGTGATTTCACTTCTCTTTGCTTCCTCATCTGGATTGGAATATTCCTAATATCCCCTCCAGAACTATTTTCCCTGTTTGTACTAGACTGTGTATATCATCTGTGTTTGTACATAGACATTAATCTGCACTTGTGATCATGGTTTTAGAAATCATCAAGCCTAGGTCAGCACCTTTTAGCTTCCTGAGCAATGTGAAATACAACTTTATGAGGATCATCAAATACGAATTCATCCTGAATGACGCCCTCAATCAAAGTATAATTCGAGCCAATGATCAGTACCTCACGGCTGCTGCATTACATAATCTGGATGAAGCAGGTACATTAAAATGGCACCAGACATTTCTGTCATCCTCCCCTCCTTTCATTTACTTATTTATTTATTTCAATCTTTCTGCTTGCAAAAAACATACCTCTTCAGAGTTCTGGGTTGCACAATTCTTCCAGAATAGCTTGAAGCACAGCACCCCCATAAAAATCCCAAGCCAGGGCAGAAGGTTCAACTAAATCTGGAAGTTCCACAAGAGAGAAGTTTCCTATCTTTGAGAGTAAAGGGTTGTGCACAAAGCTAGCTGATGTACTACCTCTTTGGTTCTTTCAGACATTCTTACCCTCAATTTTAAAACTGAGGAAACTGTCAGACATATTAAATGATTTACTCAGATTTACCCAGAAGCCAATGAAGAACAATCACTCTCCTTTAAAAAGTCTGTTGATCAAACTCACAAGTAACACCAAACTAGGAAGATCTTTATTATCTCTGATAACATATTTGTGAGGCAAAACCTCCAATAAGCTACAAATATGGCTTAAAGGATGAAGTTTAGTGTCCAAAAACTTTTATCACACACATCCAATTTTCATGGCGGACATGTTTTAGTTTCAACAGTATACATATTTTCAAAGGTCCAGAGAGGCAATTTTGCAATAAACAAGCAAGACTTTTTCTGATTGGATGCACTTCAGCTAACATGCTTTCAACTCTACATTTACAAATTATTTTGTGTTCTATTTTTCTACTTAATATTATTTCTGCAATTTTCCCAATATTGACATCGTGTATGTATTTGCCATTTTTAATATCACTAGACAATTCAATCAGGTTGCTACGTTGGTCCCTTGGGTTTACTCTAAATAGCTTGATTGCAAATATCTTTGTATATATTATTGTTTTTTCTCCTATCTTGTAATTTCTTTGAGCACATCCCAAAGAGGAATGCCTAGATCAATGGGCACAAATAATTTGACAGCTCTTATTAAACATTATTCTGTAAGTAAAAACTGAACTACTTTTCAGTATCACTAGCAACATATGAGTGTATCAGCTTCCTAAACCCCTCCATGTTAGGTCATTATGAACTTATGATCTAACAAATTACAGGGTCTTATCCCACTAATGAAATTATAAGAGATTCAACACTTATTCAGCCCCGAAGGATTCATTCAACGTAGAAAATTCTAAGAACATTAACCAAGTATTTACCTGCCTAGTGAGTGTGGAAGACATTGTGAAGGACACAAAGATGTATAGAATTCCATTCCTGACTTCCAGGTATTTACACCATAGGTGGGGACCTAACTACACACACACACACACACACACACACACACACACACACACCATGCACACACAATCTACATCAACACTTGATTTTATACAAATACAATGAATTTACTTTCTTTTTGGTTCTTCTCTTCACCAGTGAAATTTGACATGGGTGCTTATAAGTCATCAAAGGATGATGCTAAAATTACCGTGATTCTAAGAATCTCAAAAACTCAATTGTATGTGACTGCCCAAGATGAAGACCAACCAGTGCTGCTGAAGGTCAGTTGTCCTTTGTCTCCAACTTACCTTCATTTACATCTCATATGTTTGTAAATAAGCCCAATAGGCAGACACCTCTAACAAGGTGACACTGTCCTCTTTCCTTCCTACCACAGCCCCCACCTGCCCACCCCACTCCCATTGATTCCAGAGGCGTGCCTAGGCAGGCTCTATGAGAAAATATAACAGAGAGTAAGAGGAAAATTACCTTCTTTCTTTTTCCTTTCCCTGCCTGACCTTATTCACCTCCCATCCCAGAGCATCCATTTATTCCATTGATCTTTACTGACATCTATTATCTGACCTACACAATACTAGACATTAGGACAATGTGGCCTGCCTCCAAGAAACTCAAATAAGCCAACTGAGATCAGAGAGGATTAATCACCTGCCAATGGGCACAAAGCAACAAGCTGGGAGCCAAGTCCCAAAATGGGGCCTGCTGCTTCCAGTTCCCCTCTCTCTGCATTGATGTCAGCATTATCCTTCGTCCCAGTCCTGTCTCCACTACCACTTTCCCCCTCAAACACACACACACACAACAGCCTTAGATGTTTTCTCCACTGATAAGTAGGTGACTCAATTTGTAAGTATATAATCCAAGACCTTCTATTCCCAAGTAGAATTTATGTGCCTGCCTGTGCTTTTCTACCTGGATCAAGTGATGTCTACAGAGTAGGGCAGTAGCTTCATTCATGAACTCATTCAACAAGCATTATTCACTGAGAGCCTTCTATTTTTCAGGCATAGTGCCAACAGCAGTGTGGACAGTGGTGCATCAAAGCCTCTAGTCTCATAGAACTTAGTCTTCTGGAGGATATGGAAAACAGACAACCCAAACAACCAACAAAAGAGCAAGATGCTGCAAAAAAAAAAAAAAATGAATAGGGTGCTAAGATAGAGAAAAGTGGGAGAGTGCTATTTAGACAAAGTGGTAAAAACAAAGCCCCTTGTGAGATGAGAGCTGCCGACAGGAGGGGGCGGGTCATGGTTGTGGGTTTTTGGGTAGGACATTCAGAGGAGGGGGCGGGTCGTGGTTGTGGGTTTTTGGGTAGGACATTCAGAGGAGGGGGCGGGTCGTGGTTGTGGGTTTTTGGGTAGGACATTCAGAGGAGGGGGCGGGTCGTGGTTGTGGGTTTTTGGGTAGGACATTCAGAGGAGGGGGCGGGTCGTGGTTGTGGGTTTTTGGGTAGGACATTCAGAGGAGGGGGCGGGTCGTGGTTGTGGGTTTTTGGGTAGGACATTCAGAGGAGGGGGCGGGTCGTGGTTGTGGGTTTTTGGGTAGGACATTCAGAGGAGGGGGCGGGTCGTGGTTGTGGGTTTTTGGGTAGGACATTCAGAGGAGGGGGCGGGTCGTGGTTGTGGGTTTTTGGGTAGGACATTCAGAGGAGGGGGCGGGTCGTGGTTGTGGGTTTTTGGGTAGGACATTCAGAGGAGGGGGCGGGTCGTGGTTGTGGGTTTTTGGGTAGGACATTCAGAGGAGGGGGCGGGTCGTGGTTGTGGGTTTTTGGGTAGGACATTCAGAGGAGGGGGCGGGTCATGGTTGTGGGTTTTTGGGACATTCAGAGGAGTCTGAATGCACCCAGGCCTACAACTTCAAGATGGTAAAGGACAGCTCCAAGGATCAGAAGAAGCATTCTTGGAACTGGGGCATTTTGAGAAGGAGGAAAAATATGCAGAGACTAGTGCTTGCAGAGCTTGCATTTGGATTTCATTTGAGGTACAATGAAAACCCATTAATGGGTTTCACACAGTGCAATGGCCTGACCTCACTTATATTTCCTAAAATAGAAAACAGATCAGAAGGAAGGCAATAGAGAAGCAGAAAGTCCAATGAGGAGGTTTCACAGCAGTCATGGGGGTGGGGTAAGGAAAAGAAGTGGAAAGAAACAGACAGAATTGGGTTATATTTTGGAGATAGAACCAACAGAAGGAAGAGGAGAAACAACATTTACTGAGAAGGGAAAAAGTAGGAGAGGAATAGGTTTGGGAAATAAATCCTGCTGACATTGGAAACCCCAAGGAAGCCTCAAAAGTATATTTACTTGCTTTAGATTTAAAAGAATAGGAAAGAAGCATCTCAACTTGGAATTTGAAATCTATTTTTCCATAAAAGTATTGTTAAATTCTACTCATACTCACAAGAAAAGTACATTCTAAAGAGTATATTGAAAGAGTTTACTGATATACTTAGGAATTTTGTGTGTATGTGTGTGTGTGTATGTGTGTGCGTGTGTTTAACCTTCAATTGTTGACTTAAATACTGAGATAAATGTCATCTAAATGCTAAATTGATTTCCAAAGGTATGATTTGTTCACTTGGAGATCAAAATGTTTAGGGGGCTTAGAATCACTGTAGTGCTCAGATTTGATGCAAAATGTCTTAGGCCTATGTTGAAGGCAGGACAGAAACAATGTTTCCCTCCTACCTGCCTGGATACAGTAAGATACTAGTGTCACTGACAATCTTCATAACTAATTTAGATCTCTCTCCAATCAACTAAGGAAATCAACTCTTATTAATAGACTGGGCCACACATCTACTAGGCATGTAATAAATGCTTGCTGAATGAACAAATGAATGAAGAGCCTATAGCATCATGTTACAGCCATAGTCCTAAAGTGCTGTTTCTCATGAAGGCCAAATGCTAAGGGATTGAGCTTCAGTCCTTTTTCTACCATCTTGTTCTCTAACAGAATTCTCTTCTTTTCTTCATAGGAGATGCCTGAGATACCCAAAACCATCACAGGTAGTGAGACCAACCTCCTCTTCTTCTGGGAAACTCACGGCACTAAGAACTATTTCACATCAGTTGCCCATCCAAACTTGTTTATTGCCACAAAGCAAGACTACTGGGTGTGCTTGGCAGGGGGGCCACCCTCTATCACTGACTTTCAGATACTGGAAAACCAGGCGTAGGTCTGGAGTCTCACTTGTCTCACTTGTGCAGTGTTGACAGTTCATATGTACCATGTACATGAAGAAGCTAAATCCTTTACTGTTAGTCATTTGCTGAGCATGTACTGAGCCTTGTAATTCTAAATGAATGTTTACACTCTTTGTAAGAGTGGAACCAACACTAACATATAATGTTGTTATTTAAAGAACACCCTATATTTTGCATAGTACCAATCATTTTAATTATTATTCTTCATAACAATTTTAGGAGGACCAGAGCTACTGACTATGGCTACCAAAAAGACTCTACCCATATTACAGATGGGCAAATTAAGGCATAAGAAAACTAAGAAATATGCACAATAGCAGTTGAAACAAGAAGCCACAGACCTAGGATTTCATGATTTCATTTCAACTGTTTGCCTTCTACTTTTAAGTTGCTGATGAACTCTTAATCAAATAGCATAAGTTTCTGGGACCTCAGTTTTATCATTTTCAAAATGGAGGGAATAATACCTAAGCCTTCCTGCCGCAACAGTTTTTTATGCTAATCAGGGAGGTCATTTTGGTAAAATACTTCTTGAAGCCGAGCCTCAAGATGAAGGCAAAGCACGAAATGTTATTTTTTAATTATTATTTATATATGTATTTATAAATATATTTAAGATAATTATAATATACTATATTTATGGGAACCCCTTCATCCTCTGAGTGTGACCAGGCATCCTCCACAATAGCAGACAGTGTTTTCTGGGATAAGTAAGTTTGATTTCATTAATACAGGGCATTTTGGTCCAAGTTGTGCTTATCCCATAGCCAGGAAACTCTGCATTCTAGTACTTGGGAGACCTGTAATCATATAATAAATGTACATTAATTACCTTGAGCCAGTAATTGGTCCGATCTTTGACTCTTTTGCCATTAAACTTACCTGGGCATTCTTGTTTCAATTCCACCTGCAATCAAGTCCTACAAGCTAAAATTAGATGAACTCAACTTTGACAACCATGAGACCACTGTTATCAAAACTTTCTTTTCTGGAATGTAATCAATGTTTCTTCTAGGTTCTAAAAATTGTGATCAGACCATAATGTTACATTATTATCAACAATAGTGATTGATAGAGTGTTATCAGTCATAACTAAATAAAGCTTGCAACAAAATTCTCTGACACATAGTTATTCATTGCCTTAATCATTATTTTACTGCATGGTAATTAGGGACAAATGGTAAATGTTTACATAAATAATTGTATTTAGTGTTACTTTATAAAATCAAACCAAGATTTTATATTTTTTTCTCCTCTTTGTTAGCTGCCAGTATGCATAAATGGCATTAAGAATGATAATATTTCCGGGTTCACTTAAAGCTCACATTACACATACACAAAACATGTGTTCCCATCTTTATACAAACTCACACATACAGAGCTACATTAAAAACAACTAATAGGCCAGGCACGGTGGCTCAGACCTGTAATCCCAGCACTTTGGGAGGCCAAGGTGGGAAGATCACTTGAGGTCAGGAGTTCAAGACCAGCCTAGGCAACATAGTGAGATCTCATCTCTACAAAAAAAAATGAAAAATTAAAAAATGAGCTGGACATGGTAGTACACACCTGTAGTCCCAGCTACTCGGGAGGCTTGAGGTGGGAGGATCACTTGAGCCTGGGAGATGGAGGCTGCAGTGAGCCATAATCACACCATTGCACCCCAACCTGGGCAACAGAGTGAGACCCAGTCTCAAAAGATAAATTTTTAAAAATGTTAAAAAATATATAAAAGAGAATTTTAAAAGAACAACTAATAGATCAAAGCATGGATGCAAGATATATTTAGTTGGAAAATCAAGGTTAAAATCAAGGGATCTTGGAATTAGGTGTGGTAGATTTGGGTAAGGAGTAGTCTAAGATGACCCTGTTTCTTGGTACTGGAGACTGGATGAGTGGCAGCGTCTTAACCATATTTTTGGTAGAAATATGGAGGTCTTCTCCATTCCAGGATGAATGATGAGTAAAATTTTAGGCATGTAATTTGAGCTACTAGAAGGACACTCAATTGCAGATGTACAATGGGGAGATGATAACCTATCTGGAACTCAGAAAAATAACTGTATATAGATATGAAAGACATCAGTAGGTATGTAGTAGATAAAATCCTAAAAGTGATGTCAAAGGGAGAAGAGAAGTATATGGTGAACACTGTTGTTTGTCCATGCAATTGCCATCTCTTCTTCTTCCTTACTGACAGAACCCTGATTTCACTGAGAAGTCAACATGCCCTTCCCCAATTGATGAATCCAATTGGTTTAAGATTATGTTCATTCTATTCTTACATGACTAAGTCACGTTGACTTAATCCTATCAAATGAGATGTCGATCTGGAAACAACTTCTGGAAAAGATTTTCTACCTTGATAAAATAAAGAGCCATATAGATGGTCCTTTATCTTCCTTCTTCCTTGAATGAGATATGTTCTATGAGGAAGTGAAGCTTAGAACTGTGGTCAGCAACTTGCAACGACTGGGAAGTCAGAGCCACACAATGAAGAATGCAGAGTGGAAGGAGAAAAAGAGCCAGCATCTCTGACAACATTGTTACACCGAGAACCTACCTCCAGATTTTAAGAAAACAAGAAATGCTACTGTTATTAAGCCATTTCACTGGGTTTGCTATGACTTGCAGTCAAATCTAGCTTAACTGATACAGAGCACCACAGAGAACTGGTCTCTCATTTGTCTCATCCTGTTCTTTCTAGCAGCCACGACTTTCCTAGGGTTTCCTTAGCCCAAGTCTGGCTAGAGCAAGACTAAGTAAGACTTGATTCCTTAATGTCCTTTTGTTTTAAGAAATATTAAAGAATTATTTTTATATTAATATATTTTAAGAAATAAGGAAATACAAAACACTGAGCAAGCAACACAAATTCAAGAAATCTTAAAAAGTATAATAGCTGCTCAGTCTCTGATTAACAGTGAAATATGGAATCATTGTAGAAATGGCCTTGGAGCGTTATTCTCCCAGGCCAGCTATCCTTATGGTCTGCCCCACCTCCCTCATTGCCTAAACAGTAAGAGAGTCACCATGGTGAGACTCAACAGTCTTAGCACAGAACTTGTTACAGTCTATTTCTTTTCTTACAGTCCTATATATCAAGTTCCAAATCAATGAGAGTAAAGCCAAATCCCTGCCTTTAAACCCAAGGGACAGAAGCAAAAAGCCAAAAGATATTTCCCTAACCTTCCTCCCACTGAGTAGACTCCTCTGACATTTAAAAACCCCTACGCTTGAAATTTGAGGGGTGATGGAATTGTTGAGATGGTAATAATTATTGTGGTGGATATAAAATATGCTCGTGTATCTATATCTCTGAATGACTGAATGATTTATAAGTTTAATGGTTATATACATTTCTGACTTTTAAAAATGAATGTATGAGTATATGACAATATAATAATTTACAAAAAAAATTTATTATCTATAGCACCTCATTGAACTATACATAAAATAGATTAAATTATACCTCAGTAACAAAGGATTTTTTTTAATTTACAAGGAAAAAACTCTTTATTCCATTTATCGCGTTGTGTATCCAGAGTGGTCTTTTTTTTTTTTTTTTTTGTACCCTCTCTCAACCCTAGGCATGAGATGTTCATTTATCCTAAAATGCTCTATAGGGTAATTTACCTTTCTTGTGGATACATTGTTTGCATTTCCCTGTCATTGGCTCTCACTGGCCAAGAACACCTTTGCTCCTTCTTCTCTAAAACTTATTCCTCACCAATTTTTCTTTTTATCAGAGTGGCTGACAAAGGGTGTTATGCAACCTTATGAGCTCTGCAGGGTAAACTGAGGTCTGGCTCAAAAGTATACATCCCTGGGCCTCACCTCTGGAGATTCAGTCAGTTTGGGTAGACCTTGAGCATCTTAATTTTTTTAAGCTCCAAAAGTAACTCTCATGTTTATCACTGGTTAAGAACCACTGCATGAAGAGAGTCCCAGATTAAGGATGGTTTTATTATAGTGTTAATAATGGCTTCCTTTTGGGCAAGTCAATCCAGGGTTAGAAAAGATGAGAACACACAACTTCCACCTATCCAGTAGAGGCCTTCTCACAGCCACAGGGACACCGGCAGGCCTCATTTGGAAATAAGGTACTCAACAGCACAAGTACCCCCATTTTATATACTCACTTATACTTGCGTAGAAGCTGAGGGGCCTGCCAAGCAGGTGCTTGCCTTTGGTGTCACTCTTCCAAAAGGTCTGGAGTGCTTTGCCCAATTGAGAGAGGCCTATGGAATAAGAAAAACATGAGTGGATGGTCCCTGTCTTATCTTCTCAACTGTCCACACTCTAAAAAACGACTTTGGCTCCTAGCATGACAAGAGCCTTGATTTTCAGAGGAACACTCCCTTCTCATCTCCACCAAGAAGTAGAGCTAATTTCCTTCCACACAGCTCCTATTCACTATTTCGTAGATGGTGAAGTCATTTCTTTGTCATGTAAGGAGAAATGCTGTTACTATTTTTTAAAACAGAAAGGAGAGGGTTTATGGAGATTACAGACAGGTATTCTTGATACGAATGTATTGCATCAATTTAGAAGATTTTTCAACAGATGTTTTGTGCATATGTAGAATAAAATGCTGCAATCTCAAGGTCTCAGGCTGGGATCACTAAGAACAAGTCATGCTGCAGACCTCATTACCACTTTTGATGGGATTACCTGAGTGGCATTGGCAGGTATATCTCTATTGTGGCAGTGAGTGGACTGTGGCTTAATGTCATTAAGCATTTGGATCAGATAGATAATTCATCTTGTTCTGATCCATACCAAAGGAGTTTTCTTGAAGTTGTTTTGTGTTTGTTTTTGTTTGTAGAGACAGGGTCTCACTATGTTGCCCAGGCTGTTCTCAAACTCCTGTCATCAAGCGACCCTCCCACCTTGACCTCCCAAAGTGCTGGAATTACAAGTGTAAGCCCCTGCACCTGGCCTTCACCAAAGGACGTTCTTATTATAGATTTCCTGCATATTTGCCTACAGGAAGATGATGCACTGGCTAGAGGTGTGAATGTCAGGTCTCTTCTGCCATTCTAACCCTGTTATAAAGTAAAATTGGCTCTCCATCTTATAATTTAGTCTCCTTGAATTTAGAATACTGTAGAGTTTGGAATCAAGACCGGATTCAAATCTCATTTACTTTGTGATTTGTGCTAGTCTTTTAATCTCTCAATGTCAGTTTCCTTACTTGTAAAAATGGAGATAGTCATTACTATTAACACATCAAATATTTGTAATATCAAATGAGATAAAATACAGAAAGAGCTTAGCATAGCACCATGGATTTAGAGTGTTTGATTCATTCATTATTTTACTTAAAAGTAGCTATTATCACTTTTACTTAGTGAATGCATCCCTGAGAATCTAATCCACAATCACGATACCAATTAAATCAAGTTCCTGAATCCACACTGAGGGTTGGCTCAAGCAATTCTCCCACCTGGGTGAAGGTAAATATTCTACAAACCATCAGGTAAAGTTACTTGACCAGCCAGTCAGCCATCTTTGGTGACTTCAACCCAGCCATACTTATTTCTTTTCTGGGAGGGTTGGGGGTGTGGTTCATAGAGATGGGGTCTCTCTATGTTTCCCAGGCTGGTCTCAAATGCCTGGCTTCAAGCAATCCTGCCACCTTGGCTTCCCAAAGTGCTGGGATTACAAGCATGAACCACCGTACCCAGCCTGTATTTTGATTTTTACCATTGCATTTAGCAAAGTCTCTACTGATATTGTGGTAGACAAGGCAGAGACATATGGGCTATAAGAGCTAGTAGTATTATTGAATGGGCTTGTGGCTACTTATATATAGTGTGGTTACTGTATTGAAGGGATCTTTAAAAGGAGAAAGCCCTATTCATTCAAAAGACATTAATTTAGTTTCTATTTGGTGCCAAGAACAATGAATATAGTGGCCTACCCTCAGTTTACAGACTAGCAGGGAGAAAGATAAGCAAATAATCAAGCTAATCACAATCCTTGAGAAAGGGATGTTTTGTCTGAGACTGAAGGATGGTTAAGAGTCAACAAAGAGACTAGCCTGGCCAACATGGTGAAACCCCGTCTCTACTCAAAATACAAAGAAAAAAATTAGCTGGGAATGGTGGCAGGTGCGTGTAATCCCAGCTACTTGGGAGGCTGAGGCACCAGAATCACTTGAACACAGGAGGTGGAAGTTGCAGTGAGCTGAGATCACACCACTGTATTCCAGCTGGGAAACAGAGTGAGGCTCCATCTCAAAAAAAAAGGAAGAAGACAACTGACCCAATTTAAAAATTGGCAAAGACTCTGAATAGAGATATACAAATGGCCAGTAAACACATAAAAAGATGCTTAACATCATTAGTCATCAAGGAAATACAAATAAAAACCACAATGTGATACCATTTCACAACCACTAGGATGGTTGTAATTTAAAAGATGGACAATAACAAGTGTTGTTGAGGATGTAAAGAAACTGGAACTTTCATACACTGCTGGTAGGAATGTAAAATGCTGCAGCTGCTTTGGAAAACAGTCTGGCAGTTCCTCAAATGGTTAAAGATAGAATTATCGTATGACACAGTAATTCCTCTCATTAGGTATATACCCATGAGTGTTGAAAACATATGTCTACACAAAAACTTATACATGAAAGTTCATAACAGCATTATTCATAATAGCCAAAAAGTGGAAAGAACCTAGATGTCCATCAACTGATGAATGGCAAATAAAATATTGTATATCCGCACAATAGAATACCCAGTCATAAAAGAATGAAGTACTGACACATGCTATGTGGATAAACCTTGAAAACAGCATACTAAGTGAAAGTGAAACTTAACCAATAGTCCCATAGACTGTTCTTTCGGATAAACATAGAAATTGACGCTTCTGGTCTTAAAGCTGGAAGCTTGTATTTGTTTTGTTTGAGTTCCTTCCTGGGGAAAAGACTTCAGGCCTCTCAAAAAAAGTATCAAAGAACTGAAACTCGCCAGATCACCACATCCAGGCAATGAGACTTTGGACCACTCATTCATCAGGATTGCTTCCTTGCCCCTCCCTGGTTCCTGTTTTCTTACGCATTGTTACATTTCTTCCCTGCTATCCAAACCCCTGGTTTTAGGTCAGGGAGATGGATTTGAGATTGAGCCCCCATCTCCTCAGCTGCAGCACCTGACTAAAGCCTTCTTCCTTGGCAATACTTGTCATCTCAGTGGCTGGCTTTCTGTGCAGCGAGCAGCAGGACCTAGATCAAACCCATGATATTTTGGTAACAAAAGAAGCCCATCAGAGACCACAAATTGCATAATTTCATACATATGAAATGTCCAGAAGGCAAATCTATAGAGATGGATAGTAGATTCATGGTTTCTAGGGGCTGAGAGGAGGGGAGAATGGGGAGTGACTGCTAATGAGTATAGGGTTTCTTTAGGGGGTGATGAAAATGTTAGAAAATTGAATTGTACACTGTAAGTGGGAGAATCGTACGGTATGTAAATATCTCAATAAGGCTGCTAGAGTAAAAATAATAATAATCAACTAGAGAAATGAGAAAGAAAGGTTGGATTCCCAGACAGAGAGGAGTATGGAAAGGAAAAAACAAAGTGTCTGGATAACACTGAGCAAGGGGAGAGTAGTGTGGGCTAAGGCTAAGGGAGGTGGCTAATGCTGAGGGAGTAAAAGGCCAAGCCCGCAGGGGCTTATAGGTCATTAGCCTGAGAGCAATGGAAAACCGTTAAAAGCCACCAGGATTGTCCTGGTGTGGTGGCTCACACCTGTAATCCCAACACTTTAGGAGATGGAGGCAGATGGATCGCTTGAGCCAGGAGTTCAAGACCAACCTGGGGCAACATGGCAAAACCCCATCTCTACAAAAAATACAAAAATTACCCAGATGGGTGACTGAAGTGGGATGATCGCTTAAGCCAGAGAGGTGGGGGCTGCAGTGAGCTGAGATCATGCCACTGCACTCTAGCCGGGCAATGGAGCCAGATCCTTCTAAAAAAAACAACACCAGGATCATGGAAAGCTACAGTGGATACTTTGATGAATGAGTTAAGAATTTAATTTATTTATTTATTTGGAGACAGGGTCTTGCTCTGCCTCCCATGCTGGAGTGCGGTGGCATGACCACAGTGCACTGCAGCCTTCAACTTTTGGGCTCAAGTGATCCTCCCACCTCAGCCTCCTGAGTAGAAGGGACTACAGGTGTGTGCCACCATGCCTGGTTAATTTTTGTAATTTTTTTTTTTTTTTTAAGAAACGAGGTCTTGCTATGTTGCCCAGTCTGGTCTCAAACTCCTAGGCTCAAGCAATCCTCTTGCCTCAGCTTCACAAAGTGCTGGGATTGATTACAGACATAAGCCACCATGCTTGGTAGAGTTGAGAATTTTTAAACCTGCCTAGCTATTTTCCCACATTTTGTGTCCTACAAAATAGACCGTCAAATACCCAAAGGATGGAAAAAAACGAGGCAGAACTGGCCTATGTTGCTCCAAAGGACTAGGACCAGTAAGCAAGGAAGCTCATTTGAGTTCATTTTAAGTTTCCTAATAAGCAGGGGTCTCCAATAACAGGACAGGTAAGGCAGCTCACCAACACCAGCAGTATACCTGCAAAGGTGCAGTACCTACATGGGGTCTGTGGAATACTCCAGCACTGCGTGGGATATCAGGCAAGGTGACTTCTACAACTGACATGCATTCAACCACCTAGATTCTACAAAGACCAAAACAAAACCGCCTTCACTTTTCTGAAACTGTTGGTGAAGGAGTCCCTTTCTCAGTCATTAACAAAAATAATGATCAGTTTTCCTATTTTAAACATTTAATACACTATTGAAAATATCAAAATGCATAAATCCAGAAACCCTGGCTCTCTTCCAAACTCCCTATTTACGGCTAAAGAGAAGGGCTGCTGCAGTGGCTTCATGCCCTGCTGAGTACCCAACTGGTAAGCTGAACCTGGCCAACAGGTGCCCAGATATGACTGCCCCTCCACACACGACTTCTCCAGCATCCATGGAAGAGGAACCTTCATACACAAGGAGCCAAAAGCATTTTCCAGACCTCTTTAAGAAACTGGAGAATAGATGAAACAGGACAAACTTCAAAAGAAAAAAAATTTAGGATTAAAACAAGGGGAATGAAGTGTGTCTAGGGATTCAGGACAACGAGGCCTGCGATCTCCTAGTAACTAGGAGAAACTAGGCCTGCGTTTCTCCGTTAGCCTTATGGCCTTATAGTCAGCTGATCAGGTGAAATCGAAAATATACCTTGAACAAGAGATCACCGTGAGAGGAGTAAGGCAGTTTCTCAAAAAATTAAAAATAGAATTGCCGTTTGATCCAACAATACCACTTCGTGGTATATACCCAAAAGAATGAAAAGGAGAGTCTCAAAGAGTTATTTGTGCATTCATGTTCATATTATTATTCACAATAGCCAAAAAGTGGAAGCAACTCAAGTGTCCGGAGAGGGATGGACCAAGAAGCAAAATGTGGCATCTCCACACAACGAAATGCTATTCCCCCTTAAAAGGAAAGGAAATTCTGACACATGCTACACATGGATGAACCTTGAATACTTTATGCTAAGTGAAACAAGCCAGTCACAGAACAAATACTGCATGATTCTACTTATATGGCACCTACAGTTGTCAAATCCATAGAGACAGAAACTAGAATGGTGATTGCCTGGGGCTGGGGGAGGGAGGAGTGCGGAGTTAGTGACGGGTACAGGGTTTCATTTGGGAAGATGAAAAAGTTCTGGAAAGGACAGTAGTGGTGGCTGTGCCACAATGTGAGGGTACTTAATACCACTAAACTGCACATTTTTGAAAAATTTAACACTTTAAAATGGTTAAAATGGTATATGTGATGTTATGCATATTTTACCACAATTAAACGAGCCACCCTGCAGTACTAAGAACTAGGAGCCTTTAGATGCATAAGACCCATATGTCCTCTTTATAATATTATTTTTTCACAGCTCCTGTGAGTCTGAGACTTTGAAAGGACAGAATCAGGTAGCGGCCCCAGCATCCTGGGAGGACCGCCCTGTCTCTCCGCCCAGGGACTCCCGGCGCGCCAACCCCAGCTGGATTCAGCGTAACCGCCCCCCAACCACCAGCCCGGCTGAGGCCCCCACGGAGGGTCCCACGCCCACTCGGAGGCGCACTCACAGGCGCACTCAGAGGCGGGCGGCGCCGCGCCCCGAGGAAGCCGCCCTCAATGCCGAGGTGCGCTGCACGTTCTTCCAATCAAAGGGCCCCAAGGTCGGGTTCTCAAGGCCAGAGCCAACCGCAAAGAGCCTATTGCCTGTTGTCCCGCCCTCCCGTGCTGACGACTAGCGAGTTTCAAACCCGCAGGAGCCAATGAGGACGCGTGGACGCGCGGCACGCCGGTCCTGGCTACAGGCGCGGCGTTTGAAGAAAAACTGTCACTGAAGAGTCATGGTGGGGCCCGGGCCTACCGCTGCTGCCGCTGTCGGTGAGTACGACCGCTGTTCCCGTTATTCTCAGGCGTTGGAACACGGCCGGGGAAGTAGGAGGCCACCGAGTGAGTTCGTCCCGCGGGAGGTGCCCGTCCGCTCGCCTGCCTAAGTTTCCCCTGGGCGTTTTCCATCCCGGGAGCGCAGACGGGACCCCCAGGTAGACGTCTGGGTCCTGGGCGGGGGAGGCTGTGCGCAGGCCCAGATACCTCACGGGCGTATTTCCAGAAAGCCCTGCAGCAGCCTTGCAAAGAGATGTCATTGTCACCACGTTCCGGATAAAGAAACTGAGGCCCCTTGCTCGGGTTTTCACCAGCAGTGGGAAGCTGCGCGCTGTTTTGATCCACATTTGGCTCCAGGCAGAGCCGGGCGTGGTCCTCTGTGCCAGGAGGCGGGGTCTGGCCGAAGCCCGGGTCTCCTGCCTCTGGCGGGGCTCTCACTCCACACCTCTCAGCCTGCGGTGGTTAGAAGTTGATTGGTTAAATCTGCACCCAGGGCTAAGGCTTCTGCGTTCCCTAATCTCTTAGATGTGCTTGGAGCCCTTTCCTACCTTTCAAAATACTCCTGCTCAGATGCCACTTTCTCCAAGATACGCACCGTTGTTTTGTTTCATCCATTATTCCTGTTGATGCCTACGAGGTCCTAGGCACTTTACATAACAAGCTTTAAAGATGGCATTTCTGTCCGCCTTATAGGCTTAGCAGCAGCAAAGTTTGCTAATTTGCTAGAAGTCACGGAGGTGGGACTCCAACCCCCTATGTCAGCCCCTACGCTCTACATTGCCCGCCAAGCTGTCTCTAAGGATAGATACATGAGCATCAGAGAGCAAAACAGGGCAACTCCGTTCAGATGAGGTTAAGAGTCGTTTGGCACCCCTGTCGTCTTTTTGTCTTCCTTCACATCATTATTTACTTTTAACCTTTTCTAGCCACCTACTCCCCTCATTTATGCCCTACCTCTGAACTCCCATACTTCTTTTCGTCTCTTATGGCCCTTAGATTTTACCTTATACTGTAATTGTTGCTGTGTTGATTTTATCTCCACTACTAGTTTGAAAGTTCTTGAAGGCAGAAATTATTGACTTGTCATCCCCTCACAAATGGCTTGCGTAGAAAGTCACCATAGTATAGGTGTCTGCCGTGAGCAGACCGGGCGTATTTTATCCTTAGTACCAACAAAGGAAGCCATATAAGGGTTTGTGGGTAAAAATCATCATCCCTGTAAAAAAACAAAAGACGTAAGACCAGGCCTGGCTCACCAGCTCAGGTGGGCCAGTAACAGAAATTCTTCAAAACAGACTGTTGTAGCTGAGAACAGTGGCTGTGAGCTCCAGGGTTAGAAAAGCCTGTTTTCAAGTCCTGGAATTGCCACATATTAGCTGGGTAACTTTGGGCATGACATTTACTCTCTCTGAATTTCAGATTGCAAAAACTCATTGGATTGTTTTGTGGATTGAAAGCAATAATGTAAATTTAGGCCGAGTGCTTTGACTTACGCCTGTAATCCTAGCACTTTGGGAGGCCAAAGCAGGAGGGTCACTTGAGCTCAGGAATTTGAGACCACCCCTGGCAACATAGTGAGATCCTGTCTCTACAAAAAATTTTTTTAAAATTATCCAGCATGGTGGTACACGCCTGTATTCCCAGCTACTCAGGAGACTGAGGTGTGAGGATTGCTAGAACCTGGGAGATCAAGTCAACAGTGAGCCGTGGTTGTGCCACTGCCCTCCAACCTCAGTGACAGAGGAAGACCCTGTCTCAAAAAAAAAAAAAAAAGTAGTAAGTTTAAAGAACTTAGTGTAGGCCTGGCATATAAATGATATTGTTGATGTTGATGTTAGCTTGAAGGCACATTTATAGGACTAGGGATTTTATAACATTATGTTGCAAAGGCAAAATCACTAGAGAAAAGTGTCATCTTTTAGAATATTAATGAACTGGTTAAAATCTTGAACTAAAGTTATGTCGTTTGTTTGCTTGCCTGTGTTGCAGAAGAGCGGCAGAGAAAGCTTCAGGAGTACCTTGCAGCCAAGGGAAAACTGAAGAGCCAAAACACCAAGTGAGTTTATCTGTCCACAGTTACGCAAGTTTTGTTGCCTTCTTTGTACTAGCAATTTAAAGCCTTTTTGAAAAATGTCCCTTTTGCTTAGAGTCTACTCAGACTGCACTGGGATTCTATGATAACGCAAAAAGAGCATTTCAGTCCAGGCATGACAAAAACCCCTGGGCAGTGCTTAGTCCATTGGCAAAGCTTTATGCATTATTACTGTGTGAATCTCCAAAGGAAGGAGGGAAGAAGGGTCAGTATTACCTACCATGCTGGAAGCTTTGCCTGTTTCTGCTTTTTTTTTCTTGGGGAAGTTGATTCTCATGAAGGCAGTTTTTGGTCAAGAACTTGAATGACCATGGTTCTGGCATTTCTTGCTAAGGCAGGAGAGCCAGTTACAATCAATCCTCCGTAGCAGAGTGATACCCTCTGCTCTTGGGTCATTCTCTTAGCATTTACTGTTAAGGTAGACAGAACATGTCCACTTCATTTTTATCCTTTGTAGATTCTTACCATCTTTGTCGTGTTATTTGTCCTTTCTTAGCATTAATTAATTTTTTCCCCATTTGAGTTGCTAAGTATTTATTTGAAAATTAATTTTTACAAAGTTAGCTTTCACCCTTTATTTTATCTTGGGTGTTTACTCACCTCTATTTCCTTGATTAAATGAACCTAATTCACTTATTCAACAAATATTTATTTAGTACCTATAACATCTCAGTCACTTCTGATGCTAGAGATAATGGCGCTTAACAAGACAGACATTCCTGCCCTCCCAGGGCTTATGCTGTAGATGGGAGAGACAAACATCAAACAAGTCATAATCAAAGTCCTTGTTAGTCTAGCAATTGTTTTTGGTCCATGCAGATTGATTCCTTCTAAATTCACCTCTGTTTTCCAATCCTTTTTCTGCATTTCCTGTCTCACTAGCTATATTTCATGTGTGTCTTGGTTTTTTTTTTTTTAATATTTCTTTACCCCCTTAAAGTTAGAAGAGATAGTATTTGAAGATACTGAAAACAAGGAAATTTTTTTTTTTTTTTTTTTTTTTTTTGAGACGGAGTCTCACTCTGTTGCCCAGGCTGGAGTGCAGTGGCGCAATCTTGGCTCACTGCAAGCTCTGCCTCCCAGTTTCACGCCATTTTCCTGCCTCAGCCTCCCGAGTAGCTGGGACAACAGGCATGTGCCACCATGCCCAGCTAATTTTTTTGTATTTTTAGTAGCGATGGGGTTTCACTGTGTTAGCCAGGATGGTCTCTATTTCCTGATCTCATGATCCGCCTGCCTTGGCCTCCCAAAGTGCTGGGATTACAGGCGTGAGCCACTACGCCCAGCCGGAAATTTTTTAAAGAAGCAGTTAATGGTTTTATTTGGCATTGTGTCTTCGGTGTCTGGCACATTGCAGTGCTCCAGGAATGATGTGTGAATGAGTAAGACTATATAAATATGAAGGAAACACATATATCTCATTAATATTGTGAGAATGCTAGATTTATGTATAGACAGTCTCTGTAAGGATCACAAGGCAAAAAAAAAAAGAGTAGGAGCAGTTGGTGGTCTCCAAGGGGGAGGATACAGAACTAAAGAAATGATGATAAGGAGACTTTATTAAATATAATTTTGAATTATTTTGCCATTACAGAAATTCTAATTATTTAAAATTCTATTCATAATTTTTAATCACTGTACTTCCCAAGCTTAGCTTAGAATCCTTCTGTGCTGAGGATTAATTTTAATTTGTCTTTTATAGGCCTTATCTAAAATCCAAGAATAATTGCCAGAATCAACCACCTTCTAAATCTGTAAGTAGAAATTAGTCTTTTTAAAAATATGCATTCATAAGTATGATTAGTAATAAAAATAATAAAGATGTTAGCAACCTAAAGAACATGTATTTGAAAGGTATTTCTTACAGATATAAAAACAGTTTGGTTTAATAAGAGACAATCATTTTTTGAAAAGTATGACATTTTTTGAAAAGTAGTTTAGTTTTATTAACCAAGAAAAGCCTCAAGTGAACTTTAGTCCTCTTGATAGCTAACATTTATTGAATGCTTACTGTGTGCCTGATACTTTTCTGACTTGCATTACCTCACTGAGTCCTCACAATCTTATGAGGCTACTATTAGTAGCCCCACTTTACAGATAAGCAAACTAAGTCACAGAAAGGTTAAATAGGTCGTATAGCTATTAAGTGACAAAGCTGAGAGCCTGTGATCTTAACCACTTTGGTATGCTGCCATGAAGTTAAATAGCTCAGTAGTCATTAAAAGAGAACATTTGCATTGAACCTTCCAAGCCACTTAACAAGTATATGCTTCCTAATCAATTTAATTTAGCTACATTAGATAGAATGGTAAAGGATCCTTAACTTAAAGTTTAAATGGAAGAAATTAGCCCTCTGAAAGAGGCACAGATTATTCATCTGCAATAAAAATCTCACCTTTAGTTTTTTAAAACATAGTTTTTATCTGTGTTCTGAAATGTAACTAAAACAGTGCTTCCTGAAGTGAAAAATTCTCACTGGTGAGAATTTTAATAAGTTTTAATGATTCACCAAATCACTTCAGTCATATTTCAGTCATATGCATATGCATATATAGACATATAAGTTTTTATCTGTGTTCTGAAATGTAACTAAAATAGTGCTTCCTGAAGTGAAAAATTCTCACTGGTGAGAATTTTAATAAGTTTTAATGATTCACCAAATCACTTCAGTCATATTTCAGTCATATGCATATGCATATGTAGACATATATATGTTGTATGTATACATGACATCATTAGACACTGTGAAGGATAGCAAAATGTATATAAGGCAAAATTTATGAACAATGGTTTAACGTTTGGGAAGCACTGGGTTACACTTTTACTTTATGCAGATTGAACCAGTATAGTATGCAAGTCTTAAGGAAAAATCTACTGGAAAGGGCCCTCATTCAGACTTCCCAGAGGCTTCTCTGGAAGTTGACAATACTGACTTCAGTACATCAGCTCGTAAATGAGGATGATACCTACCTTATCTGCTTTACACAGTTGTAAAAGTAAAAAGTGAACTCAGGAAGGGAATTACAGAATTTAGGAGAAACTAAAAGCACGATGTAAATAATAGTCATCATTACAGTTATATAATGCTTGACAATTTATATAACACTTTCGATACATGACAACAATAACTAACACCCAGACATGTTTATATACATTACCTCACTCAGAACAACCATGTGAGGAAGTTGGCCATATGCTTTAATGTCCAAACCAGGACACTTTGAGAGTAAAAAGCAGTACTCTTTGACCAACAGGCATAAATCAAAACTATCTTGTGAAAACCGGGATATATGGCATCCTTCCTAGATAATAGATACTTTTACTATTATTAATTTTGCTGTGAATCTAAACCTGCTCTAAAAAAGTTAATTTTAAAAAGTAATGAAGTACTGATACATGCTACAACATGGGTAAATCTTGAAAACGTTATGCTAAGTGAAAGAAGCCAGACAGAAAAGGCCACATATTACATGATTCCATTTATATGACACATCTAAAATAGGCACATCTATAGACATACAGAGACAGAAAGTAGACTAGCGGTTGCCAAGAACTGCAGGGAGCAGAAAATGGGGAGTGACTGCCAACAAGTAAACCAAGTTTCTTTCTAGGGTGATGAATATGTTCTGGAATTAGACAGTGGTGATTGCTGTATAATAGTGTGGCTATACTAAAATCCACAGAAGTGTGCACTTACTAAAATGGTGAATTTTATGGTTTGTGGATTATATCAATTTGTTTTTAATATATAAGAAAGCAACTAAAAAAACACATTTGGAAGCTTTCATGCCAACGTCCCTCCACCTCTTCAGTAAGCAATGATGGAGAGATCCGAGGTGTATATAAATGTTGGTGCTCAAAGATTAATCCAGATATAGCCATTGTGGGTATACCATCCATCTCTCTGCCTCCCACTCCCAACTCCGCTGTTTCACTCCTAGTAACACCACACACACCGCTATCATCCAGAGTAGACATCTCTTTGCCCTCAATGCCAAATGGTTCTGGTTAGAAATCCTTTACATACTCGCCAAGTTTATGTAGTGATTCTTCACAATATTTGTCAAATCAAAAATAGAGTGGTAACTCTAGCATTCCCATATCTTACCCTGGAAACATATTCCATAAATCTCTGTGAAATTCTCCTTTCTGAGTAATTGCTTTCATGAGAGATGCTCAGGAATTCATAGTGGCTTGCCCAATTACTTACCATATGAATTCTAAACTCCCTTCCCTAGTTTTCAAAATTCTCTGTAATCGAGTCCTACCTTTCTTATCCAAACTTAAATCACATGACTAAACATTTGTTTATTATTAACATAGACTCTAACCTTAAAACCCTGTCCTGGCTGATTTTACAAATATGACTATTAAGATGTTACATGTTTATTGAGAGCTGTGGCAGCATATCTCAGGCCTCACATCATCTGCCACCTATCTCCTTGTCACTGATCTCCAGGGATGAGACAGAGGTTCTTGAGTGATACTGTGATGTTTACAAAGGCAGTGGTTTAAAAAACATATAGTGTGGCTATACAAAGTACTAGGAGAGATTTGTTGGGAGGTACCCTAACATAAGTTCATTATGTATGTATTTTTTCAGGGTTCTTTGGAGGGCACTTAGGATATAATAGGCATTCAACAACTACTGTTTGAGGCAAATTCATTTTTGAAAGAGCAAGTTTTGTATATTCACTGCATCTCTGCTTAATTCTGTCAAGCTAAAAGATTCTAATATACTTCTGATAGGAACTCAAGTTGTAAAAACTACCTGTTAGGACAGGTGTGGTGGCTCATACCTGTTATCCCAGCACTTTGGGAGGCCAAGGTGCGTGGATCACTGGAGGTCAGGACTTCAAGACCAACCTGGCCAATATGGTGAAACCCCAACTTTACTAAAAATACAAAAAAGTAGCCAGGTGTAGTGACATGCGCCTGTAGTCCAGCCACTTGCGAGGTTGGGGTGGGAGAATTGCTTCAACCCAGGAGGCAGAGGTTGCAATGAGCCAAGATTGCATCACTGCACACCAGACTGGGTGACAGAGCAAGATCCTGTCTCAAAAAAAAAAAAAAAAAAAAAACACAAAAACTACCTATTAGTGAGTCTTTCTTTACTTTCTGAGGATTCAACTTTCTTAGATGAAATTCTAAAAATGATTATTTTTTTTAGCATGTGTTAAACACAGTTATTATTTTAAAAACAATAAGATATGTTAAGGATTTTTTAATATGTATTTTCTTTGTTTTTTCAGACTATTAGACCCAAAAATGATGTTACCAACCATGTTGTTTTGCCTGTCAAACCTAAAAGGTCCATCAGCATTAAACTCCAGCCCAGACCACCTAATACTGCAGGGTCCCAGAAGCCGAAGTTGGAGCCACCAAAACTTCTGGGCAAAAGGCTGACTTCAGAATGTGTTTCTTCTAACCCATACTCTAAGCCTTCTAGCAAGAGTTTTCAACAGTGTGAAGCTGGATCGTCCACAACAGGAGAACTGTCAAGAAAACCTGTGGGGTCACTTAATATAGAGCAATTGAAAACTACAAAGCAGCAGTTAACAGATCAAGGAAATGGTAAATGTATAGACTTTATGAATAATATCCATGTTGAAAACGAATCTTTGGATAACTTTCTAAAAGAAACAAACAAAGAGAACTTGCTCGATATCTTAACAGAACCTGAGAGGAAGCCAGATCCTAAATTATATACCAGAAGTAAGCCAAAGACTGACTCTTATAATCAAACCAAGAACAGTTTAGTTCCTAAACAAGCCTTGGGCAAAAGTTCAGTTAATAGTGCTGTTCTGAAAGATAGGGTTAATAAACAATTTGTTGGAGAAACACAAAGCAGGACTTTCCCAGTAAAATCACAGCAACTCTCTAGAGGAGCAGATCTTGCAAGACCAGGAGTAAAACCCTCAAGGACGGTTCCCTCTCACTTTATTCGGACCCTTAGTAAAGTTCAGTCATCAAAGAAACCAGTAGTCAAGAACATCAAAGATATAAAGGTTAATAGGAGTCAATATGAAAGACCAAATGAAACTAAGATACGGTCATACCCTGTTACTGAACAGAGAGTGAAGCACACCAAACCCAGAACATACCCCAGTTTGCTTCAGGGTGAATATAACAACAGACATCCAAACATCAAGCAAGATCAGAAGTCCAGCCAAGTTTGTATACCTCAGACATCATGTGTACTGCAAAAGTCAAAAGCCATAAGCCAGAGGCCTAATTTGACAGTTGGCAGATTTAATTCAGCCATTCCAAGCACCCCTAGCATAAGACCAAATGGAACCAGTGGTAATAAACATAACAATAATGGCTTTCAGCAAAAAGCACAGACTTTGGACTCCAAGTTGAAAAAGGCTGTTCCCCAGAACCATTTTCTGAACAAGACAGCTCCCAAAACTCAAGCTGATGTCACAACCGTAAATGGGACCCAAACAAACCCAAATATTAAAAAGAAGGCAACAGCAGAGGATCGAAGGTACTTTGCTTTAATTCTAAGCTTTTGCAACTTAAGATGATTAGGCAAATTGACCATCAAGAAGACTAGGTCAGGAAATAGGCCATAAATAATGGCTCCTAAGTAATTTTTAACTACAGTCTGAAAAAAGATTTGAAGCAAATATAACAAATATTAAGACTTGACAGGGCTAGGTGGTACATACACATGTTATAAATCATTTTCTGTAATCGTATGTTTACAATAGCTTTTTTTTTTTCTTTTTAAGAAATTGAAACAGAATGGATGAGTAAGAAGTAGGGGGTGCAGATGTAGACACTCGTTCAATAAGTGCCGTGCTAGACTGAACAGCAATAGAGCAGATAAGTGAGTTCACATAGCTAGGAAGTGAGAAGATGGTAATCTCTTGTCAAGCAAACCAGTGGTTAAGTTCAGAAAAGTTACCAGGGAAGAACCAGAAACTTCCGTGAGTCTGAGTGGGCCAAGTTTTGGCCAGTAAGCTCAAGCAGGAGCAGTCAGTTCAAATACAGAGTTCAGATGGTAGAAATCAAGATCTTAGGCCGGGCACGCTGGCTCATGCCTGTAGTCCCAGCACTTTGGGAGGCCGAGGTGAGCGGATCACCTGAGGTCGGGAGTTCGAGACCAGCCTGACCAACATGGAGAAACCCTGTTTTTACTAAAAATACAAAATTAGCCAGGCGTGGAAATCAAGATCTCAGGTTGGTTAATATTAACATACATTGATTAAAACTGAGCCAGTGGATTTTGTACACTTTCTACCCAGGACCAAATGTAGTCTCATGAAGTGGGTGAGCCTCCCAGGAGAAGCACATATGTATACCTGCTTGAAGTAGAAAATAAGGAAATTTCTGACGAGTGAAGGGAGCATGTAAAATTAGATGGTTGCTAAAAAGTGTAGCAGGGTGAAGCAAGGTACAGCTTGGTACAGCCCTGAACACCACCACCAAGCTCCTTGCCCTCCTGAAGAGACAGTAAGTAAACAACTTAATTCAGGGTGCTATGATCAAGAGAGTAGGGCTGGAATGGCTGCTTTAGATAAAAGGATCAGTAGAAGTACTTTCAACAGCAATGTCTGAGCTGAGACCTAAGTCTGAGAAAAGACTGGTGACAAGAAGAAAAACAATCCTGAGCAGAAAGAGAAGTGAGTGCAGAGACCTTGAGGTGGTGAATAAGGAAGTCAGGGTCCCAGCCCTGGAGCTCAGCCTAGGTCAGACAACAGAGGATTGGTCATAAGACTGTGTTGCAGGTTGAACATGTTTGATTACAAAAGAGAAGGAGTCTAGAGAGGGAGAGATTCATTCACTCATTCTGTAGGTGTTTCTTCAGCACCTGCAGTGTGCCAGGCGCTAGGAGACACAGTGATGAGCACACAGTGAGTCTTTACCTTTCTGGAGCTAATTGTTTGGTGTATATATAGAAAGTACTAGAGAAACAAAATTATGGCATCGAGGTCCTAGGAGTAAGTTGCCTTTAGAAAGGGAAAGTTCACTCTTCGTTTATGATTAGAAGGAAGGCTAAGGAGATAGGGAAAATGCTAGGAACATGGAGGAAGCACATGCCAAATGTCTCACCTTGTATCATCAAGTAGGTGGTTGGAGTGAAGGTGAGGGGGCAGTATTTGGGGCTGAAATAATAAATATTGCATGGATGTTGCTCTGGAGTCAGAAATGAGAGTTAATAGCATTCATTCATTCAAAACTTAGTTATTGGCATTCTGGAAAAACCAAAACTATAAAGACAAAAAACGGATCAGTGATTGCCAGGAGGGGGGCGTTAGGGGTGAGACTGACTACCAAGGAGCATGAGGGAATTAGTGATAGTGTTGCAACCATCTTATAGCTTGATAATAGTCAGACTTAAATGACTTGATGCATTTGTCAAAACTCAGAATTGCACACTAAAAGGTGAATTTTACTGTGTGTTATTAAATACCTATGTGTGCTAGGCACTGTGCTGGGAACTGGACTGCCAAGGTTTCTGCCTTCATAGAGCTTACACTCTAGTGGAGGAGACAGAAAACCAACACATTGACTAAATAAGACACGGTAATTACAGGTAATTGCGTCTTCATGGAGGTGTCATTTGAGGGGAGGACTGAAGATGCAAGACCTTAAGGCAGGAATGAGTCTGGATCAAGAAACTTCAAGGAGGCAGGGTACAATGGTTCACGCCTGTAATCCCAGCACCTTGGGAGGCTGAAGTGGTCAGATCACTTGAGGTCAGGAGTTTGAGACCGGTTTAGCCAACATTGTGAAACCCCATCTCTACTAAAAATACAAAAATTAGCCGGGTGTGGTGGCACGCGCCTGTAATTGCAGCTACTTGGGAGGCTGAGGCACAAGAATCACTTGAACCCAGGAGGCGGAGGTTGCAGTGACCTGAGATCATGCCACTTCACTCCAGCCTGGGCAACAGAGCAAAACTGTCTCAAAAAAAAAAAAAAAAAAAAAGAAAAGAAACTTTAAGGATACCTGAGCTCCTGGAGGGGGTGAGTGACAGGGAGACTAGTGTGATACGAGGTTGGAGAGGTAGGCAGGAGCCAGATTACACTGTGCCTTTCTGCCTTGGAAAATATTTTGAATTTTATTCCAAGAGCTGTGGAAAGTTCTTGGCAGTGACACAGCCTGGGGTGCTATTTACCAAAGTAAGAAAAATTTGTAACAGATGCAGAGATGAAAATCAATAACTTTGTTTGTGACAGTATTAAATTTGAAATGCCTGTCAGACATCAAAAGATATCAACTAGGCGGTGGGTTTTACAAAGTTTGGGGATCCAGGGAGAGATCTGGACTGAAATGTACACTTGGAAGTCATTATTAATATGTAGTTGTAATTTAAAGAAACTGGAGTGTCTACATCCAAACATGAGGTCTATATGTCTTGGTGCCCCTACCCCCAAAAAGCAGTCTATCACCTGTTAGAAGCTGGAGTGGAAAATGTGAACAGTGGGGGACACTTGGCACTATCAGAGATCAGCTACTTAAGAGCCCTGACTTTATAGGTCTAGCTTATGAAAGAGTCATGTCTGGTCAAGAGAGGGCTAAGGAACTAGGTGAAGTGGGTCAGTTTACACACCAAGACCTTATTGAGGGTAGAATGCAGGCTTGGTGGGTTTGGGTTGAGTGACAGCTTATGCGTGAGAGAAATGAATTGCTGAGTTAGTCATCTCAAAAATAGAGGGATGTCTTAGGAAAGCAAGTGTCAAGTAGCATATAGTGAAGTGAAAACTTTCCGAGAAAAATAATGCATAATCACGAATTCTATTTGAAGTCTGAAGTGCTGGCCACGTGTGATCTTAGAATCTTGGTGTCTGCCTTCTCGTGGGTGGGCGCAACCCAATGCTGCCATTACCCATTTGTAAATTGTTTTTTAATTCCATTCTCCTGATTTTGTCTGTAGTTGAAAGTATTTAATTATACTCTATCTATACATATCATATACTTTAGCAGCTTGACTATGTTTAAAAATAAATAAAACCACTCTCCCTTTAATTGAATTTCAGGAAACAACTAGAAGAATGGCAGAAATCTAAGGGAAAAACCTATAAACGGCCTCCTATGGAACTTAAAACAAAAAGAAAAGTAATAAAGGAAATGAATATTTCATTCTGGAAGAGCATTGAAAAAGAAGAGGAAGAAAAGAAAGCACAACTCGAACTGTCCAGTAAAATTAACAACACTCTGACAGAATGTCTGAACCTCATCGAAGGGGTAAGTGAAGAAGATAAGCTCCTCCAGCTTTGGCCCAAAGTCTTATAATTTTTAAACATATTCCTAAATATAATATAGGAGAGATAGCCTTCATCTAAGTAGAAATTTAGCTACTCTTGTAAATACAGAGTAATAATAATAATGACATGCCCATAAACAGTGTCTTTTGTGTATCTGTGCTTTTATAAGCACTTAGCTAAGATTATCTCACATAATTATCATAACCACTGTTACTATGACCACTTTACAAACAAAACTGAGGCACAAAGAAGTTGGAAAACTAATCCAAACAAACTGGCTCCAAAAGGAACTTTGCTTTCTTTGGGTATCAAGTTCTGAAGAGTACACATTTAACATTGAAACTGAGGTCAGAAGGCAAGTTTCTGTGTAAAGTTGGAGTATTCTGAATACTCTGGGTAGCTACAAATAGTATTTAAATTTTATCTTGGATTCTGCAGATAAGGATAAAATAGATGGTAGGCAAAGAGTATGATCCTTAGGAGAAATTTTTCCTGAAGGAAAAATATATTAATAAAAAATGATGGAATAAACTTCTAAGATCCTTGCCTAGAGCAAAACTCATTCAGTCCTTTGGCTGGTAATGTTGAACATCAGCAAAAAAAAGGAAAAGTTCAGTTTAAGTCTACTCCAGGCAACATTTTCACAACATCCAGTTAAATATTAACTATTTCTCCTTGTGGAATTGAACTTGAGTTCTTTTTCTTATCCTCTTTTTTTGTTGTTGTATTATTTAAAAATGAGTACCTTTTTATTATTGAAATCATTTCAAGTAATGCAGATAAATGATCAGCCCTCTCCCTCTACAAACATACATACTTAGGCATCCCAAACTTCTCTCTGGAGGTGACCACCATTGCCAGTCATTCATTCTGTTTTCATGCATGTCCATACAGTATAGGTATGTCGAGAAATGAAGTATTATATTTTTGTGAGTTGCAATTCTTTTATTCACATTTTTGTGTACTTTGGTTGTCTTTTCTTGTGTTTTCCTAGTACCAATGTTATGCTGACTTAGGCAGATGAGTTGAGTATTTTCCTTTTTGCCCTATAAACTGAAAATAGTTTGTATGACATGAGAATTATTTTTATTTTTTGAAGGTTTGATAAAAACTTGCCCATAAAAATCATCTGGACCGTGTTTCTTTGGAGGATAATTTTGTATATATCCTCTCAATTTGTTATGGGGTCATTGTTCTAGAGTTCATATATCTTGAGTCAACTTTAGTAATTTTGTGACTTTTTAAAGGGATTTTTTCTCAATCTTTTTAAAAGATCTCAGGTTTTATTGCCAAAGATTTTTTCTCATTAATCTTTTTAAAAGACCTCAGGTTTTATTGATTATTTTTTCTCTTGCATCAATGTCTGCATCTATTTTTATATTTATTGCTCTTTTCCTAGCTTTTTAATTGAAACCTTAGATCATTTAAAAGTGAGTCTTTCTTTTTTTTTTTTTTATAAATATGTTCAGTGCTATAGCAGATTTGCCTCTGAATTTTACTTTGGTCATATCCCTCAGATTTGACTAAGTAATACTCTTTATCAGTCAGGATCAAGTCTGAAAAACAAACCACAGAAAGAATGTAATTGGTTACACAGTATCTTATGTGGGTTCTCTAGAGGTGGAGCCTAAGAGGAGAATCCATGTGAAAGTAGTTTATTAGGAAGACACTCCAGGGAAAACTGGGAGGGGAGTGAAGTTGTAGGATCAGAAAAGCGAATCCATGGACGGTGACTCTGGCACAGCCCCACAGGGGAGCTCTGGAGACAGTGTAGGTCACATCTCTCAGAGTCATCCTGATCAGAGGCAAGGGAGCTACATTGTTAAAGCTTCCATGGTCATTTATTCATGGCTGCCTCGGGCGGACAAGAATTGTCAGGCACTTCTCACTCTCTGGGCACATACGAGGGAGCACAGATGCTGGCTGTGAAAGCACGCGGTAAGCCTGTGTGCACAAGATGCTGAAGGGATCAGAAGGAGTGTGGGTGCTACACACAGGGCTGACAGCACACAGGAACCTGAGGTAATGTGATAACTGTAGGAAGCAGCTTGTACCCACTGGGTCTAGGAGAACAAAGAGAGGTTAGGGTATCAGAACCAAGAAGCAGGAGAGACAAACCCTGGTAGAAATGGGACTCCAACTGTAAGGAAGGCATACTACCCAGCAGATGATGGAGGAGAGGCCCTGCAGGGCTGGGGCTCAGATTTTGAGGAAAAGATGCTATCCATTTGGTGCTTCTGCTCTGAAGCTGCACAGGGAGGTGGGCTCTGAGGGGGAAAAAAAGATGCTAGAACCAACTGTTACTGCCAGGGTGAGGGACCGTTGCTGGGGTGATGAAAGCAAATAGGAAGAAGCAAGTGTCTTCCTTCTCCATCCCTGCAGCCTCCCTCTCGTGCCCCCTGCTGGCAGAGCTGAGCAGGGAGCTGCTGCCCAGCAGAAAGTTTTACAGAGTTTTATCCCCAGCATCACAAAGCAGAGGATGGGGTTTGGGGCCAATAGACAAAAGCTTCATAACTGACATATCTTGTCATTGTTCATTTCTAAATAGCTTGAGATTCCCATTTTGAGTTCTTTAACCCAAAAAATATCTTAGAAAAGTATCTTTTAATTTCCAGATGTGTAGATTTTTTTTTTCTGCTGTTAATTTCTAATTATATTGCATTGTAGTTGGTGAATGTGGCCTATGTGTACTCTACTTGATGGATTTTGTTGAAATTTTCTTTGTGGCCTTAATATCTGATCATTCTTGGTAAATGTTCCAAAAGTGTTTGAAAATAATGTATATCCTATTTGTTTATTTGATCTATTGCTTTCTGAAAGAAATATGCCAAAGTCTGTCACTGGCACTGTGATTAATCATTGACAATTTCTCTTCATATGTCTGTCAATTTTTACTTTCTATTTTTTAAAGTTATGTTGTTAGGTACAGAAAGATTCATGACTTGCTTTGATTTCTTTTGTCTGATTAATCTTGCCACACCTGCTTTTTGTTGTTAGAATATGTCTGGTAGCTCTGGTAGCTCTTTTTCCATCCCTTTACTTTAAGCCTTCATGGGCTGACTTATTTTAGGTATGTCTCATATAAATGCACACAGTTAAATGTTTTAAACAAATTTGAAACTCTCTGCTTTTAAAAAGCAAATTTAGTTCGTACACATTTATTATGATTACTTGTATGTTTAAACTTATGCCTGCTATTTTATTTTGTAATTCAGCTTACATGAATTATTTTTTCCTCATTTCTGTGTTTAATCTAGTTTTATTTCATAAAATAATACACTGAAATGAAAATAAAGTGATAGATGTAAGCTCAAACATGATTTGCAGAATATATATCATATTCTTCTTGCAGTTCCTTTTTTCATTTTTTTTTTTTTTTTAAGAGACAGGGTTTCACTCTTTTGCCTAGATTGGAGTGCAGTGATGCCATCATAGCTCACTGCAACTTTAAACCTCCTGGGTGGACCCAAGTGATCCTCCACCTCAGCCTCCTGAGTAGCTAGGACTACAGGTACACACCACTACACCCATTATAGTTTACATTTTTTTGTAGACACAGGGTCTCACTGTGTTGCCCAGGCTGGTCTCAAACTCCTAGCCTCAAGCAGTCCTCTGCCTCAGCTTCCCAAAGTGCTGGGATTACAGGTGTGAACCACCCACTGCACCTGGCCTGCAGTTACTTTTATTTCAAGTCTTTCATGTGAATTCTAAAGTTTACTCACTAGTGACTTTATGATTTTTGAATGGCAAACCTTTTGAGTCTGTATTCTTGTGAAACTTGTTATTTGCCTTCATGCTGGAATCATAGTTTGGCTGGGGGAAATTTCTTAATTTCAGCTTGTTTTCCCTGGAAAAATTTAAGTGACTGCTTCATTTTCTTTCTTGCATCTGGAGTTGTTGATTTGTTAATGTCTCACGTCAGTCTGATTCTCATTCCTTTATAGGTAATCCTTTTCTTCCCCCTCTCTGGAAGCTTGTACGATTTTCTTTTTATCTTTGGTTTTCTATTATATTTTTTTCTCCCATTCATCCTGCTTAACTATCTGAGAGCCTTTTCAACCTGAACAACTGTTTCTTTGTTCATTTCTTGAAATTCTTCTTCTACAACCACTTTGTGTGTTGAACTTTTTTCCTTCTAGAAACTCTCTTAGATGGATATTGGAGTTATTGAGTAATGGATATATCCTTCAGAACTCTAAATGTTGTTTTCATACTGTTCACTTCATTGTTTTATTACACTGGTTTCTAGGAGGATTTCACAGCTGAATTTTCAGCTCACAGATGTATTCTTCAGCGCTGTCCATGCAGTTGTTCTGCCTTTCTGTTGGTTATTTTTCATAACAGCCCATTCTAGTTTTAGGATAGCAATACTCTCTCTTATCACTCTGAAGATATTGACTGTGATACTCTTAAAAGTATTCCTCTTTGCTCCAGTGTTCATTCTTGTTTGTTGAGTTTTATGCCTCTTTCATGTAGTGTTGGTTTTCTCAAATGTTAGTGATTCTCAATTGTGAACTTACCTTTGCGTCTCCCCCATTTCTAGCAGTAGAAGGTGCTGCTTGGCTGAGTGTGCCAGTACCTGGATTTCTGGGCATGGTAGTGCTCCCCATTCGTTGGGTCCATGTCACTGTCCTGCTTACGGCACAAGCCAGAAGGGAACCAAACCAGTGAATCCATTTCAAATTATCTTTTTGTGGGATTTAACCCTCTTTCATAAACACCTGCATAAATCCCTGACACTTACACATATACACCCCTATGACCTTCGCATGCCTGTGTCATTCTTTACACTGCTATTAGTCCTATGGAAATTCTCATCACTACTCAGTGTTCTCGTTATTATAAATATGGAATATTATGAATATGTAAATGTTTACTCTAGGATTTGTTTTGTTTTTGTACCATGTAAAAATGAACATATTTCTTACCTTCAGCTATGATAAACATTTTCTATTTGGTCTCATATAACTCTTAAAATTTAATGATGAGGAAGCCAGGCTCAGTGGCTCATGCCTGTGGTCTCAGCTACTCGAGAGGCTAAGGTGGGAGGATTGCTTGATCCCAGGAGGTAGAGGTTGCAGCGAGTTGTGATCGTACCACTGCACTCCAGCCTGGGCAACAGAGTAAGACCTTGTCTCAAAAAAAAAAAGAAAAATTAAGCCAGGCATGGTGGCTCATGCCTGTAATCCCAGCACGTTAAGAGGCTGAGGTGGGCGGATCACGAGGTCAGGAGATCAAGACCATCCTGGCTAACACGGTGAAACCCCATCTCTACTAAAAATACAAAAAATTAGCCGAGCATGTGGTGGCATGTGCCTGTAGTCCCAGCTACTGGGGAGGCTGAGGCAGGAGACTTGCTTGAACCTGGGAGGTGGAGGTTGCAGTGAACCGAGATCGCGCCATTGCACTCCAGCCTGGACGACAGAGCAAGACTCCATCTCAAAAAAAAAATAATAATTATTATTAATCTCAAATCATTAAAATGGATAATTAAAACAGGTGCATTTTATTACATGTACATTGTACCTCAGTAAAATTGAAATTTTTTTAAAAGTTCAAAAATATTAGTGATCAAACCAATTTCTGCATACCTGCTGTAATAAATATTAGGAGATGTGAGACTAACAGTGAAATGGTAATAATTACCTCTGGATATTTTGGTTTATTTCAGGGTGTACCTTCTAATGAAATACTTAACATATTGTCCAGCATTCCTGAAGCTGAAAAATTTGCTAAATTCTGGATCTGCAAAGCAAAGTTGTTGGCAAGTAAAGGCACCTTTGATGTTATTGGGCTATATGAAGAGGCCATTAAAAATGGGGCAACAGTGAGTATCTGTCTTGGGTGGGTAACTTCTTAAAATTCTCTTTCATGTGAGTTCTCTGTTGTTGTTTGTAATATGATGGTTAGAAGTTTGCAACATCAATATCCAACACTTATAAAGTCATACCTTACCATAAAGAACTTAAAAATATATTAAACCCAATACGTCAGCATCCTTAAATCAATAATTCAGAGCCATTGCATGAAATAACTTTTAATTCTAAAATTTAGAAAAAAAAACTATATAATTATTATTTACAAAAACTGCATCAAATAGTTTTATAATGCTTTTCCTTAAAATGTCATTTTCCATGTCATGTTCTGTATTCTGTGTGATACCTTTTTCCATAATGGTTCAAAATCAGAATTGTACATGCACATAGTTTAAGCAGTCAAGTAGTTTGATAAGTTTCGTTCAGTAAGACCTCTGCCTTCCTTCCCTCCCATTTTCCCCTTCCTAGAGCAAACTGATTTATTTTTATATTAACCTCTATAGTTTCAGAAAACGTGTTTCTGTTTCTTGATTTTTCAGTTTTAGATATGATTTATGGACTTCCAGCTATGCAGAGTGAAGATTTAGCCCTCTTTCACACATACATACACAGATCCCCAGCACACACAAATACACACCCCTATTTACCATCCTTATAGACCTTTGCCATTCCTTATACTTTCATTAGAGTCATGGAAATTCTGGTCACTATTTAGCATTCACATTGTTATGAATATATAAGAAATATATGGGCTGGGCACGGTGTTTCACGCCTGTAATCCCAGCACTTGGGGAGGCCGAGGCAGGTGGATCACAAGGTCAGGAGATCGAGACCATTTTGGCTAACATGGTGAAACCCCATCTCTACTAAAAAATACAAAAAAGTTAGCCGGGCGTGGTGGCGGGCACCTGTAGTCCCAGCTACTCGGGAGGCTGAGGCAGGAGAATGGCATGAACCTGGGAGGCAGAGCTTGCAGTGAGCCGAGATCGGGCCACTGCACTCCAGCCTGGGCAACAGTGCAAGACTGTCTCAAAAAAAAAAAAAAATACATGAATATGTTGAGCCATGCAATATATACTATGATTACTTTGCCTTTCAAGCACAACTTTCTACTTTTCCTGGAGTTATTGTCTTGTTTTGCCTTTGCTTAGTTTTCTGAGTATTTATTATATAATTAATTCACAAACTCTTCGCTAATTGTCTAAGTTCCTCAATACTTTGAAAACATCAGATATTCTATTGATTCCTTTTTCTTAGATAAAGAGCTTTCTCCTAGACCCTTCTGGCTTATTCCAGACTGAACAAGTTACTTTTTACTGCCGTCTTCACCAGCTGTCTTTCTGGGATCTCTTTACCATCACCTTTAGATTCCCTTTACATCCTTCTTAAGTTGGGTGGATCCCTTGTTTTTAGAACCCATATTAGTTTTCTTCTTCCTACATTGTCTATTTCTTCTCCAATGTTTTTCATTTCTTTCTCTCTTGTTATTGTTTGTTTGTTCTTTTTGTTTTGTTCTCTATTATTCTTTAAAGGCTTTACACAGATGCTGGTGAAACTGGGCTGTTTGCACATATAAAAGGTGGGTCTGAAAAAGCTTATTTAAAGCCCGAGACACATGGATGGGGCTTCAACACAGGGTGATCTGGCTGAGTTGACTAGTTAGAAAACCCTCAATATCAGTATCTTTAGGTCTTTCCTCTTAAGCTGGTCAAGTTATCTGGAGAAATCTGTTCCAATCTCCTTCCTGGGAGCTAGACACCAGGCTGCCAGTGCTGTGGGAGAGAAGAGAGCAGGGAGTCTCAACCCTCAACATAGAAACTTTTGCTTATCTCCTTTTCTCAGAAAGCACCCTATCCTAATCTTGCATGATATCCCTCAGAGACTTGCAGAATACATTCCCAGTTTTCTGTTAGGATGAAGGGAGTCAGACACAGTTACTAGGCTGCATAGAGTTTAGGGGTGCAGGATGGATTTGGAGGTCTGACTGCTTTTTGAACAGATGCTAAAGAGTCCTCCTAATTTGGGCCCTACCACCCATTCCTTAGCCTTTCTGTCAGGTTGTTTCTTAGCCACACTGCCAGCTTGGGATTCAACTCTCTCAAGTAGATCAAATTGTTTACCTCTCTTCCTTCTGCACTGCAGCTTCCAAAACCTTATTGTCATTTCTTCTCTCCTATGTTTTGTGGTTATTGCCTCTTCTTAATCCCTTTATTATCCTTTCAGTCGATTTTCAAGAGAGATTAGAAATAAACGTATATTTAATCCACCATCATTAACCAGAAGGCTATACAAATATAAAATATGCTTGATGAATGTTGTATAGAATTCACTCTTTGTAATATATTCTATACATTTATTCCCATTCATTTAGCTGAAATCATAATTCTATTTTGGATTTTGAAAAAATGTACGGAAAGCTTTGCTTTTATGCTTTATTGTCAGTTTATATCTATTTGATACAGAGTTCCAGGTAAGGAAGACAAACCTCCAACTATAATTTTCTTGTGGGAAAGTGCAGCTTCTGCTTCATGGCATGGTTTACATACTTGAAAAATAAAGCCTATCTCAGATAATTTTATCAGAAAATTACTTTTCCATGAAGGTTTTTTTTTCTAAGTATGTTAACAAATAAAAGAAGAAAGACAGGAAAAGCTGGAGAAAATTACTCAAAATGCCTACAAAGATTGTATCTGGGCCAGGCACAGTGGCTTACCCCTGTAATCTCAGCACTTTGGGAGGCTGAGGCAGGCGGATCACTTGAGATCAGGAGTTTGAGACCAGCCTGGCCAACGTAGCGAAACCCCGTCTCTACTAAAAATAGAAAAATTAGCCAGATGGGGTGGCGCATGCCTGTAATCCCAGCTCTTCGGGAGGCTGAGGCAGGAGAATCACTTGAACCCTGGAAGTGGAGTTTGTGGTGAGCCGATACCGCACCATTGCACTCCAGCTTGGGTGACAGAGACTCCATCTCAAAAAACATTGTGTTTGGGGCCAGGTACAGTGGCTCACTCGTGTAATCCCAGCAGTTTGGGAGGCCGAGGCGGGTGGATCACGATGTCAGGAGATCGAGACCATCCTGGCTAACACGGTAAAACCCCATCTCTACTAAAAATACAAAAAATTAGCTGGGCGTGGTGGTGGGCGCCTGTAGTCCCAGCTACTTGGGAGGCTGAGGCAGGAGAATGGCATGAACCCAGGAGGCAGAGCTTGCAATGAGCCGAGATCGCGCCACTGCACTCCAGCCTGGGACAGAGTAAGACTCTGTCTCAAGAAAATATATCTATATCTATATATAAAATGCATTTTCTGTGTGGCTAGCTTTACATCATTGGGCCAGAATTTTTATGTAGGAATACATATTTGACAGTATTATACAAATCAATAGGAAAATAGAATTTGATGTAGACAAATTACATTATGGACAACTTTAAATACATCTGTTCATTAAGTCGAGTGTGCCAACACTTAATCAGAATTTTCTCTGTTCCTTTACTTTTCTCATGAAGCTATAAAACTGTCAAGCTAGACAAAAGATTTATAGTTAGACGAGATTTTAAAAGGAAACTTTTATTATAAAACATGTATTTGAAGTTAAAGTTCCTTAGCAAATTTTTTGCATGAATGTTTTTAAGATTTTGTATGTTTTCTTCCTTCCTTCCAGCCAATACAAGAGTTGCGGAAAGTTGTTCTTAATATCTTGCAAGACTCAAACAGAACCACAGAAGGTACTATTATTTTTGAATTTAAATTCATCTTCTCTAGCTGTACCAGTAAAAATCATCCAGGACATATAGGAAAAAGAAGAAAAGAATCATCCCCTGAAATGCTTCTCACTTCTTGGTTTCCATGACCTGGCCCTTTCAGCCATTGTCATCAGCTGACTTATTTGTATTATTACAAGTAAATGCACTACTCAATACTGAACAAAGGTTGTTTCCACCAAAACAGCCTAGACTGGAGTGTCCCACTTCCTTGGAATCCTAGATGGCAGAAGACAAACAGCTCTTTGCTGGAAGAGACTGAGGCAGAAAGGAGAAATGCCTTAAGTTACATGTTTAATCATAATAAACCCACCAACATACTCATCTAAATTTGTGTTACGCTTTAAAAATAGCTATCTCAGGAATCTCTTCAATTGGATGACCATCACTGTCAGTGGTCATAACCTTTAGAAGACTCTTCTATGAGACATATATTGTGCCAAACACGAGTGACATTATAATTGCTTACGATACTTGTTATATGAATGGAAAGAAAAAACAAGCTATCTTTAGAAAATAAATTGGATTCTTCTTGTTATCTTAAAAGGTGACAAATCTTTTTCCTTTAATAGTAGATTTAGGCTGCATACGGTAGCTCACGCCTGTAATCCCGGCACTTTGGGAGGCCAAGGCAGGTGGATCACCTGAGGTCAGGAGTTTGAGACCAGCCTGACCAACGTGGTGAAACCCTGTCTTGTCTTTAAAAAAAAAAAAAAAAAAAAAAAAAAACAGAAAAGAAAAATTAGCCAGTTGTGGTGGTGCGTGCTTGTAATCCCAGATACTCAGGAGGCTGAGGCAGGAGAATCGTTTGAACCCAGAAAGTGGAATTTGGAGTGAATGAAGATCACGCCACTGCACTCCAGCCTGGACAACAAGAGCGAAACTCCATCTCAAAAAAAAAGAGTAGATTTAACTGGGGAACAATCAAGTCATGTAGCTAAGTAACCCACTACATGTGGTAAGAAGGACATAAAATAGATAATAGTAGATTCTTTGAGAATGAGGCTACAATTCAGTTATTTGGTTAAAACATGGTAGTGTTTTAAAAGGAATAAAAAGAGAAGACAGGAATCCATGCCTTTGTTGCACCCTATTGACCTCACTTAGGGTGTCAGCCTCTAGCCACAGTGTGCCTGGCACAGTCTGATTTCCTTCCTTTCATTTTGGTGATTGTGTTTGGGCTACCATGAAAACTATTAATGCAAGACAGTTTTTGCCCACTGTCCAAGGCAGTAACCATGTGGTCATCCTGGGGAGGAATGGGATTGGGAGGTTGTGTGAGTTAACCTTAGTGAGTCAAGAAAATTGATCCAAGGTGTGGTGTAAGGGTAGAAGGCCAGTGATTAGTCCCTAAGAGAGCTCTCTTGAGAGTGAATAGGAGACTGGAGATATGTTCAGAGTCTTGAAAGGGTGTCAAGAATCTACGTACAGCAGTCTCGGGGGCTGGCTACGAGGGTAGCCTGATGTAGCAAGACACTGCTACAGAGCTTAACGTGAAAAAACAAGTTATAAGTCACACTTCAAATCAATCACTATTCAGTATGTGGAGCCCATGAAGATCACTGGGAAATCATTGTATGTATGTATTTTTCATGTTATTGACTTCTAGTTGAAGTATTAAATTGGTAAATCTTACTTTCCTTCATGATCTTACATACACAGGGATTACTTCTGACTCTTTAGTTGCTGAAACTAGTATAACATCAGTGGAAGAGCTGGCCAAGAAGATGGAATCTGTGAAGTCTTGTCTTTCTCCAAAAGAGAGGGAACAAGTCACGGCGACACCCCGAATAGCCAAGGCAGAACAGCATAATTATCCTGGTATCAAATTACAGATTGGTCCAATCCCTAGGTAAGCAAACTCTAAAGCAGACTTTGTGTTCACAGACTTAATTCTAGTCCAAGTCTCGATTTTTCCTTCACAGATCTAGAGTAACTGAGACCTGACCTGCAGTGAGGAAGGTGCTGCCAGAGTCAGGAGGGGTATTAGAATGCATTCACCCCCGTCCTATGGTCTCGCCTACCTTTTCACTCTCATTTGTCCTGCACTTGCAGATCCTATCTGCCTTTCCTGCAAGTCCTGACACAGCTGGGTATGGTTGGGGTGATAAGATGGGGCACAAAGTCCCAAGCGGGAGCAAACTCTGTAGCTGTGGGAGAAAAGGGACAGTGAATACCCCTCTAAGAACGGAGAGCAGTGGAGTATGTACTAGTCAGAGACTGCTCATAAAGTCAGAAACGTTTTATTTTTTAACAAATATAAATTTAAGGCAGAATCCATAGTAATTTAAGGAGCTATGTCAGGGCGTCAGTGTCATTTTCTAAAATGTGAGTGTAGCACCACTCTTCTCTGATCATGATCTGGAAAGAATTCCAAACAAGGGCACCAAGACAACAGTTCTTTGTTTTAGTTACCTGGAAAGCACAGCCGAATCTCTTCCAATCCTAAACTCTCTGACACACACCATTTTCCCACTACAGTCAGCTCATAAGAGGATGAAAACAGTTCAGTTCATAAGTGGATGAACTACAGTCAGCTCATAAGTAGATGAAAACAGTTAATCCAAAAACTACCTCTTAATGGCTCTAGAATTCACAAAACCACTAATTACATTAGCCTAAGGAAAACTAGCAGGCAAGTCTGCCAAGATTGCACCATTGCACTCCAGCCTGGGCAACAAGAGTGAAACTCCATCTCAAAAAAAAAATGAAAAGGCTGGGCACATGGTGGCTCATGCCTGTAATCCTGTCACTTTGGTAGGCCGAGGCAGGAGGATTACTTGAGCCTAGGAGTTCAAGAGTGGCCTGGGCAGCATAGGGAGACCCCAACTCTATGAAAAATAAAAAATTAGCCAGGCATGCTGGCATACGTTTGTGCTCCCACCAGCTTGAAAGGCTGAGGTGGACAGATGCCTTGATCCTAGGAGGTTGAGGCTGTAGTGAGCTGTGATTGCACCACTGGACTCTAGCCTGGGCAACAGAGTGAGACCCTGTCTTTAAAAAGAAAAAGCTAGAAAGAATCTTGGAATTCATTAATTCAACCAAATTTGGTATTAGGCCCCATTTCCTTAAAACTTGTCATCTGTTTTGAAAGTTTATAGAATAAATGAACACCAACTGCCAAATATTTGACTTCAAATAAAAACCACACTTCATACTTCATTCAATAAATCCTTATGCTTACACCATCCAAGAACAGATGGACACCACCCAGTACATTCTGGAAATCAGGGAAAAGCCTTTTTTTTGAGACTGGGGTCTTGCCATGTTGCCCAGACTGGAGTACAATGGCATAATCATAGCTCACTGCAGCCTTGACCTTCTGGGCTCAAGCAGTCCTCCCACTTCACCCTCCTGAGTAGCTGGGATTACAGGTGTGTGCCACCATGCCCAGCTAATTTTTATATTTTTTGGTAAAGATAGTGTGTTGCTATGTTGCCCAGGCTGGTCTCGAACTCCTAGAAAAAGCCATCTGAAGATGAAAGCTGCTCTAGACATATCTCTTGTATCACCCTATGTTAAAATGTCTTCCCTGTTTTATTATTGAATAAGAAACAAAAAATAATAAAGATAATTTTTTTAAATGATAAGGTTTTTAATGCATCTCTTGCTGTCTCTCAGAATAAATGGGATGCCGGAAGTGCAAGACATGAAATTTATCACTCCTGTACGGCGTTCGTCGAGGATTGAGCGAGCAGTGTCCCGCTACCCAGAAATGCTGCAGGAACACGATTTAGTAGTGGCTTCTCTTGATGAACTGTTAGAAGTGGAAGAAACAAAATGTTTTATATTCCGTAGAAATGAGGCGCTGCCTGTAACATTGGGGTTTCAAACCCCTGAATCATAATTTCTTGATGCTTTTTTTAAAAAAGGTGTTTCAGAACCAACATAAGACAAGAAATATTCTTGTCCAAGTGACCTGGAAAAAAAGAGAGGCATCATGGATGCAGATTATGGACGCTCAGGACTTAAGTAATTCACTGGGCTTACTCTCAAATTTTCTCTCCCCATGGGAAAATCTTTGCTTTATGTGTTTAAGACCAGTTTGCCAGTTTTACAGTATACATAAATTTCAAACTTTTGAATATTTACCCTACAACTATGATAAATATTTATACTTTATTGATCTACTTTAATCCCAACATAGTTTTTTATATCAGAAGGTTGGTCCCACAATATAATGGGACTTTTCTTTCTGCATCCACCTTAGCAGAGGGCAAGTTCTTTCATCGTGGAAGATCTGAACTTTGACGCTAGCTTGACAGGCTGAATGGACCTTGACAGATGGCCAAGTCAAAACCCCTCATTTTACAGATGAGTTTATGCTAGCTGTGCCTTTGCTCAGAGATCATAAATTTATGTGTGATCTTTGACTTTCATCACAGTATCCTTGTAAATGAGAGAGAATTCTTGTTTTTTCTATGCCAGGTCTCCTCAGATGAAACACAATCCTGAATTGGCATGGTCGTCTAGCTTTTATATTCAAACCTAGTTTTGCATTTGTTACTCAGAAACACTTCAAGTAACAAAAGGGGGGCAGGGGAGAGGGGTGGGGAGTGGACACTTGCTTCTTCAGTTCTTTGCTCAGCTAGGGTATAGCTGGCCTGAGAAGGCAGTGCAAGCCCCAGAGACTGTTGTAGGTTGCTTTTTCTTCCTCCTGGGCAACTATTTGTGGAAAGGTTTTACCTTAGTCATTATGTAAATATAATTGTGTAGAAAAACCTAGTCAACACATTTTAAATTTTAGCTTTCTTAATATTTAAGTATTATCTTAAAACAACATTAAATTTCTATTAGTTCCTGCTTGTTTATCTTATTTATTATAGAAAACCATGATAATGGCTTTGCATAGAGAATTAGGAGTTTGTCTAAGGATATACCAGTTGGCTGTCCTAAGAAACAAGGAGCATTCATTACCAAGGAGAATGGACTTTGATCAAAGGTCTATCAGCCTCATCCAGGAACTAGATTTTTTTAAGGGAAGCAGATCTATTTCTGAAAGTCAGATTTATAATAAAGCTCAAAAAACTGAGCTATAAACCTGTAATACCAGCAGACTTTCAATAAGAGACTCTTACAACTCAATTGTGGAAAAACTAATAATTAAAAATGGGCAAAGGACCTGAGCAGACATTTCTCCAAAGAAGACATAAGAAATGGCCAGTAGGTATAGATATGAAAAGGTGTTCAGCATCATTAATCATAAGAATAATGTAAATTAAAACCACTGTGAGCTATCACCTCACATCTATAAGAATGGCTATTAACAAGACATGAGATAAATGTTGATGAGATTGTGGAGAAAAGAGAACCCTAGTACACTGTTTGTGGGCGTGTAGACTGGGGCAGCCGTTATGGAAAACGGTATGGAGGCTCCTAAAGAAATTAAAAATAGAACTGTTATCTGACCCTCTTCTGAGTAAGTATGTACCCAAAGAAGATGAAATCACCAGCTGGGCGCAGTGACTCACACCTGTAATCCCAGCACTTTGGAGTGGGTGAATCACCTGAGGTCAGGAGTTCAAGACCAGCTTGACCAACATGGTGAAACCCCGTCTCTACTAAAAATACAAAAAGTAGGCGGGCATGGTGACGGGCACCTGTAATCCCAGCTACTTGGGAGGCTGAGGCAGAAGAATCACTTGAACTCGGGAGGTGGAGGTTGCAGTGAGCCAAAATTGCGTCACTGCACTCCAGCCTGGGTTACAGAGCAAGACTCCATCTCAAAAAAAAAAAAGATGAAATCATCACCTCATAAAGATATCTGCACTCACATGTTTGTGGCAGTGTTATTCTCAATAGCCAAGATGTGGAAACAACCTAAATGCCCATCAATGGACAAATAAAGAAAATACGGCATATGCATGCCGTGGAATAGTATTCATCCTTGGAAAAGAGGGAGTTCTTGCCATTTGCCACAACATAGATGGACCTGGAGAACATTATGCTAAGTGAAATAAGCCAGACCCAAGGAAAAATACTGCATGATCTCACATATGGAATATTTAATTTTTTAAGAAAGAGCTCAAGTACACAGAGAAAGTGCTTACCACAGATTGGGGAAGAGGAAATGGGGAGATGCAGGCCAAGGATACAAAATAGCAGATAAAATGAACAAGTCTAGAGATAGGGCTAAAGTTAATACAATTGTATTAGGGATTTTTGTTAAATAAGTAGATTTTAGCTGCTATTATCACAAAAAAACTGAGATGATAATGTTAATCTGCTTCACTATAGCAGCCATTTTATTATCTATATGTATCCCATAACATCATGTTGTAAATCTTAAATATACCTAATAAAATAAAATTGTCACCAAAATGCAAGAATTAGAGTTAACTTTACCTGTGAAGCCAAGTAATGCTCAGAGGGCTGCTTAGAGATCACAAAATCTGAACATAGGACGTAGAGGCATCAAATATTCAAAATCACCAGGCTTAGAGAGTCTGAAGTGAGTCCTGTGTTAGGAATATTCTTGCCTTGAACCTCAGACACTGTCCTAAGCCCGTCGACCAGGTTCTCATGATCGATCCTGCAGTGCCATCCATTGCTTGTGCACTTACTTTTTTTCTGGCTTCTAGAGTGGTCCATCTTTGCTACCTAAATCCCTCCCCTGACCCCAGGCCTAGGAGTCAGTTGTCTCTTTATGGTGGTTTTATGTCTTTCCTCAAAACCATTGTCTTGACATTACAGCTTAGTTCCCAAAAGAGCAGTTTTATTTTCTTTATTGCTAGTTCCTTGCAGGATGTCTCACAGTATTACCCTGGGTACCAACAATAACAGTGTAGGTTGAACTATTGGTGTCTAATAATTATAAGTTTCAAAATGGCACATTGGAGGTTTCGATCAGCCTCGTCAGACTATAGAGTCTTGCAGACACAAAAGGTTGTGGAAATGATTGTGGATGGTACTGCAGCTGCAGAAAACTGCACCCTAATTCTGGGACTCTTTGTAGATACTCAGTAACCCTCTTGTTTAGTAAATAGCTGCTCCTAGACATAGGGAGCAGGAAGGAGGGAGAGTGGGAAGGAAAGAAGGTGGGCCCTTAATGATTTGGGAAGGAGATTCATAGGGAATTGTAGTGGAAATATGGGCCTTTGCAAAAATAAGTCTAATGTTGTTCGGGGATGGCTTTTTAGAGGAGGTGAGTGTAAAGCAAGTTTTAAAGAAAGAAAAAAAGGGGGGGGAGGATTATATATAGCATCTCTGTGCAGAATGACCATGAACCAGAAGACAGAGGAGAGGCATGATGGTTCACATTTGTTAGTGCTCACTATGCCAGGCACTCGGCTGAGTCTTTTACATACTATAAAATACTGTTCCTGAGGCTGGGCATGGTGGCTCATGCCTGTAATCCCAGCACTTTGGGAAGTCGAGGCGGGTGGATCATTTGATGTCGGGAGTTTGAGACCAGCCTGGCCAACATGGCAAAACCCTGTCTCTACTAAAAATACAGGCGTTATCCAGGCGTGGGGGTACGCACCTGTAATCCCAGCTACTCAGGAGGCTGAGGCAGGAGAACTGCTTGAACCTGGGAGGCAGAGGTTGCAGTGAGCCAAGATCATGCCACTGCATCCCAGCCTGGGTGACAGAGCAAGACTCAGTCTCAAAAAAAAAAAAAAAAAAAAAAATGTTCTTGCCTCCCTGGCATGTACTCCCTTTTCCAATAAAAGCACCCCAGACTGGGTGCGGTGGCTCACGCCTATAATCCCAGCACTTTGGGAGGCCGAGGTGAGCAGATCACTTGAGGCCAAGAGTTCAAGACCAGCCTGGCCAACGTAGTGAAACCCTGTCTCTACTAAAAATACAAAAATTAGCCAGATGTGGTAGAGTGTGCCTGTAGTCCCAGCTACTTGGGAGGCTGAGGCAGGAGGATCACTTGAACCCGGGAAACAAAGGGTGCAGTGAACTGAGATCACACCACTGCATTCCAGCCTAGGCGACGGAGCAAGACTCTGTCTCACAAAAAAAGCACCCCAATTTCCCTACTACCACCCATTTCCTGCTGACAATCTACATGGTTAAGAAGAATGGACTCAACCCCAGTATGCGCATGTGACCCAGTCCTGGCAAAGCCAAACTTGGCATCTCCCTGGCCAGTGGCATTGATTGGAGGATGGGATAGTGTCACAACCAGTGAGGCATCATTTCCCAGACTTTCATTAGAAAGATGCTTCCTGGTAGAGTTGCTGAAAAGATAAAGATAGAAATCTGGAGTTTGGGAACAGCCATCTTATAACCTCATGGACAAAACCTGCCAGAGAATAGTACCAACATGGAATAAACTTGAGAGTTGGAGAGAGCAAGCTATGTCCAATGACATTGATTTGACTCCCTGGTTAATGCTATGCCTGGAGCTGGGCTAACCCTGGACTTTTTAGTTATATGAACCAATAAATTCTGTTTTTTCTCAAACCAGTTTCATTAGGTTTCCTTCAGTTGCTAAAGAAAAAATCCTGACTAATGTACACACACACACACACACACACACACACACACATATATATAATAGCATAGAAAACACTTATTTAGTGCTTACTCTGGCCAAGCTCCATGTCCGTTATCTCACTATATCCTTATAATAGCTTTATGACATGGTTATGGAAATAGAGTAGTTAATAAATGTCAGTCCTGCAATTTCAAAGTCAGGGCTGTCTGGCTCCAGGTTCAGAACTTTTAACTCCTATCTCTATTTAAAGTAAGGAAATGAGGACTAAGGTGATGATAAGGAAACACATCTGAGCAAGATAAATTATTGAACTGTTCCCAGTTTACCAAGCAGGAATCACTGTGACAGCCAAAGTACTGTCATTTATTCTACAAATAAATGATCACATTTTTACCACTAGTTCACTACCACAGAGATGCTGCTTCTGTTCTCTTCATTTCCTGACTGCTCAAGACGATGCCAGAATGAGGATGTCAGTTCAGCTGCTGTCACTAGTCCCAAATGGAAATGCATCTCTCTCACATCAGCCATCCAAGTGACAGCCCAATGCTAATCTACTGCCAAGCCCAGCCTATGTCTGTCTTGTGACTCCACCATCCCTTGGAGGCAGCCTCGTCCATGTGGCCAAAGAAGGCTCCCACCCAACTTCACTCTCCAGCCAGCTGGAAGGGGGAAGAGAGGAACGGGAAGGTATGCCCCTCCTGAGGTCACGGATTGGAAGTTGGACCATTACTTCTGTCCAGAATTTAGGGGCCAGAACTTGGTCCCATGTCCCCCCCTCCCACCCCATCTAAAGAAGCAGGGAAATGTGTATCAGATGGCCACATGCCCAGCTAAAAATTCTTCCAGAAATGGGAGATGAATGTCAGTGTCTGCACACAGTCTTGGAAGCAATGGTGTGCTTCTGTCCCTAAGGTATAGATAAAACAGGAGTGTAGAGGTGACATTAAGTTTAAAAAAAAAAAAAAACTACCCAAATAGAAGTATCTGTCCTACCTCCTACCCATGAGGTAGGACAGATACAGAATTAGGAGTTTGTCTAAGGATATGAGTTTTCTCATGAATGTGTCTGGGTAGGAGGTAGCATTCTAATCCAAAGCCCTATATCCTTTCTCCACTTTCTTTTTTCTCATATTCTTTGTCCTGCCCTTTCCCTGCAGTTCTACAAGAGTAATAATAAACTGGGTGACATGTGTCTTTCAATAAAATACACAGGTACGTAGATGCCAGAGACACAACGGTGAGCCAAAAGGACATTACCTTTTGGAGCTGAGAGTCTAGTGAGGACACGTGTTAATCTAGGAACCACAAATGCAAGACTCCAAGTCCTGAGAAATAGAGGCCTATGAGCGAGGGACTAAAGAGAAACTGGTCTAGTCAGGGATCTTCGCTGAGGGGAGAGCGGAGGTAACAGGGAGAAGAGGCAGGGAATGGGCCAGACATAGGAAAAGCACAAGAAAGGCCCTTTGGCCACCTCTCTCCTTTCCCTCGCTAGGATCCCCTAAAGCATTTCTGCCAGATTGTTTATCCCTCAGTCCTTTTCTGTATCCTCTCTACCCTGGGTAGGAATTCTGAGATTTGACTTTTGTAGTGTTAGCTACCACACTATATTTCAGGACCTTTCCGGAAAAGTATGGGCTCTAGGGTCTGAGCAGTTTTTCTGATAAATACTATCCTTTAGCTCTTGACTAAGAATCAAGCGTTTAAAGACACAGGCCAGTGAGACCTGGGATTTACTGGAGAACCTGCCCCTGTAAAGACACAGGCCAGTGAGACCTGGGATTTACTGGAGAACCTGCCCCTGTAAAGACACAGGCCAGTGAGACCTGGGATTTACTGGAGAACCTGCCCCTGTAAAGACACAGGCCAGTGAGACCTGGGATTTACTGGAGAACCTGCCCCTGCAGGCTCTGGGACCTGAAAGTCAAACCAGGGAAAGGAAGAAAAGGCCTTGGCAGTGTCAAACCTGGAAGCTTCTGAAATGCAAAGAAGATGTTTTAAAAAAAAAAATGCCAGGCTCGGTGGCTCTCGCCTGTAATCCCTACACGTTAAGAGGCCGAGGCAGGCGGATCACTTGAGGTCAGGAATTTGAGACCAGCCTGGCCAACATGGTGAAACCCTGTCTCTACTAAAAATACAAAAATTAGCCAGGTGTGGTGGAGTATGCCTGTAATCCCAACTACTCGGAGGTTGAGGCAGAAGAATTGCTTGAACCCAGGAGGTGGAGCCGAGATCGTGCCACTGCACTGCAGCCTGGGTGACAGAATGAGACTCTGTCTCAAAAAAAAAAAAAAAAAAAAAAAGTAAACTCTCTGATTCCATGGCCCGTTGTCCCTTATTTATCCTCAGGTATCTAAGTGTTGCCATTGTTTATCCACAGAAAATGAAGCTAATGAAGTGTGTCCTCAGACCTGTTCCTTCAAGGGTTTACTTTGTCATTTCAAACATGCAGATTCAACCTAGGTCTCCACAGAATGCCAGATGATACCACTAACAGACAAAAAGTAAACTGTAGGAGTAAACTGAAATCAGTGACATCAGAGCAATGATGCTTCAGCACTTTAATACCACAGAGAAGCTTCTAACACATTCGAGAGTCAAGTTTTAAAATCATGAGTATGACTTTTTATGTGTTTTAATGTGTATACACAAACTCAAAGACATTTGGGCTATCTCATTTAACATCTTTCGTAGTGACCCAGAATGAAAGAGCAGTTAGTGAGGCAATATATAGCCAATCAGGTTTTACTGTTCTTACTAGTAACAGAATCAGAAGTGCACAGAAATAACTATTTTTTAAAAGAAATGTTTAGAAATAAAATTGGATATGAGACATCATGCGTTCAAGAGAAGTAGGTAAAATAATTTCACTTGTGCACACGTTTCCAAACGTCTCAAAGACCATTGAGGATGCCTTCTAGGTTAAGAGCAATACTGCCTCCTCCCTAAAAGAAGTGTTTGCAGGCTCCAAATCTGCTGCATTTAGGAGATTTCAATACAGTTGCTTTTTCCTTTTTCCATACTTGTGTTATCTGAAAAATATCTCAAGTAGAAGATGGCCCGTGATGCCAGCCCATGTCCAGGATTCCGTCAGCCTCGATGTAACTTTCCTGATCCTCGTTTCTCTCTTTGCCCTAACCCTTATAAGAAACACAGAAAGTGACTATGGATATTTTCTTCCCAAGCTCACACAGTGACGCCCAACCAGGGGTAGATAATGTGTCAAAATGCCCTAGGCTGGATCCTGATGGGGTGAGGATATAGAGGGATCAAACCACAGGCTTCCCCAGCAAGCCTCTGTTACTGACAGGAGTGTGTCCATCTCTCTGCTGGGCTAGGATAGAAAAACAGTTGCCAACCACTGATTAAAGCCTGTGAATGCACTTGAATTTTGAGCTTCTCCTAGGCAGGAATGAAGTAACTTACACTTTATTTTCTAAACTGCCCGGCACACAGGAGGTGCTCAGTAAATACTGGTTGAAAGAACAAACACTGTGCCTGGTACAACCCAGCTAAAGGGGACCTATGGGATACACATCTTTTAAAGTGAGCCCCCAGAAAGCCAAGGGAGAAAGAGGAACATTTATGCAGGGTTTTGGGGGTGCAGAACCCAACGAGGAATCCAGGCATCCACTCCTGTCTCAGCTCAGACGCGGGTCAAGCCTCACAAAGTGTCAAAGGGATCTGAAGCTAGAGCCACTAGTCATTAATGTTAACAAAGCCTGTCTGGGGAGGAAGCCTCAATGTGGAAGAGGGCACATCCTGCAACTTCCCCTGGAGGGAATAATGTGTATGGATTGGCCAACAGCAGTCCGTAGGGGTGCAGGGCCCAACAGTGCACAAAGCACTGCTGAGCAGAACCTGTCGCCCTTTTGGATCCAACTGTCGCTTTTTTTTTTTTTTTTTTTTTGAGACAGTCTTTCCCTGTTGCCCAGGTTGGAGTGCAGTGGTGCAATCTCAGCTCACCGCAACCTCCGCCTCCTGGGTTCAAGTGATTCTCCTGCCTCAGCCTCCCGGGTAGCTGGGACTAGAGGCTTCCACCACCATGCCCAGCTAATTTTTGTATTTTTAATAGAGACGGGTTTTCACCATGTTGGCCAGGCTGGTCTCGACCTCCTGCCCTCAGGTGATCCACTTGCCTCAGCCTCCCAAAGTGCTGGGATTACAGGTGTGAAACACCACACCTGGCTCCAATATCCCATTTTAAAAACAAATATTTAGCTTCTACTTTTCCATCCTGAATTGAAATTCATCGATACAATTATCATCTCTATAATTTAAAGTATCAAGATAATACTCTAACAAAGGAGAAATAAAGAGAAAAGCATTTTACAATAAAATAATACGCATTTTTACATAAATAATGAGGAATGACTATGCTTGCAGACAAAAACAAGCCCACAAGCCCCCCCACCAATTGCCTCATGCGTCCTGGGGTTGATACAACCCCACTGGGAACCACTACTCTAGCCCATGGGACCCCAAGCCACAGAGTTCGTCGGCCACAGCCACTCACCCTCTGGTTGCAGGAGAGGAGGCAGGAGGCAGGGTCTAGATTGGCCTGTTCTTGCTCCACAACTGACTCATGTGGCATCTGTAGGGATAAATGCAGGTGGAGGTGAAGCACTCCGTCCCGGGTACGGCCTTCCAGGATTCCTCAGCTATGCACAGGCTCCCCTGCCCACAGCTGCCAACTTCCTGCCCAACGATGTTGCTGCAGAGGAAGGAACCTCGGAAGGTCAGCAGGGGCAGGAAGGTTCTGGCAGCTGGACTTCACTTCCTCAAAAATCCCAGGCCAAGGCCAGGCGCGGTGGCTCACGCCTGTAATCCCAGCACTTTGGGAGGCCGAGGCAGGCGGATCACTTGAGCCCAGGGGTTCAAGACCAGCCTGGGCAACATGGTGAAACCCTGTCTCTATAAAAACATAAAAATTAGCTGGGCATGGTAGTGCATGCCTGTAATCCCAGCTACTTGGGAGGCTGAGGCACAAGAATTGCTTGAACCCGGGAGGTGGAGGTTGCATTGAGCAGAGATTGCACCACTGCACTCCAGCCTGGGCAGCAGAGCTAGACTTGGCCAAAAAAAAAATCCCAAGCCAGGAAGATTGGCAAGGTCAAATTTCTTTAAGTGTTTCGCCTTGTCACTTTTGGGGATGGGGGGTTGGTGTGTTCTTCACCTGTCTGGTCTCTACTTTAACAATAATATCTACCAGCACAGAGGGCTATGCCTGGACCCCCAGCTTTGCCCACAGGAGCGGTCTGGGCCAGCCCATCTAAGAGTCCAGAGATGAGATGAGGCCGCCCGGTGAAAGCCAGTTCCCCCATGTGTGTGGCAGCACAGTGCAGGAGACACAGTGTGACCCCTGGAGCTTGACAGGCTCACATCCCAGCTGTGTGGTCCACTAGCTGTGTGATGGCAAGTCACTTAGATTCTCTGTGCTTCCTCATCAATGATAAAATGAGGAAGATAAAACCTACTTTGCTGAGTTATATTGAGCATTAAGCATAATCGATGAAAAGCACCCAGCCCAGTGCAGGAAACACAGCAGACACTCAATAAATGGTTTTCCCCTCTCAAACGTCTGGAAGGCAGCCAAGGGCAGCAGGGAAGGCAGGCGACAGGGAGCCTCAGAGGTCTAGCTTCAAGTTCAGATCCTAAACTGCAAGCTCTACGTCTTATCAAATGGAAATGATGATGCCAACTTGGGAGGACTGACACGTGCAGGTTCCAGGGAAGCCCTGAGCTGGCCAGTCCCATGACTCCTACTAACCCTTGCCCAGTGCCATCGTAGCCACCTCTACCACCCTGTTTTTAACCCAGAAGCATCCTCCGGTCTCCCAGAGGAAAACCAGCCAGAGTGTTTACTGTATCATCTGCTGCCTCCTCCACCCCTTCGGAAGCCACTGTATGTTTACTGAGGGTAGGAGGACTGTGCCTTCCTCCTTGCAACTGATATCCTTTCTACCAAGGAAATGACGAGATAGTGTGGTCTCAATCTAAAGCAGGAGTTAAGGTTGGGCATGAGGAAGAACATCCCTGCCGAGGCATCTTATCTGTATAAACCTAACTCTTCCCATGCGTCTGTTAAGACACAGACAGTTATCTGCAAGACTGTGATCCCACTGAGTCTGAAGGTGGGAGATTAGGGCTGGTGACCTTGCAAGCTCCTAGCAAGGCTGGGGACCAGTGGGTCCTTCTAGGATAAATGTTCACAAACAGCCGTGGAGATTCCGCAGGGACCCACCAACTCCGGGGCCGCCCGAGAGAGCTGAGCTCACTCGGAAGTACAGGAGGTCGAGGCAGGCGGCAGTGTAGAGGTCGGCATAGCGCATCAGCTGGCTGGAGAAGAGTGTCTGGCGGAAACCGCAGCGGAACAAGCTGCCCATGGTGCTGTAGCACAGGTCCAGCTCCTGGGTGACCCTCTGGCCAGAGGGGCAACACACTGAATTGAAATCCCAGCCCGCTTAGGCCTGACCTGGCCTACTCCCTTTCTGGGCAACCCTGGCCTCTCTGGGCCTCTCACCGGGGGACATTGAAACCTGTGACTCTCTGTAGGAAGGAGCAGCATGTTGTAGACCCACAGGCTGCACACTTGGCTTTTGGAGGTGGGGCAGCTCCTCACTTTGCCACAGGCCCCGCTGCAGCTTTCCATCACAGTTACCTGCCTGGCCCTGAAGATGGACCACCCAGGACTAAACCCACAGCTTCATTTACCATCTGAGTCCAACAGAGGACTTGGCAAGGCGACACCCCCAGCCTCGCTCCTACTATCCTGGCAGGCCCCACCCCGCCACCAGGCCCTGTTTCCTGTCTGCTTTTAGAGCCTAGAGAATGGTTCCAACATTTACTCCCAGGATGACCTCTCTCTGAGCCTCAGTTTCCTCATCTGTAAAATAAAGGTGACAATCCCTGCTCCATCCACCTCTTAAGGCTGTGGGGAAGATCAAACGGCTGTGCTTTGTAAAAGGCTCTGCAAAGACCCTTTGTGATCGGCCCCAGCTGGGCTTGGGATGACCAAGTGACCTGACTCCCTCCACCTGGCTGACCCATGGGCACCTCCAGCTTTTTGGTGGCCGGTCAGTAATGCCACAAGGGAACACTGTCTTTTCTTCTCTTTTCCAAGGACCCTGGGCTCACTGGCCCTAAATCACATTTCCTATCAGAACTGGCTAGTCAGTCAATAAGGGCCCAGCTAGCACGCAGGCACTTCCCGGGCAGGGTGATTGGCAAAGACTGTGGGACTGGAGGCAAAGCCTGCAAATCAGGCTCAACTCAGCCCTTCAAGAGGGTACCGCTGCCCTTTGGAATGTCGGCCAGCAGAGGGCGCTGGCTGACAAGGCAGGTGGAGCCCAGGCGAGGCTGAGGAGAATGGGGTAACTGGGCCTTTGGCACCGAGGACAAAGCCGACAGGCAAGCAGTGGGGAAGTGAACCCGGCTCCGCCCCTGCTGGGCCTGTCCCTTCCCTCGCCACCCAGCTCCCACCTGGATCTCTCTCTTGGTGAAGTTGATGACTTGCAGCTCACAACTGCTCCCATCCATGTGCCTGGTACAAAAATAGCTAGGTGACCCAGGGGAGGCACAGAGCCTCCGAGTGCCAGGACAGTCTCCTTAGACCCCAGCAGGGGTCGGGTGGGGGGACACCGTGCGGGCATCCAGTGGGGGTGCCGGGCTGGGTGTGTGCATGCGTGCGAGGGCAGGTCCCTGAGTGCTGGATAGGTTCAGAGGAAGGGCCTAGAGGTCACAGAGTGTGAGCAGTCCCAAGGGGGTGAGAGGGGTCCCCACATTCAGTTTGCTAGGGAAGCCCAGCCTGAAACAGATCTTGATGTTCTGACAACCTTGGCCGGGACCTCGCCGCCAGGCAGGGATGTGAGCCACTGCCCCTCCATACCTCTCCCTGCCCCATCCCACCCCCAGAAAGGCCAGGGTCTCACTGGTATATGTCTGCCAGGTGCGTGTCCAGTCTCTTCAGCTCCTCCAACCGCTCTGAAAAGCCACCAGGGGTCAGTGGGGGTGAGTGACGGCCTGTGTCACCCACTGGCCCTGCCTGCCTGTGTCTGCCCTGGCCCAGCGGAGGACTTGCACACCCTGAGCTGTGTGCATAACACCCCTGGCCCCTTACATCACGTGAGACTCTGCCCAGACTGAGGCAGGGACAGCATAGGCCCCGTAGGCCCCATGGGACAGGTGAGGGAGTCAGGTGACCTTCCTGAGGTCACACGGCAATGACTCAAACCTAAAGCCTCAGCTCTCAGGACAAAGCCCAAATTGTGTGGGCTCACACAACTCCCTGCCCTGGAGGATGACTTCAAGTCATACCTGGGTGGAAGGTGTGTACCTTCCACTCACTGAACATCCTTGGGGTGGGTGGGGAGGGTGGGGTCAGGTGCAGGAGGAAGGCACCGCCTGCAGAAACACCACGGGATTCTTGGGTCAGGAGAAGTGGATTTGACTCTCAGCTTTCCCCCTACTGGCTGTGTGACTTCGGGCAGGCCGCTTAGCCTCTCTGGGTCTGTATGTCTTTGTCTGTTTCCTCCCTCAGAAACAACAGAGTGGCCAGGATTCCTGGTCACAACTACTAACCCCCCACGGGAAAAAGGAGAAGGCAGTGCTGGGGCCTCTGCATGGGAGGCCAGTGCCCCTCTGACTGTTCCAGACCCCAACAGCTCACCCTTCTCCTGGGCCCAGATGTCCAGCTCCCAGGACAGCTCAGGAACCACCAGGCAAGTCCGCCAGCCCTGACGCTTCTTGGACTTGAGAATGTCCCCAAAAATGTGGTCCCCAATGTACAGGATGTCCATCCCCCGAACCCCAAGCAGCTCGCACACCATGTCCGAAGAGCCTGCCCCACCAAGGGGAGGACAGACACTCGTTTGCCCTTCCTGCCTTGGGGTAGGTGACTCGGGGCAGGTGAGGGGCCTGGGCTCCTAGTCGAGGGAAGGAGGGTGCCCAAGGAGTGATGGGGCATGGTGGGAGCTGGTACCTCCAGAGTAGACAGCACAGTGCTGGTGGGGCCCTGTGTAGGTGCCCACGTGGAGCTTTCCTGAGTCCTGGAGGGGCAGAGGGGTGCCCTGGAGCCAGGAGAACCACATCTTTGGTCTCTAGCTAGGGAGGGTCGCAGGGAGCTGGGAGTGGCAGAGGTAACCATGGGGGGTGTGGGAGGAAGGAGGCAGCAGAGGGCGCTGAAGGCGGCCTCGGGTTCCCTGCCTCCAGGGACAGACAGGCCAGCAGAGCTGCCAGCTATAAAGGCAGGTCAAGTCTAAGGGGCAGGCAGGCTGCCCTCCCCAACCGTGGTCCATGGGTGCAGGTGGACTGACCTCTGCACCTGCCATTACCGTGTTGACCTGCCTCAGGACCAACCCCTCTGCAAAGAAGTGGGGCTTCTGCGTGTCCACCACGATCAGGTCAAAGTAGGACCTCCAGGGCCTGCCCGAGGCTTCAGCCTGTTGGGGGTGCACACGGGCTGCACACACACAGCCTGGTAAATCTGACCTTGCCACAGCCAGTCACCCACCACAGCCTGCCTCTCCCCACCAACCTCCCAGCTGGATGAGACCTCTTCAGCCCCTGGGAACCCGGTCTCGCTGCCCAGCTTCCCCAGCCAAGCTGGGCACTAGGAAGTGCTCAAAAGGACCTTGTGGAGGTGGGTGTTGAACATCATGTGCAGCCTCAGGCCAGGCTCCAGAGCTCCTCACAGCACAGAGACCCAGGGACAGGTGGCACCAGCACGGCTACCTAGTTAGGGCCCTGCTGCCTGCCCAGTGACACCTGGTCACTCCCAGTGCCCAGGACCTGTCACTCCCAGCACCCCTCCCTTTGACCTGCCATGCCCTCGTCTCACCCACTTTCTGCCGCCCGTCCCCACATACCTGACTGCCTCCTATCACCCCCAAAGGCTCCTCCCAGGGCCTGGCTGAGGTCACCAGGCTCCTACCCACTGGGGAGCTTCCACTCATGAGAAATGACCACTCACACACTCAGGTCTTCCTCAAAGGGAGGCTGGACGTGGGAGAGGCCCTCAGCATCGTGGTGCAGCCTGGCACCCTGGCCCTTTGCACAGCCCACCCCAGCCGTGCACGCAACACTCCAACACTCACCTCACTGATGCTGAACAGGTAGGTCATGATGGCCTGGCAAGGACAAGGCAGCGTCAGGGCACCAAGCTTGGGCCACCACCTGCCTCTGCCCTCACCCACCATCCCCCCAGCACACTGGTGGCCACAGGAGCAAGATGGTGAGAAAGTTGCTCATTCTTCTGAGGCCTTGAAAGGCCAAGAAATGGAGTCCAGGAGACCAGCCCAGTGGTGGGGGTAGGAGGGTCTTGGCTCCCCGCCCCACCCCTCCCTGTTGCTTGCAGTGCCACTGTGTCCCCTGGGGCCAGGAAGGAGGCCGACGGTCCACCCCTCCATACACATACTCACATTGGTGTAGTTGTAGCTGCTGTTGGTGGCCAGAAACACTTTCCCAACCTCCTTCATCTTCCCCAGCAGGATGGGGAGGCGTGGCTGGGGCAGAGATAGAGGGACTTGCAGGGGTGGGACTCCCAGAGCTGCCCTGGGATCCTCTCCTCAGGTTTCAGCCTTCTGGGAGCCCACCCCAGCCCAGGCAGGTAGGCACCAGGCCCCATAGAAAGATCCCCAGCCATCCGGGGAGCAGAGCTCAGCCTAAACCTCGAAGAAAGCCAGAGAAGGGTTGCGGGGGCAGCCCTGCTGCTTTGGGGGTGATGGCCATGGCCCTGGGTCTGTGGCCACTCACATCCTTCTTCACATATTTCTCCAAGTCCTCCAGGGTCTTCTTGAGACAGCCCTGCAGGAGGGAGCAAAGTGCCTGTGTGTGTGTGTGTGTGTGTGTGTGTGTGTGTGCATGTGTACCCACCCACATGTCTGTGTCCAAGATGAGAAAAGTGGGCGGCTCTGGGAAGCCCAGACCAGACCTCAGTCCTCAGTAGGAAGAGGATGGAAACGCTATGGGGACTGGAGGCCTGAAGGCTGCCCGGGGAACCAAGAGCAGACAGGTCAGGGGTCCGGGGGTTCTGGACCACTCACTCACCGACTGGTGGATGTTATTCATGGCATCAGTCACATCCTGGAAGAGGCTTCGGAAGGACATGAAGAGGTTCCCATGCTGATAGCCGGTGTCACAACTGGGGCAGGCAAAGAGGGGACGGGGAGGCCAATAAGGGGGCCTGAAATGACCTCCAACCCTGAGTCCCACACCAGAGCAACCCCACCAGCCACACTGGGGCCTTCACTGGGCTTATGTCCCAGACATCCTGGGAGGGGCATCACCCAGAGCTAAGGGTGTGTGCTAGCCTGCAATAGAGGCCTTCCCACTGAGCTTCCTGGAGCCCTTCCAGCCTCTTGGGGAGCCCTTGGGGGGCCCCTCTTTGGGGTTTGGTCCCTGAGCAGTGTCCTACTGGTCGTCCCAGGGCTGGGCAGGGCACAAGACGCACTTAGTGTAACGGGAGCAGCCAGAGAAGAAGTCCACCAAGCAGGCATAGAGGTAGGTTTCTGGGGGCAGACAGGATGGTCAGTTGTCAGCCCAGGGAGCCAGACAGTTCTCCACCAGGACAGAGCTGGGACCCTCAGCTCCGGAACTCAGGACCACCTCCCGTGCCCCCAACCCTCCACCCACCAGGCAGGTTGAAGAGCATGTTGAGTATGTAGAAACACTGCAGGTCGTCCCTCTGAATGAACTTGCTGGGGTAGAAGCTCCAGATCTCTGCCCTGAGGAGGGGTAGGCTGGGTGCAGCCAATGACCCCTCCCCAGTGCCTCCTGGAGGCCTGTCCAGGCTCTGGCCATCCCTTCCAACCACCACGCATCCCTTCTGTGCTGAGCCTCCACCGTGGGCCTGCGTCCTTCCTCCCTCCCTCCCTCTGTCCTCCCCCAAGGTGAGCAGTCCTCCCCTCCTGGCCTGCCACTCTCCCGGCACCTTTGTCCCTTACTCCGAGAGGAAGGTGAAGCCATAGGCACCCAGCAGCACATTCCCGTGGGCGTCCACCTTCAGCAGGTTCCCATAGAGTTCATCGAACACCAGCCGCCTGCAGACGGGGGGTCGGGGGGCACTGTGGGTGGGGGTACCAAGGCCGGGTGGCCTCCCACCTGTCCTGAGCCACACACCTGGTGGGGAAGGTGGGGTCGTAGGTGTAGCGCAGGATCTCATGCGGGTACCCAATGCACACCAGGCGCTCCAGCAGCAGCTCGAAGGTCAGGGCCTCATAAGCTGGGGACTTGTAGGCTGCAGAGGCCCGGACAGAATCAGGGCTTTGGTGCCCAGCTGCCCACCCCTGCTCCCTCCAGCTCCCAATACGCTGTGTTCCAGCCCTCTCTACCAGCCAGAGTGTAGTCCATGTCGAAGCCAAAGCAACGAATCTTCCCCAGCGCCAGGCTGCGGTTGACAAAAATCCTGGGGAGAGAGAGGAGGATGTTGGCATCAGTCCACCAGCCCCCCAGAATCCAAGGCCCAAGGACAGAGGGGGTGGAAACCCCGCAGAGGAGGGCAGAGCACCCCCTGCAGCTGCAGAAAGCACAGGGGAAGCAGGTCAGGCCAAGCCAGGGCCCTGCCTGGACCCATGTGTGTCTGAAGGCAAGTGTGAGTGTGCATGTAAGCATGTGTGAGCATGTGTGCAAGCGTGCATCTGAGTGTGTGCGGGCAATCAGCCGCTTGCTGTCCCACCATGCAGGCATGTTATAGGCATCCAACCCTGTAAGAAAGTAGGTGCAGTTGTTGGTGTGAGGGTTGTCACCTTCTGAAATGGGACCCCAGTGTCCAAATTCAGAGATGATGTGTTTGTCACAATTGGATAGCACATGTCACTGTGTCCGTGGTGAAGGGGAGAGATCTTCGTGGAGGGAAGGAAGTGAAGAGGACCTCCCGCCGGAGTGTGTGTGGTCAGTTCCCTGATGGGTTGTTACAGCTATGGAAGTGCGTCCCTTGTGAGTGCAAGTGTACGTCTGCATTTTGGGAGTCCCCATAGCTGTGTATTTAAAGGAGCCCCTGTGTGCTGCTGTGGCGTGTGGGGTGTTTATGGGCTGAGACCCCTGGCCCCCACCCCAGGTGCCCATCTCACCGCTGGTGCCAGTCCTGCTTCGGGCCTTGAGGGGAGACCAGTCCCTCCGGCTCTCTCCAGTCTACACTGGCCATCGTCACCCAGAGTGAGGAGGAGGCAAGTGTCCCTTCCTCAGCCTCCTGCACACTATCAGTGGGGCCCAGCCACTCTCCTCTCCCTCAGAAGCTTCAGGCACCACTGACCCAGCTGGCCCCACCCTGTGCTCCCATCTCCCCCGAGCCCCTTTGAGGGAGGAGTCAGCCAGGACAGGCTCTGGTATCCCATCCTTTTCTCTAGAGCAAAAGCAGCAAGGATCTAGGAAGAGCAATTCATGTCCACTGCACCCTCCTCATTCCTAGGGCTTATGCATCCATGGACCTCAGCGGCCTGGAGAGTAGCGGAGAACCCAGAATGAGGCAAATGACGGGATACAAAGTCAGGAGGCTCCGTACTGTACTCATGATAAAAGAAATAACTCAGTACTCTTGCTTTATGCACAATTCTGACACATTTGGTTATCAAATTTCCCAGCTCAAGGCCATTTAGAGAAGACATTGCTAGAAGCATGCCAAGGGCTATAAGAATTGGGAAGATAACTGGGATCTCAGAATGGGGGGGTGGCAGAAAGTACAAAAGGAAGTGTCAAAAAGCAGAACCACTGGGGCCATTTAGTGTAGAGTTCTAAATACTCCCTGAGGGCCCATACCACTGGCTCCACAACCAAGCATGTGACTTCCATTTGGAGCGGTGACCTGGATCATCCAGAAAGACTTAACTGAAGTGCCAGGCCCTCTTTTAAAAAGAAAGACAAGGCTGGGCACAGTGGCTCACGCCTGTAATCCCAGCACTTTGGGAGGCCAAGGTGGGTGGATACGTGGTCAGGAGATCAAGACCAGCCTGGCCAAGATGGTGAAACCCTGTCTCTACTAAAAATACGAAGAAAAAAAAAATTGCCCTCTTGGGAGCCTGAGGCAGGAGAAAAAAAAAATTAGCCTCTTGGCAGCTTCTCGGGAGGCTGAGGCAGGAGAATTGCTTGAACCCAGGGGTTGGAGGTTGCAATGAGCCGAGATTGCTGCACTCCAGGCTGGGCAACAGAGTGAGATCCTGTCAATAAAAAGGGAAAGAAAAAGGAAGAAAGAAGGAAGGAAGGAAGGAAGGAAGGGAAAAGAAAAGAAAAGAAAAGAAAAAGAAAGAAAGAAAGAAAGAAAGAAAGAAAGAAAGAAAGAAAGAAAGAAAGAAAGAAAGAAAGAGAAAGAAAGAAAGAAAGAAAAAGAAAGAAAGAAAGGAAAGAAAGAAAGAGAAAGAAAGGAGGGAGGGAGGGAGGGAGGGAGGGAAGGAAGGAAGGAAGGGAAAGGAAAGGAAATGAAGAAAAGGAAAGGAAGAAAGAAAAGGGCCTGGCGCAGTGGCTCACACCTGTAATCCCAGCACTTTGGGAGGCCAAGGCGGGCAGATCACTAGGTCGGGAGTTTGAGACAAGCCTGGCCAGCACGGTGAAACCCCATCTCTACTAACAATACCAAGATTAACCAGGCATGGTTGCGCATGCCTGTAATCCCAGCTACTCAGGAGGCTGAGGTGGGAGAACCACTTGAACCCAGAAAGCAGAGGTTGCAGTCATCCAAGATCGTGCCACTGCACTCCAGCCTGGGCAACACAGCAAGACTCCGTCTCAAAAAAAAAAAAAAAAAAAAAAGACAGACAAGTTTACAGTCGGTTTCAGCACTTTCTCTCTAAAATGGCTAAACTAAACTAAATGAAGGTGGCACTCTTAAAAGGATAAAAGTTATCTGGAACAACAACAGAAAAACATATCCATGGAAGAGCTCCTTCCTTGACAAAGCCAGGTGAGCAAGCACAGTTGTGTGCTGCGGAACGATGTTCCGCCCAACAGTGGACTGCGTATGCCACTGAGTCCCATAAGGTGATAAGGAGCTCAACAACTCCTATGGCTTAGTGACCTCATCGCCATCATAATGCAAAGCATCACTCACATGTTTGTGGTGATGCTGGCTAGGAGAAATAGGCTGTACCCTGCAGCCGAGGTGTGTAGTAGGCTGTACCATCTAGGTTTGTGTAAGTGCACTCTATGACATCACACAATGGTGAAATCGACTAATGACACGTTTTTCAGAACAGATCCCTGTGGTCAAGCCCCGCATGACTGTATTAAGATGGTGAGGCAAGGATATGGAGGCTGTAGGATATGTGTTTCCTCATCGGATGGAGGAATGGAGGATGGATGGAGAGATGGGTGGATGCATGAATGAGTGAATGGACAGACAGTTGGATGGGTAGATTCGTGGATAGACGGGCTGATGGTTAGCAGGCTATATACAGCAGCCTTCACGGAAGGTGTCAGGGGAGAACTGAGCTTCAGAAATCAGGAGGCTGTCTGGAGTCGCTTCCACTCATTATTCCATGCGCTCTGCTCATCTCATGGGAGCCCTTTAAGCCCCTTTTCCACATTGCCTGGCTCCTTTCTAGGTCAGAAAAGAGAAGGAGGAGTAATACCTGGTTAGGAGAAGTCTCTAGGGGTTGCTCAGCCCTTCCACTGGGAGGCATCATGGCAGCTGTACAAAACCTGCCTTTCCTATAGCTGAACTTAGGCTCTATCTTGAAGGCTCTGTGCACCTGAGGGTGGTGAAGCCATCCAGCAACGTTCAGGTACGATGAATCACTTCAGTGGTTTCTCGGGTCCCTTCTCCAGGTACCTCTTCTGGGGTCAACTCGACAGTGTGGGACTTATCCGCAGCCACACTGGTAATTGGGAAGGGCTTCACTTCCTGGAGGGTCCCAGGTCCTCACATTGCTGTCTGTTAAGGTAGCCACATCCCTGTTGAGTCTTTGGCTGGCATGGTCTCTGCTACCGTCTTAGGATATGGCTGCTTGTCCAGACCACAGAGTCCTTAGGCTAACCGCATGTACAGTCAGGGAGGACTGCAGGCTGCCACAGGCCCCGCTTGGTCCTGATTCCTGAGCCAATGCTAAGGCACCCCTGTGAGGCTTGATGCACTGGGAGCCCCTTCAAGAAAAGACTTGCCACCATAACAATAAGCAAATGGTTGCCCATTTTTACTGTGTGCCAAGCCTCCTAACAGCCCCACGAGACAGGCTAACTGTTCACTGGATTCATGAATGATCAAACTGAGGCACAGAAGGGTTAAGCAACTCTCCCACACTTACCAGGCTGATAAATGGCAGAGTGGGACTGAGCCCAGGCAGCTGGGTGCCAGCATCCGTATTCTTAATCGGTAGGCAAAACCGCCTCTGCCCATGGCCCATCACAAAAGTCCCTTGACTTTTCAATGTCGTTAAAGACAAAGAAAGGTGGAGGAAATGTTCCAGATTACAGGAGGCTAAAGAGCCACGGTGAATGAACGCAATATTCAAGCCTACGCAGAATCCTGTACTGCAGGCACATATAGTGCCAAGGACATGATGGGGTCAACAAATAAGATTGCAGTGTGGGTGGTGGGTTAGATGAAAGTTCTGTCTCAATGTAAACCTGTGAACTTGATGACTATATTGTGGTAATGTAAGAAAATATCCCTATTCCTGGGAAATACTCACTAAAGAATTTAGGATAAAGCTCATGATAAGTGTAAATTACCTTCAAGTGGTTCAGGAAAAATAATTGTGTGTATACACATACATACAGACAGATGGACACATACATGCATACATACACACATATACATACATACACATACATACATACATACCCATGTGTGTTCATATAGAGCAGGGGACAAACAACAAAGCAAACAGAGTACAATGTTAGCAACAGGTACATCTTGGTAAAGCCTGTAAGGACAGTCTGTGTACTATTTTTTACCTTTAAACTTTTCATAAACTTGAAGTTACTTCCAAATTTCAAAATTTCTTAAAAAGAAGGTCTATGTTGCAACCTACTCATCTGACAAAGGGCTAATATCCAGAATCTACAATGAACTCAAATAAATTTACAAGAAAAAAACAAACAACCCCATCAAAAAGTGGGCGAAGGATATGAACAGACACTTCTCAAAAGAAGACATTTATGCAGCCAAAAAACACATGAAAAAATGCTCATCATCACTGGCCATCAGAGAAATGCAAATCAAAACCGCAATGAGATGCCATCTCACACCAGTTAGAATGGCGATCATTAAAAAGTCAGGTAACAACAGGTGCTGGAGAGGATGTGGAGAAATAGGAACACTTTTACACTGTTGGTGGGACTGTAAACTAGTTCAACCATTGTGGAAGTCGGTGTGGCGATTCCTCAGGGATCTAGAACTAGAAATACCATTTGACCCAGCCATCCCATTACTGGGTATATACCCAAAGGATTATAAATCATGCTGCTATAAAGACACATGCACACATATGTTTATTGTGGCACTATTCACAATAGCAAAGACTTGGAACCAACCCAAATGTCCAACAATTATAGACTGGATTAAGAAAATGTGGCACATATACACCATGGAATACTATGCAGCCATAAAAAGTGATGAGTTCATGTCCTTTGTAGGGACATGGATGAAGCTGGAAACCATCATTCTCAGCAAACTATCACAAGGACAAAAAACCGAACACTGCATGTTCTCACTCATAGGTGGGAACTGAACAATGAGAACACATGGACACAGGAAGGGGAACATCACACACCGGGGCCTGTTGTGGGGTGGGGGGAGGGGGGAGGGATAGCATTAGGAGATATACCTAATGTAAATGATGAGTTAATGGGTACAGCACACCAACATGGCACATGTATACATATGTAACAAACCTGCACGTTGTGCACATGTACCCTAAAACTTAAAGTATAATAATAAAAAATAAAATTTAAAAAAAAGATGCAAAAAAAAAACATAAAAAAATGCTGACTTGCCTTTTTAACATGTTGGGATTGTCCTTGATTGTGAGTTTGGTGCTTGACCTTCATCTGTGCAAATTATATGGCTTAAATTAGATCACTGTTTTTGTAGAGTTGATTTTTGTCTACTTCTGCTGAAATCTTTGATTTCTTTCTGAACTTATAACAACTTCAGCCATCCTTGATGTCCTGGCTTAATGAGTTACAGTTAAAACACTAACACTTTGATGCTAGTTTAAGACTCAGTTTTCCTGTTATAGTGTTATTTAAAAAAAAAAATCTAACTGCAGGGCAATCTGCATGCCCCTGTGTAGCCAAATATCATTACTACTAACTCTGTAATCAGCTCATGAGTTTTGCTTTGTTCTGTCTACAGTCTAGCTGTTCTACCTTGGAGGAGTCTCTCAGAGTACCTAATGCCCTCCACACCAGAAATTAAAGGTTTATTTTTACTTTTCAAATAAATAGTGATTATGTATATAGTACATGATATTAAAGAATGTACAACAAAATGTTTATTTCCAGTGATTGGATTATGGATGATTTTTATATATTTGTCTTTCACATTTTATTTTCTAATCTTTTTGTATTAAGCACAAATTACTTTTATAAAAATATATCACTTTTGGAGTAAAGTTAAAAAATGTGTAAAGCTAAAAAAAAAAAAAAAAAAAAAAGAAGGTCTATGTTCCAAGACCCCTTTTCCAGCCTCCTTATTGCTATCCTGGAGTTCTTCCCCTCTTCCTCCCACCTTCTTCTGAGCCCCCAGTTTGGCAGCTCTCCTTTATTACAGGGAGGTGGAAACAGGACCAACCCAGCCAGCATTCCTCTTGATTCTTCTACCTAGACTGTATCCATTTAAAAAGTGTTGCCGGGCACGGTGACTCACGTCTATAATCCCCAGTGAGTCAGGAGGCCAAGGCAGGAGAATCACTAGAGGCCAGAATCTCAAGACCAGCCTGGGCAACATAATAAGACCTATCTCTTTAAAAATTTCAAAAAATTAGCCATGGTGGCACACATCTGCAGTCTCAGCTACTCAGGAGGCTGAGTGGGGAGGATCTCTTGTGCCTAGGAGGTGGAGGCTGCAGTGAGCCATGGTCTCACCACTGCACTCCAGTCAGGGCAACAGAGCGAGACCCATTCTCTTGAAAAAAAAAAGTGTCAAGGCCAAGCAGGCTCTGTTCACTACTGCCTGCACTCAAAGAGGTCACCAGAACCGGGGTGCATGGTGGGGCAGGGACCAAGTGCAGGGCGTGGCTGTCTCCCCTCACCTTCTGTAAGAGGCAAAATTCCAGATCCCCACAGTGCATCCACCACAGCTTTAGCAGTGCAGAACCTGTGGCCTGGGGATGGGGCAACTTCCATTCTCCTGAGCTTGGAGAAACCATCTTGAGGTGACCAGAAACCTCCTTCCAGACAGGGCCTTCCTTGCACAGGTGCAGCTGGTACAGAGGGATTGAGCGGGGGACCTAACCAGTACACCAGGGAGTCTTTTTAACAGAGGAGAGTCTTGGATGAGGTATTAAAGAAAATGCAGGATTTTTATTAGTTAGTCTAGAAGAGAAAGGAATTTCACATAGCCAGCAAGGAGCCCAGTGCTGGGAGGCAGAAAGAAAACGAACCACACGGGACAGCAAAGGATGGGACCTGCCCTGAGGGCAATGGCCGTTGAACCATGCTATGGTCCCCAGGTGTCTGCTCCCCTCTGATGTGGCCACACTGCTAAAAGGCATGTTCTAGGCTGGCTGGGGAGGGACTCCGACCAGTCTGTGACCAAAGGGTGGTCTCTACTGGCTGGGGTCAGAGAATGAGTCAGGGACATGGGGCACCATTGTCCAGATTCAATTCTACCTTACCCAGGGCAAATGCTGGCCACTTTTTGGGGCTCAGGGTCATGGAGGGAGAGATTTGGGGTAAGAGATTAGGAAATTTCCAAAAACCTGTCTCTCCTTCCATCAAAACAATGGACATTGCTAAGAGTTTGTGGTGCGTGTGTAAGTCCATCTGTGAGTGGGGGATGTGTGAGTGTGGATATATGTGCACACGTGAGCAGGTGCACACATGTGCATGAGTGTGGCTGTCAGCTTGTATGATGGCCTGCATGCATGTGTGAGCGTGGGTGGGTGGGTGGGTAACGGGGTGCGCCTGTGTGACCTGGGTGGGCATGCTGGGACCAGGGCCGGGCAGAGGGCATGCCAGACACTGACCCCAAGCTTGGGCTGGAGCCCTTGGAGCCTGCAGTTTCAGGGAAAGGTGGAAGAGAGGTGGGGACAAGAATGTCATTACACAGCCCAGAGAAGGCAGGGGAGACCAGGAGCCAAGAGTTCCCCCAAAGTGCCATCAGTGCAAGGCTCTTGGGACTCCTCTTTAACCCCTGAGGGGGCGAAGCCTTATTTACTCCTAAATTGGAACAGCAAGGGGTCCCTCATCTCAGCAGCTGTGCAGTCCTGACAGGTCGTGTCTCCCCAGGGAAGCATCTGAGGATCGCGGAGGTGGAGGGCACCGGAGTCTCAGGAGACAGCTGTGTCCTCTCCTGGAGGAACATGTCAGGGAGGGTGCTGGAGGCCTCTAGTCCAGCAGCAGAGGGCAGGGATTTGCAGGAGAGCACCGAAGCAAGATCTGGGGCAGAAGGAAGGGCATCCAAGGCCACGGCAAACCTGCTCAGCTCCCACTGAGGTTCAGCCAGGGGAGGCCGAGAGCCAAAGCTGGGGCACCTCTCCCACAGAGAGCCACGGGCCCCCTCCCTGCAACCTTCAGAGTCGGAAGGGACGAGTATCTACACAGCAGGATGTGGAAGGGATGAGGAGGGGCCAGGGCAGAGTTCAGAGGCAAGGGGAAGCTGGTGGGAGTCTGAGATCTGCGCATTCCAGGCAGCTCCTATTCATAAACCATCCTAGTCAGACAACATGCATTGATTACGCATCTGCCTCCGCCACGCCCACGCTGGAAGCTGGGTTCAAAACTATGAGTAAGATGTGTCACTTGTCCTTTAGTGAGTTCACAGTACAGGAGGAGACAGAAAACACATGTTACTAGGAAACAGTGAAAAGATGAGCCCATGTCCTTGAGCACCCAGGGGGATCAGGGAGTGCTTTCCGGAGAAGGAAGTCTTGAAGGATAAGCCACCAGGCAAGGGCAGGTGGAGCCGCACTCATGCAAGGGTGTCCACGAATGGTGCTGAGCGACAGACTGGCCAGTGGGCAGGAATCGCAAGCAGACAGGCCTGGCCGGAGGGGGGCACACGTGACTGGGAAGGCAGCAGAAGGGCATGAGGGGTGAGCTGGGGCATGCTGCAGTGGCTCTCCAGGGACTTTATCTTGTAGGTGACAGACCATATGTGGAAAGTGGCAAGAGGGAGAGTGACCTAATCCCCTGTGCAAGAAGGGTCGATCTCCCTGGCCGCATTACAGTCACGGGGCTTTGGGCGTAAAATATAGAAGCAGGACATCAACAGGAGAGTTGTATTTCACCAAAAACCTGGCCTTTGTAGGGGTCCGGGGTGAAGACAGTTCCAGGAGAAGGTGATGCCCACTCTCTTTTGAAAGCTGAACAGGAGCCCCCTGGGCAGACCCACAAGAAGAATTCTTAGCAGAACAACAGTGAGTGTGAAAGGGAGAAGGGGTGTGACCCGCCCACAACCAGTCCCCAGGGACCCATGGGAGATGCGAGCAGGGAGCAAGGCCAGATTGGGAGGCTCCTGTGTTCCACTAAAGAGCTTGACCTTGATCCTGTAGGTGGTGGGGAGCCAGGCAGCATCTTGAGCAGGATGAGGATGTGCTCCACCATGTTTCTAAAGCTGCCCCTGGGGTCAGCTCAAGGAGGCATTGGAAGCTCAGATAAAGCAGAGCTGCTGAGAAGTCACTGCAGTAGCCCAGGAAGGCACTACTGAGAGCCTGAATTGATGGAAAATAGAGAAGGGAGGACAGCCCAGAGACCCACTACACTACGTTAGTCAACACTTGAGAACTGATCAGCCGTAGGGGATCTTGGTGAGGGAAGAGGCTTAGATTCTAAGGAGCCAGAGGAGTATGGGGTCACCCACCCAGGGATGCCAGAAGGAAGGGGGCTTGTCAGGAGGGTGAACGGCCCCATTCATGAGCTGGGGAGGCCTGGGCTGAGGCACACTTGGGAGTTGCAGGTCTACAATTCCTAATCTGAACCCATTAGGGCCAGATATATTCAGATTCAATCTTTTCTTTTCTTTTCTTTTTTTGAGACGGGGTTTTGCTCTTGTTGCCCAGGCTGGAGTGCAATGGTGCGATCTTGGCTCACTGCAACCTCCGCCTCCCTGGTTCAAGCAATTCTCCTGCCTCAGCCTCCCAAGCAGCTGGGATTACAGGTGCCCGCCACCATGCCTGGCTAATTTTTTTGTATTTTTAATAGAAATAGGGTTTCACCATGTTGGCTAGGCTGGTCTCAAACTCCTGACCTCAGGTCATCTGCCCGCCTTGGCCTCCCAAAGTGCTGGGATTACAGGCATGAACCATTGCACCCAGCCTCAGTATTTTCCTTTTAAGAAAAATCTTTTTAGAGACGGGGGTCTCACTCTGTTGCTCAGACTGGTCTGGAACTTCTGGGCTCAAGCAATACACTGGTCTCAGCCTCTAGCTGGGATTACAGGCACAAGCCACCATACCCAGCTAGATTTAATAATTTCTGGATGTAAGAAGGTAAAACATAATTTCCTCTATATATGCACGATCACACCCTTGTTGGGATCTGGGGCAGCAGCCCACAGTCAAACACATTGACATTCCTGCAGCCAACATATGAATATTCATTCACACGAAGTGGCTACATAGGGACAGCAAATAACCTCCTGTCCAGGCCTATCAAGGTTTTCCATCAAATGAGTTTGGAAAACCCCCTAGATTTTTGGACCTAGGGAGCAAGGATGAGAGATGTTGCATCGGCATCTATGGCAGCTAAAGATCGAGCACCAGGACCCTTGGAGAGGGACAGAAAGAGAGGCAAGAACGGAGCCCCGGGAACAACCAGGTAGGATGGAGACAGGAGAGGACCCAGCAGAGAAGACCAAGAGGAAGCAGGCAGAGGAGCGGAAGAGGAGGAAGAGAAAGGCTGGCCCAAGCCCCTGGAGCAGGCACTGTGCTGCAGAAAGGCAGAAGGAGAGAAGGCCCCAGTGCCCCCTACACTAGGCAATAGGTCAGAGGAGGCCTTGGCTGGCCGATGAGATGTCAGTGGTGAGATAGGGCAGGAGTCAGGAGGGAGAGGAGGGTGCAGACGTGGGAACAGCCTATGAAAGACAACCCTTGCAGGAGTCTTAGCCAAGAAAGAAATGACTTCAGGGCAAGTAGCCAGACTGATGGGCAAGAAACCCAGCAGGGCTGAAGGACCAGAGTCTCAATGAGCAGCAAAGAGGCCACAGGAAGGAAAGTGGGTTAAAAGACAATGGTGTGGGACGGTTGCGGTGGCTTATACCTATAACCCCAGCACTTTGGGAGGCTGAGGCAGGCGGATCACTTGAGGTCAGGAGTTTGAGACCAGCCTGGACAATATGGTGAAAACCTGTCTCTACTAAAATACAAAAATTAGACAGGCATGGTGGCAGGCACCTGTAGTCCCACCTATTCAGGAGGCTGAGGCAGAAGAATCGCTTGAAGCCAGGCGGTGGAGTTTGCAGTGAGCCGAGATCCTGCCACTGCACTCCAGCCTGGATGACAGAGTGAGACACCATCCCAAAACAAGCAAGCAAAAAAAGACAATGGTTTGTGTCCACCAAAAGACGTGTGCAAAATGCCACATCATCTTTATCCAACATCGTCGCAAACTGAAAACAACCCAAATGTTCAACAGTTCCAGAATGGGTCAATAAATGGTGACGTGTCGACCCAGTGGAATCAGCAATGAAGAAAAACCAAACATGCTACCCACAATAACATGCGTGAATCTTACAGACCCAGCAGTGGGCATAGGAATTCATGTACATCACTGTATGTACCTCCTACCTGAATTTAAAACCATGAAAGATGATAAAATGTAAGGTTTCAGATGTGGAGCAGCCTGGGAGATGACAAGGTCCAAGGTGTCACCAACAGTTCACATGGGTTATTCTAAAACAGTTACAGAAGACTATTTTTGAAAGTGGATGGGGCTGTACTATTTTTTCACAGACTCTGCCCTATGAGGCTGCCAGTCCCAGCTGCCCCTTCTCCAACTGTCCCCAATTCTGCTCCCTGACTCCATTGCAGCTTCCCCCGTGGACACTAGACCCTGGACTCTCACTCACTCACACTCAGACATGCACACCACACCGCACAGCACCCCACACCGCACACTGCACACCCTCACAAGGGCCAGACCTGGATAAAGATGTGAGTGAAACAGCACGTGGGGAAGCAGACCAGGAAGTCTCTACTGAAGGCCTCTCTATTGGGTCAAGCTGGTTGTGCCAAGCTCCTTTTGCCCTTGGGATGAGCTCCTTCCCAGGCGGCTTTTCCAGCTGTCACACCAGCTTGACTTCTGAGAACTCTCCCTCTCCCTCTGTCCACACACCAGTCACTCCAGAGCCTGAATGCATGTGACACAGGACATACAGGGAAGGCCATAGGAAACAATGAACAGTAGCTGCCTGGCACCGCAGCTATTGTTCATTATTGAATTAATGAATTATCATCATCCAAAATGGTTAAAATGTTCCCGTCTTCATTTTCTCTTCAATAAGTTATGTCTGAATTGATTTTTTTTTTTGAGTCAGAGTCTCGTTCTGTCACCCAGACTGGAGTGCAGTGGCACGATCTCGGCTCACCGCCACCTCTGCCTCCTGGGTTCAAGCGATTCTCCTGCCTCAGCCTCCCGAGTAGCTGAGATTACAGGTGCATACCACCACACCCAGATAATTTTTGTATTTTTAAGTAGAGACGGGGTTTCACCATGTTGGCCAGGCTGGTCTCGAACTCTGTACCTCAAGTGATCCGCCCGCCTTGACCTCCCAAAGTGCTGGGATTATAGGCGGGAGCCACTGCGCCCGGCCGTCTGAATTGATTTTTAAAGAAGATAGGTTGGAGAGACCTGAGAGTGGCAGCTCTGTAGGAGTGACAGTTCACAGAAGTCTCAAATTCACACTCAGCAGGCAGAAGCAGTGCCTGTCTGTGAGAAGCTGAGAGTTCCCTCGGAGGGCGGCTCCTGGGGGGTTCTGGGCAGCACAAGCTAAGCCCTGTGCGGAGATTCTAGGTCGGCAGGAGAGTGACCTAATTAAACACACAGGCTTATTCTTAGACGAGGAGCCCCAGTTAAGGCCCCTGGGTAAGCACAGCACAAAGGCACAGCCCTAGAGGTGACCGGAATAATTCTCATTTTTAAGTAGCAGCCACTTTTTTTTATTATAAAAGTAGTACACATTCATCGTAGAATGTTTAGAAAATATAGAAAGTACAGGAAAGGAAATGCTCTCTACTAGAAATAACCGCTATTTTTGCTTATTTCCTTCCTGGTCTTCTTTTTATACATATTTACTTATTTGACGACTGAGGGGAAATGTTTATTCACAAGTGTAAGTGAAAAAAATATATAAAATTATAAACGGCACAATCCTAAATTTGTTCTGCAAATTAGGACTGTTATACATATGCAGTTCTGTGTCCTGTTTGTTTCATTCAATATTAAAAACCAACATCTCCTTTATGTCATTAAATATTCAGCAACTTGATTTTTAATGGCTTCATAATGTCCATCACATAGAATAGTGTATACACTGTTGCCCTGTAATGGGGCATTTAGGTGGCTTCCAATTTTTCAAATAACTCTACCATGAACCTCCCTGTGTATTTTTAATTATTATCTTGAGCTGATTTCTAGAAGTGAAAATTATTTAGAACTCTTGTTTTGCATTGCCAAATAACTTCCTGAAAATCCCCAGCTATTGGCACTTCCACATCATATAGAAAGTACAGAAAAGTCCCTAAGTGTGGGACATCTTGGTTCCTGTAAAAACAACCTGAGGTTCCTTTTTTTTTTTTTTTTTTGAGACAGAGTTTCGCTCTCATTGCCCAGGCTGGAGTGGAATGGTGCGACCTCAGCTCACTGTAACCCCCACCTCCTAGGTTCAAGTAATTCTCCTGCCTCAGCCTCCCAAGTAGCTGCGATTACAGGCATGCACTGCCACGCCTGGCTAATTTTGTATTTTTAGCAGAGGTGGGGCTTCACCATGTTGGTCAGGCTGGTATCAAACTCCTGGCCTCAGGTGATCCACCTGCCTTGGTCTCCCAAAGTGCTGTGATTACAGCTCAGCTTCTTTATCAACGGACAGCTGATCCAGATCAAACAGAGGACACTGCGAGCAAGGAACCAGATCCTCAGAGCCGTCTGGTGCTTTGTGACTGAGCACAGCCAACACTGTCTCCTAGCAGGAGTCACCTTTCACCAGGTTAGGCTGCTGTAACCAACAACTCCAGAATTTTAGGGGATTACAGCAAGCACGGTTTATTTCTCACACACATCATTCAAAGATGTGGGTCAACTGTGGCTTTATTCCATGTCTTCTTAGTCTGAGACCCAAGCTGAAGGAACAGCCCAGCTCCTATCTCCAACCTCATGGTCACGGACAAAGACACAAAGCAGAAGTCCACAATGGTCTTTAGAGCTTTGACTTGGACTTGGCGTGTACAACTCCCACCCTCTTCCAAGCCTAAAGCCAAGGAAGCAAGGGAATACACTCCTCCCATGGGAAGGTGCTCCAGGTCCCGCGGCCTGGGGTGATACAGACAGATCCTGTTACAGAGTGGACAGAAGAGAACTGGGAACAAGGATACAATCTGCCACAGCTATGAGCAGTTGGAAACGATGCTTAGTGTTCATCGTCACTAAATCTGACGTCAGGAATCTCTGGCACCCAGAATACCACCTCATACTGGAAAATCCCATGCCCTAGAAGCCTTCTCCAATGGCTGATGAGAAGGATCACCTAGGTTTGACTTTTGTGCCAATAAAAGGAAAAAAATAAAATATACGTGTGTTGTGTGTGTTTATGAACATATATTTATAAGTAGCTCCATGTAAAATAGTGAAGGTATATGCTGTTAAATTTTTAAAAGGCAAAAGTAAAATTATATGTATGACAGGCTACCATTTATTTATTGTTTGTTTGTTTGTTTGTTTTTGTGAGACAGAGTCTCACTCTGTCGCCCAGGCTGCAGTGCAGTGACGCAATCTCAGCTCACTGTAACCTCCACGTCCCAGGTTCAAGCGATTCTACTGCCTCAGCCTCTCGAGTAGCTGGAATTACAGGCACCCGCCACCATGCACAGCTAATTTTTGTATTTTTAGTAGAAACGGGGTTTCATCATGTTGGCCAAGCTGGTCTCGAATTCCTGATCTCAAATGATCCACCCACCTCAGTCTCCCAAAGTGCTGGGATTATAGGCGTGAGCAACAGCGTCCAGCCTATCATTTATTTTTTTTATTGGGGGAGAATACATATACATTTCTGTTTATATACACATAAAACATTTCCCAAAAGATCAATAAGAAGCTGGTGACAGTGGCTATTTTAGGAACAAGAACTAAGGGACTGAAAGTGGGGAGGAAGGCTTGCTTTTCACTGTATACTCTTCTTATAACTTGGATTTTTTTTCCTTTTGTTTAGATTATCTTTTCCAAGAAATTTGTTCTCATTAAAAATTTTAAAAATTGTCCTTTCTCACGCACATCACATATCTCTCTGTCTATGCTTCCTTCATTGCTCCCACATTGGGACATGCCCTGAATTCCCATTCCTACAGCCTGAGAAAGCAGAGTTTCCAGAAAGCACTAGAAAATCCAAGAAGAACAAATACCAAGATCTACAAAGCAAAAAAAGAGCTCATGCTCCAACAGGCCAACCCGCTTCCTGTGGTTGTACAGACCACACTCCCTCACCACTGGCCTGATAAGCCCCTTTGAGTAAGGTGAGATCTGCAGATAGGGCTGAACTCTTGCGTGAGTCAGGAGTCTTTGCAGCAAAGGGGGTGGAGAGAGGGGAAGGAAAGGAAGAGACAGAAAGAGAGCAGCAACACGTGCAAAGGAAGCCAGGACTGGATGAGATGGAGGCCACTGGTGCCCCCAAGATCAGGGACTCTACAGATGGGGCTGCCTACCATACCATAGGCTGCCGAGACCTCTCCTCTGTCTTCTTCACATGCCCACTCCTGCTCCAAACCTCCCATACACCACATGCTTGCTGTGAAGAGATCCCTTTGCAGAAATCTCAAGGGCTGACATTTTTACCATCTGGAGGCGTGGAACCAGGACAGCACCCATAGGAACAGGAGCTAAAGTCAGAGATAACATGAGGGCATGGTGTCTAGGGAAATGGTGGAAATTCTGAGGAGTACTTTGGATTTCTAGAAGGCATTGAATTTGGAGTGCAAGCCAAGCTTATGTCTAAATAAGCCTAGAGCCCACAGTGGTCACTGGGTTTCACAAGCAAAGGTCATGAATATAGAATGTTCTTGCATGAGTGGTGGCGAGGTTGGTCTGCATCACTGGTCATCTGCTGTGAATTTTTTCAGGGGAAGCTCACATCCTCGGAGGCCTTCGCCTCACCCTAGAAAGATACAAAATGCCCTGGAGAAATGCTGTATTCACAGCACATTTGCACAGGACACTGTGTCAGTCACTGATCTGGAACACTTTGCTTGCTTACCTCCTTGAGCTATTGGTGCAATAACCATATGCAGATGGGCTAGCACAGGCTCCTGGGCTCCCTGAGTCAGTTCCACAGAACCCGGGATCAACAAGGAGTTACGAGAGTTCCATGGAACAAATAGAAGACATGATTAAATACATTTAGGGAAGATGGGAATAAACAAGATTTATGACTGCAGGACTTCTCAGAGTTTTGATGCTTTGATATGCATAATGAGCCCCCAAGAAGGGAATTATAATAGAGAGTGTATCTCAAACTCCTTTGACCATGGAATCTTTTAGAACAGCATCCCAGCCAGGGTTGCAAGGAACACATCTTGGAAGCCTCAAGTACTTCCAAGGTCAGCAGGCAACAATCAGGCAAGCCTATCGAAAAGAGAACTTCTGGGAATGAAAATGGGGATACTCTGGCTTGGTTTTTACATCCCAACCAGTGCCAATTTCCATCTGGAAATACTTTTGCCAGGTCTGCCACAACCTGAGACCTCCACATCATGCAGATTTGGTTTAGCCAAAGGTACCATCGAAGTCTACACCCCAAGCCATTAACTATAGAGACTACAGAGGAGTGGGATTAGGGTGACTGAGGGGAAACATTCACATCCTACTTTATACACTTCTATTTTATTCTTTTTTAAAATAACAAGCATGTATTTCTTTTTACATTTCTATGTATATAGTAGATGTGACCCTTCAGGAAGACTCAAGAGAGCACGGAGCTTGTCTTTCTTGTTCCATAGCATATCCACAGTATCTACAGGGATTGGCATGTAGTAGGTGCACACTCAACATTTATTGAATGACTCAAGCTGTGAAAAAGGGTGAAGACAGTAGATATAAGAGGGAAGAAGGCAAAGACCGAGACTGAAAAGCGTACTCAAGGACAAGGAAAAAAATGAGTTCAAACTTTTAAAAATGAGACCGGGTGCAGAGGCTGAGACCTGTAATCCCAGAACTTTGGGACGCTGAGGAGGGCGGATCACCCGCGGTCAGGAGTTCAAGACCAGCCTGGTCAACATGGCAAAACCCCATCTCTACTAAAAATACAACAACAGCAACAAAAATGAGCCAGGCGTGGTGGTGCATGCCTGTAATCCCAGCTACTCGGGAGGCCGAGGCAGGAGAATCACTTGAACCTAGGAGGCGGAGGCTGCAGTGAGTGAAGATCGCACCATTGCACACCAGCCTGGGCAACATGAGTGAAACTTCATCTCAAAAAAACAAAACAAACAAACAAAAAAACCAACTTTTAAAAATGAACTTAAAGGCTGGGAGCAGTGGCTCACACCTGTAATCCCAGCACTTCGGGAGGATGAGGCAGGTGGATCACCTGAGGTCAGCAGTTCGAGGCCAGCCTGGTCAACATGGTGAAACCCCATCTCTACTAAAACTACAAAAATTAGCTGGGCATGGTGGCACATGCCTGTAGTCCCAACTACTGGGGAGGCTGAGGCAGGAGAATCACTTGAACCCGGCAGGCAGAGGCTGCAGTGAGCTGAGATTGCACCACTGCACTCCAGCCTGGGCGACCGAGCAAGATTCCGTCTCAAAAAAATAAATAAGTAAAATGAACTTAAAAATTCCCTATAGAGTTTCAAAGTGGTTAATTAAAATGCAGTAATATTGAAAGACAATGTCAAGAGAATGAGTAGAGAAGCCAGGAATTGGTAGAAAACATTTGCAAAAGACACATCTGATAAAGTACTGTTATCCACTTTATACAAAGAACTCTTAGCCAGGCGTCATAGCTCATTCCTGTAATCCCAGCACTTTGAGAGGCTGAGGTGGGTGGATTGCTTGAGACTAGGGGTTCAATACCAACCTGGCCAACATAGTGAGACCCCATCTCTACAAAACAAAATAAAAAGTTACAGCTATTCAGGAGGCTGAGGCAGAAGGACTGCTTGAGCCCAGGAGGTTGAGTTTGCAGTGAGCCATGACTGTACCACTGGACTCTAGCCTGGGCAACAAAATGATACCCCGTCCCCTTTGCCCCCGACAAAAAAAAGACCTAAAATGCAACAACTAGAAAACAAACAACTCAATTTAAAAATAGGCAAAAGGCTGGGTGCAGTGGTTCACACCTGTAATCCCAGCACTTAGGGAGGCCAAGGTGGGAGCATCACTTTGAGGCCAGGAGTTCAAGACCAGGCCCAGCAACATAGCGAGACCCCTTCTCTACAATTAATAATAATAACCATTATTATTATCCAGGAACAGTGGCATGCACCTGTAATCCCAACTACTCAAGAGGCTGAGGCAGGAGCGTCGCTTGAGCCCAGGAGTTTAAGGTTGCAGTCAGCTACAATTGTGCCACTGCACTCCAGCCTAAGTGACGGAGCAAGATCCTGTCTCTAAAAAAGTAAAAAATAACGTTTTTTAAATGGACAAAAAACCTTAACAGGTGTCTTAACAGACACCTCACCAAACAGGATACACAGATGGTAAAGTAAGCATATGAGAAGATGTTCAACATTATATATCATTAGGAAATTGTAAATTAAAACAATAATGAGGTACCACCACATGCTTATTAGGATGTCGAAAATCCAAAACACTGACAACACCAAATAATGGTGAAAATATGGAGCAGCAAGAACTCTCATTCATTTTTGGTGGGGAATGCAAAATGGTACAGCCACTTTGGGAGACAATTTGGCAGTTTCTTGCAAAGCTAAACATATTCTTACTATATGTTTCAGCAGTCACATTACTTGATATTTGCTCAAATGAATTTAAAATTTATGTCCACAGAAAAATCCGCACAGAGAGGCCAAGCATGGTGGCTCACACCTGCAATCCCAACACTTTGGGAGGCCAAGGCTGGAGGATTGCTTGAGCCCAGGAGTTTGAAACCAGCCTGAGCAACATAGGGAAATCACATATCTAAAACAATTTTTTAAATTAACCAGGCATGGTGACATATGCCTGTAGTCCCAGCTACTTGGGACACTGAGGTGAGAGGATTGCTTGAGCCCAGCAGGTCAAGGCTGCAGTGAGCAATGACTGTGCCTCTGCATTCCAGCCTGGGCAACAGAGTGAGACCCTGTCTAAAAGAAAAAAAAACCTGCACACCGAAGTTTACAGCACATTTAGTTATAATTGCCAAAACTTAGAGGCAACTAGGATATCCTACAATAGGTGAATGGATAAATAAACTGTGGTACATCAAGACAATGGAATATTACTGCTAAAAAGAAATTAGCTATCAAGCCATGGAAAGACGGGGAGGAAACTTCAATGCATATTACTATGTGAAACAAGCCAGCCGAAAAAGATACATACAGTATGATTCCAACTACATGACATTCTCAAAAGGCAAAACTATGGAGACAGCAGAAAAGTCAGTGGTTACCAAGGGTTGGGGGAAGGGAGGGGACAAACAGGCAGAGCACAGAGGATTTTGAGGACAGGAAACTATTCTGCATGATCCTATAATGGTGGATACATGTAATTATACATTTGTCAAAACCCATGGAATGTACAGCACCAAGAGCAAAGTCTAATGTAAACTATGAACTCTGGGTGACGAGGATGAGTCAGTGCAGGTGCATCGATTTTTAATATTTTGGTGGGGGATGTCCACAGTGTGGGAGGTTGTGCATGGGTGGGGAGAGGTGGATGGGAACTCTGCACCTTCTGCTCAGTTTTGCTGTGAAACTAAAACTGCTTTAAAAGATAAAGTTTATTAATTTTAAAACAGCAATGATTGATGGGGCACGGTGGCTCAGGCCTGCAATCCCAGCATTTTCGCTTTGTGCTAAGACCTACAAATTATGTAGCTGGCCCAGTCTGTAACAAGATCCATATAAGAATGCTAAAATTAGTGGGTAGAAGTGAGGTAGGAGGCAGGACTTGACTCCAGATGAGATTGAAGACTGGCTGAAACAGAGAAGAGGCACCAAAAATATCTTTCCATAAGACTCACCCACCAGTGCCATGACAGTTTACCATTGCCATGGCAACATCTGGAAGTTATGACTCCTTTTCTAGAAATTTCTGAATAACCCATCACTTAATTTGTATATAAAATACAGGCCAGTCATGGTGGCACATGCCTGTAATCCCAGCACTTTGGGAGGCTGAGGCGGGTGGATCACTTGAGGTCAGGAGTTCAAGACCAGCCTGGCCAACATGGTGAAATCCCATCTCTTCTAAAAACATAAAAAATTAGCCGGGCGTGGTGGCACATGCCTGTAGTCCCAGCTACTCAGGAGGCTGAGGCAAGAGAATCGCTTGAACCAGGGAGGCAGAGATCGCTCCACCGCACTCCAGCCTGGGCGACAGAGTGAGACTCTGTCAAAAAATAAAATAATAATGATAATAAATAAAGTACGTATAAGTATAACCGCAGAACTGCCCCTGAGCTGCTGCTCTGGGCACATTGCCTATGGGTAGCCGTGCTCCAGAAGAAGCAGTTCCTCTGCTGCTGCCCTTCACTACCGCATCTATAAAAGTTGCTGTCTCACACCACTGGCTCACTCTTGAATTCTTTCCTGAGCAAAGCCAAAAACCCCCTCTGGCTAATCTCCAATTTGGAGGCTCACTTGCCCTGCATCAGAAGCTTAAGAAAAATCAGGATATTTCAGTAGCTTCAAAGTACCTCCCCCAAAATACTTGTTAATTACAAGGGGGAAAATAGAAACTTTACAGTGGAGTAACCAGCTGGACACTGTCTTAGCCAAGCAATCAGAGTTAATATCATGTATCCTGACATGGTACACTGGTAGAAAAGCACATTACTTCTGCATTATTCTCCCCCCAAATCCATAACCTTCATATAACCATGAGAAAACATTGAATGGACTTATATTGAGGAAGATTCTACAAAATGCCCAACCATTACTGTTAAAAACTGTCCACGTCATGAAAAGCAAGAAAAGACTGAGAAACTGTGACAGATGGGAGATTCAGAGGATATCATTACTAAATCAAAACAGGATCCTAGATTGGATGCTGGACAGAAAAAGGACATTAGGTGGAATACTAGGGAAACCCAACTGAAATCTATGTATTAATTAACTCCACTGAGTCAATGTTACCTTTCTGACTGAAAGTCATTGTACCATAATTCTGGAGGACAGTAGGGGAAGCTGAAAGAAGGATTTAAGGGAACTCTCTGTACTATCTTTGTAACTCTTTGGGTCATAAATTATTTCAAAATTAAAAAAAAAAATTTAAGCAATCATAATTCAGAAGGCAGTGATGAAATACACCATAAGCAAAACCAAAAGCATGTGACACTGTGGGAAGAGGAACTTACAACTCGTAACACAGACAAGAGTGAATCTCCCTAATACATAAAGAGCTTTGAGAAAAACATCAATAACCAAATAAGAGAAAAATGAACAAACAATTCAAAGAAAAGGAAAACAACTGGCTCTTAAATGTATAAGATCATCAAAATCTCTCATAAAATAACTGCAAATTAACACTACAGATAATTTTCACCTATCACATTGGCAAAAATCCAACTAGTTGATAATATTCTCTGTTGGTGAGTCTGTGGAGAAAGAGGAACTTTCAAACATTATTCGTGGGAATGTAAATGGATGCAACCACTTCTGGAAGGCAATCTGACAGCATCTATCAAAATTAAGATAAATCAGCCAGGTGTGGTGGCTCATGCCTATAATTCCAGCACTCTGGGAGGCAGAGGCGGGAGGATCTTTTGAGCTCAAGAGTTTGAGACCAGCCCAGGCAACAGAGCAATACCCCATCTCTGCCAAAAATGTTTAAAATTAGTTGGCTGTGATGTAGTCCTAACTACTTGAGAAGCTGAGGTGGGAGGATTGCTTGGGCCCAGGAGTTTGAGGCCATAGTGAGCCACGATGGTGCCACCGCACTCCAGCCTGGGCAACACAGCAAGATACTGACTCTACAAAAAAAAAAAAAAAAAAAAAAGATCAATCCTTTCTTTGACCCATTCCACTTTTACACTTCAGATTGATTTGTACAAATCCAAAATGTCCACATATATAAGGCTGCTCATGGTAACACTGCTTATAACAGTAAAATAAGTAGCATATATCCATCAATAGAAGGCTGGTTAAATAAAGTTAAGGCCCCACAGTAATGCAATACTTTATACACATACGACTTTGAAAAGTGAGGTTACCAGGGACTGGGGGGAGAGGGAAACAGGGAAATGCTGGTCAAAAAGTACAAAGCTTCAGCTATTCAAGATGAACAAGTCCTAGAGATCTGCTGTACAGCATGGCACATATAATTAACAATACTGTATTGTATACTTAAAATGGTGTTAAGAGGACAGAGCTCATATTAAATGTCATTATCACACCCACAAAAAAAGAGGAAGAGAGAAAACTTTTAGATTTGATGGTTATGTTTATGGCTTTTTTATGGTGACAGTTTCATGGGTATATATTTATTTTCAACTCATCAAGATGTACAAACTGAATATGTACAGCTTTTTGGCATGTCAATCATACCTCAATTAAAAAAAAAAGAAGAATGAGGAAGCTTTCTATCTACTAGTAAGGAAAGACCTCCAAGATTTACCAACAACTGTGGGGGAAAAGTTTGCAGAACAAATAGTATCTACATTCTGCATGAAAAAAAAAAAGAAGGGAGTAACAACAACAACAAAAATAACCCCATTAAAAAGTAGGCAAGAGATATGAACAAACACTTCTCCAAAGAAGACATACACACGGAGCCAACAAACATATGAAAAAAATGCTCCACCCACTGATCATCAGAAAAATGGGAATCGAATCCATAATGAGATACCGTCTCACACCAGTCAGAATGGCTATTATTACAAAGTCAAAAAATTAAAAAAAAACCAGCTGATGAGGCTGTGGAGAAAATAAAAGGTTTAGACACTGTTAGTGGGAATGTAAATTAGTTTAATCACTGTGGAAAGTAATTTTGAGATTTCTCAAAGATCTTAAAGCTGAGCTTACCATTCAACCCAGCAGTCCCATTACTGGGTATATACCCAAAGGAAAACAATAGTTCTACCAAAAGACTCATGTACTTGTATGTTCATCAAAGTGCTATTCACAGTAGCAAAATCATGGATTGGTGCTCATCCATGGATTAGATAAAGAAAATGTGGTACCTCTACAGTATGGAATACTAAGCAGCCATAAAAAAGAGTGAAACACATCCTTTACAGCAACATGGATACAGTTGGAGAACATTATGCTAAGTGAATTAATGCAGGAACAGAAAACCAATGCCACATTTCCTCACTTGTAAGTGAGAGCTAACCATTGGATATACATGGACACAAAAATGGCAACAATAGGCACTGGGGACTACTAGAGAGGGGAGGGAGGGACGGAGGGAGGGAGGAGGGGAAGGGTTGAAAAACTAACTATTGGGTACTAAGCTCACTACCTGAGTAACCGGATCAATTGTACCCTAAGCCTCAGCATCACGCAATATATCCAGGTAACAAACATGCACATATACCTCCTGAATCTAAAATAAAAGTTGAAATTATTTATTTAAAAAAAGAGGAATAAGAATCTATATTTGAAGTTTCTTCCATTTGCATAAAGAAACTGGAGGAATATATAAGAAACTAAAAACAGGATTTCAGAGGACAGAGAAGGTGGTAGGAACTAGAGACAGGAAATAAGAGAAAGAGATAAATTGTTCACAATACATTGGTTCCTAGTTCTGAATTGTGAGCCATGGAAATATATTACCTATTCAAAAAAATTAAAAACTTCAGGGAAATAAGTAATCATATAAAGAAAGGGTGATTACAACCAAAACTAAAATTATACCCTGAGCACAACAGTCATTCCTTAAAACAAAATATATTTTTTAAATGTGTATGGGCAACACAAAAATCATGCATAAGGCCCAAACATTTCAAAATAATCTGTCATATAAACACACCAAACCTGAATCATCAGACTATGAGAAACAGTATACATTTTATTTTTATTCCTGTTATGTACCTTGAAAAAAAGTGCATTTTTTTTTTTTAGATGGAGTCTCGCTCTGTGGCCCAGGCTGGAGTGCAGTGGCGCTATCTCGGCTGGCTGCAACCTCCGCCTCCCGGGTTCAAGCAATTCTCCTGCCCCAGCCTTCCAAGTAGCTCGGATTACAGGCACTTGCCACCATGTCTGACTAATTTTTTGTATTTTTAGTAGGGATTGGGCTTCACCATTTTGCCCAGGCTGGTCTCGAACTCCTCACCTCAAGTGATCCACCCACCTTGGCCTCCCAAAGTGCTGGGATTACAGGCGTGAGTCACGGCGCCCAGCCAAAAAAAGGACTTTTTACTTGTCTGTTTGTTAGGTAGAAGGAAGGAAATAAAGGGAGGGAGAGAAGGGATGGAGAGAGGGAGGGAGGAATAGAGGAATGGCCAGTGAGTTAGCCCATTGGCGGGAATTAAAATTAGTGTATTCTTTTTGTGGGGCAATATTGCAATATCTACCAACATTTTTAGCACACATGCCCTTTGATCCAGAAATCCTTTTTCTGAGAATTTATCTAACAGATATATTCCCACAGCTATGTAAAAGATAATTAATGCAGCACAAACAGATATGTAACGTGGCATAGTTTGTAGAGCAAAAATCTGGAAATTACCGAAATGTTCATTAAGAAAGAGCTGGTTAAATTACGGAATATCCTAAAATGAAACCTTCTGAAGAATGAGGTTGATGCTCCTATACTGAATTGGAAAGATGGTTGTGATATTAGCAAGTGAAAAAAAAAGTTGCGGTTTTGTAGACAGCATGATTCTATTTGCGTAGGGATAACATGTCTTGAAGGATCCACCAGCATCTGCTAACAATGGGTAACTGAGAAGCAAGACTGGGAATCAGGGTGGGAAAGCCAATTGGAAAACATTCACTTTTTTTGAATGAATTATGTTTACTATGTGCATTCATCACTTTTTTGTCTTTTGTTGTGGTGAAATATACACAACATAAAATGTGCCACTTTTTAACCTTTTTTTTTTTAATTTTTTTTTAGATGGAGTCTCGCTCTGTTGCCCAGGCTGGAGTGCAGTGGTGCGATCTCGGCTCACTGCAAGCTCCGCTGCCCAGGTTCATGTCATTCTCCTGCCTCAGCCTCCCGAGTAGCTGGGACTACAGGCGCCCACCACCACGCCCAGCTAATTTTTGTATTTTTAGTAGAGACGGGGTTTCACCGTGTTAGCCAGGATGGTCTCCATCTCCTGACCTCGTGATCCACCCAACTCGGCTTCCCAAAGTGCTGGGATTACAGGCGTGAGCCACCACGCCGGGCCTTAACCATTTTTAAGTGTACGGTTCAGTGGCATTAAGTACATTCACATTGCTGTGCAACCATCACCACCATCCATCTCCAGAACATTTCATCTTCCAACACTGAAACTGTACTCATTAGACACTAACTCATTTCCCCTGCCCCTCAGGCTCTGGTTACCACTATTCTATGTTCTTTCTCTATGAATTTTCCTATGTACTTCATGTAAATAGAATCATAATACAGGATTTTTCCTTTTGTGTCTGGCTGATATCACTTAGTGTAATTGTTTTCAAGGTTCACCCATGTTATAGCATGTATCAAAAAATTTCCTTCCTTTTTTTTTTTTTTTTTTTTTGAGATGGAGTTTCCCTCTTGTTGCCCAGGCTGGAGTGCAGTGGCACAATCTCGGCTCACTGCGACCTCCGCCTCCCCAGTTCCAGCGATTAGCTGGGATTACAGGTACCTGCCACTACGCCCAGCTGATTTTTGTATTTTTTAGTAGAGATGGGAGTTTCACCATGTTGGCTAGGCTGGTCTCGAACTCTTGACCTCAGGTGATCCACCCAACTCAGCCTCCCAAAGTGCTGGGATTACAGGCATGCGCCACCATGCTCAGCCAATTTCCTTTCTTTTTAAGGCTGCATAACTTTCCATTGTGTGAATACAACACATTTTGCTTATTTATTCACCTGTTGATAAACACTTGGGTTGTTTTCACTTTTTGACCCTCATGAATAATGCTGCTATGAGCATGGGTGTATAGCTATCTATCTGTTTGAATCCCTGCTTTCAATTCTTTGAGGTATAGACCTAAATGAGGAATTGTTGGATCATATGTTGAATCTATGTTTAACTTTTTGGGAATTGTCATACTGTCTTCCACAGAGGTTATATACCATTTTATATTCCCAGTCAGGCTCACATCTGTAATCTCAGCACTTTGGAACAATGAAGTGGGAGGATCGCATGTGCCCAGGAGTTCAAGGCTTCAGTGTGCTATGACGGCTCCGCTGCACTCGGCCTGGGCCACGGTGAGACCCTGTTTCTAAAAAAAATTAAAAATTAAAATTAAAATACATTCCCCCCAGCAGTGCACAAGGATTCCAATTTCTCCACATTGCATCTATTATTTTTATAACTAAAACTGTATTGTATTTTTAAAATCTCACTCTTTTGACTTCGATAAGTTCTCTAAGTTGTACCTCTCATTAACATTATGTTTATATTACAAATTCTGAGAGAGCAGGGATCTTCGAAGGGTGGATCACTTGAGGTCAGGGGTTTGAGACCATCCTGGCCAACATGGTGAAACCTCATCTCTACTAAAAATACAAAACTTAGCCAGGTGTGGTGGCGCGCCCTGTAATCCCAGCTACTGGGGAGGCTGAGGCAGGAGAATTGCTTGAGCCCGGGAGGCGAAGGCTGCAGTGAGCCGAGATCGCACCACTGCACTCCAGCCTGGGTGACAGAGCGAGACTCCGTCTCAAAAAAAAAAAAAAAAAAATCATCCTGGCATGGTGGTAGGTGTCTGTAATTCCAGCTACTTGGGAATCTGAGGCAGGAAAATCGCTTGAACCCAGAAAGTGGAGGTTGCAGTGAGCTGAGATCGAGCCACTGCATTCCAGCCTGGGCGACCATAGAGCGAGACTCCGTCTCAATCAATCAATCAATCAAATAAATAAATAGATAAATAAATAAATGCATTAACCATTTGTTTAAAATCAGTGGAGGCCTTCCAGGAGGAGGAAAGAACCAGTAAACCCTAAAAGCTTAGGTGCCTTCTGAACATGACAGCCTGGGGACAGCCGCTCACGCTCAGCCCATGGCCATGCTCCCCTCACATTCACAACGTGTCCTAGTCCCTGTCAGGGCAGGCACTGAGAGGTGATGATGTGGGGTCTACTGAAGGCCTCACGGGCATTCCAATGTCTAGAACACGGTTTCATTTGAAAACTTCTGGGTGTACAAAACCCAGCACCCACCTCCCGCACCCATCCCACCCCAACTGGCAGCAGCCTAGGGTCTAAAGAGTTCAGAAAGGGCCCTGCATGGGGGCTGACCTGAAGCCAGGTGGATTTCCAATGATGGCTGGGCCAGATGCCTTGTTAAGTAGGACACCGTGGGCAGCGCGCGGTGGCTCATGCCTGTGATCCCAGCACCTAGGGAGGCCAAGGTGGCGGATCACTTGAGATCAGGAGTTCGAGACCAGCCTGACGAACATAGCGAAACCCTGACTCTACTAAAAATACAAAAATTAGCTCGGTGTGGTGGCACCTGCCTGTAATCCCAGCTACTCAGGAGGCTGAGGCAGGAGAACTGCTTGAACCCAGGAGACGGAGCTTGCAGTGAGCCGAGATCGCACCATTGCCCCCCACCCTGGGTGACAGAGGGAGATTCCATCTCAAAAAAAAAAAAAAAAATAGGACACTCTGTCTGCCCTTTTTGGTGACATGAGTCTTTCAGAGCATGAGCAGTTCTCTCCTGGGACCATCTCATTTATCTATTTACCTGCTACCAATTTTAGCGCCAGGTTTGCTCTCACTCTATGCAGCAACTACAGATGTACAGCAACGGGCACCTCTGCGCCTGCTCCGCTTTCCTGCCTCGTTTCCATGAAGACATGGCTGGGGGCTTTGGGGACAGGGAGGTGTGTGTAAGGGGTGCCTGGGAAGCGCAGGGCGGAGCAGGAATGCTGGCACTCCACTCCTTTCCTGCCCCTCCAGCCTCACTTCCGGGTCATTCCTTCCCTCGCCCACTTTGACCCATTCTCCAGACAGCAGGAGAGACCTGATGTGGATGAGAGAATTGGTGTTTAGAAAAATCAAACACCTTGCTTAAGGTGGCTCAGTAGTAAATTGGAAACCGGGCCTCAAATTCAGATTTTCTGATTTGTTTTTCTTCTTCTGGAGCCAGCAGGCCGGTGTCTCATCCTCTTACTGCTTGGTCTTTGCTGGGTCTGAGTTATGAACAAATCCAAATGATAGTGCCTGGATTTTAATGGGGTCACAATTTAAATATTTTCATCTTCTCAAGGGATCTAAAGATCCTATATTAACCCAGGCTGGTAAAATAGCTAGTGCTAAGTAGGGAGAACTTTCTGGAACTCTCAAATTGCAGCATCTTGGTGTTCAGTAGCTGAACCATCAAGCCCAGGTCCATGCACTCATTCCCTTCCTTAGCGCCCCTGCCCACTCTGCCAGTGACTCATCCTCCCACACCTTCCCTCTTCTCTCCTGTGCCCATTTGCTCCCCAACCAGCTTTGCCACACCAGGGCTCTCCTGCCTGCCCTCAGGGTGACAAGAGGCAGAAGTCACAGGACTGGGGAGAAACTGACCCCAATTACTGAGGATGAAATGGTTCCAGCATCTCAGTGAGGCATCTCATTGAGGTGAGACAGGGCTTTGGAGGGACAATGAAGGTGTACTTGGGTTGGGGGATGCAGAGCTTTAGCTGGCTCTGGTTGCAGCTCCCAGGTGGGCATGGAAGTGAGGGAGGTATGGGATGGGTCAAGGGGGTCTCTACCTAACAGGAAGCCAGAATGGTGGAGGGGCTGGGAGGACAGCACAGGAGGAGTACAGACCACACTGGACCAAGGCAGGAGAAGCTGGGCAGATATGGGCCCTGAGGAGTAGGGAGGGAGTTGCTGTTGTTACAGTTGCCGCCTGGCTGCAGAAGCCAGAGGTCAAGTTCAGGCATGCTGGTTTCTAGGGAGATGAGCTCATGAGCTCTGATGCTCACTCCGCAGGAACCTCCAGCATGAGTCAGCATCAGCTAGGTTTCTCTGGTTCTAGCCTCACTCCTCGCAGCAGTCAAAGTCCAGGAGAGAGGATGTGGTTGGCCCAGATAGAGTCACACGCCCTGGCAATCTGGCGGGTGAGGGATGCTTCCCCTGAGGAGGCACCTGACCTGGACAGGTGACTCCCTGGAAGGAGGTGGGGCTGCTGCATCTGGGAAAAGGAGTAAATGCTGAGAGGTAAGATGACTAAAAATCATTCCAGTCCGATAGTGAAAGGACTGGCCTTTGAATCCATCCCTAAACTTGAGGATTTGATTTGCTCAGTGGCTTTAAAAATATCTAAAAGATATTGTGTCAAATTGCCAAACAACTCCCAGGCACTTCCTCTGCCTTAGCCATTTCTGGGGCTTTCATCAAGTCTATAGCTCCAGGTAATGGTCCAGCTGCTGATCCTTGTGGAATGAGACATGCGAAGCTCTGTGTATGAGTTACTGTTTGGGTTGTGACATTTCTCACTGCAGATTTCCTGCCAAGCCTCACTCCCAGGTTCTACATCCACCCACGAGGCATATAGAGACTTCTCTGGAAGCAGGCGCTGGGAGGCCCATCCAGCCCACTGTGACTTCACACCCAGGAGTGTTAAAAACTAGAATTCTCCTCCAGCTGGGCTAAGCAACATCCCTACTTAACACAGACGAGTAATACACATGCACCAGGGTGCAGTACTGTTTCAGTTACTAAAGGCTCCCAACAACCTAATGGCCATCAGGGGAAGATGTACTAAATAAATCATGGTGAGCCATCTAGCATGCTTCCAGGAAAAAAAAAAAAAAAAGAAGAAATCATGGTTCATTCACTGTTCAGCCATCTAACATAATAAGGCAGCACTCTGTATGAAAATGGAGTGATCCCTTATCTGTGCTGTTCAAAGTAAGGTGCCAAACATTGGGCAGACTACGACATCCCTTGTGTAAAAACTGCACACATATTTTAGGCCTGCTCATATGTATATGAGCACACATATAAAGCCGAAGTGTTCAGTTTCCCCACCACCCTCTAAGGAATCAGGGAACTCCACAAGGCAGTAGAAAAAGCAGACGGTAGGATGGAGAGTCAAGGAGAGAGGGGACCTAAGAGAAAGAGAGAGGAAGACACTTGGGGGTCAGAGAAAAAACAGTTTTTTTAGGAAGCTTTGTAGGGTGGTATTGTAGAAGGCAATTTTCATTCTTTCGAGCCACCCAGCGTCTGATCCTCTGTCTGTTAAAGGAACCCCGTCTTCAGAAGGCAGAATTCCCTTCACAGCAGAAGCTGAAAATGCCAGAGACTCATGTCCTCAGTTTTCCTTGCAGGGAGGGTTGGGACTCGTGACTCCACCAATCAAATGTACTCACCCTGTGTCTGAATCAGAAATTAGTCACATGAGCCTGGGCAACATGGTGAGAAACCGTCTCCACAGTAAAATACAAAAATTAGCTGGGCGTGGTGGTGCGTGCCTGTGGTCCCAGCTACTTGGGAGGCTGAGGTGGGAGGATTGCCTGAGCCTGGGAGGTTGAGGCTACAGTGAGCCGAGACCCTGTCTCAAAAAAAGAAAGAAAAAGAAATTAGTCACATGAGGCACTCTGTAAAACCCACTCAGTCCATGAGGTGGCAGTGGTGGCAATACCTCCAGTCTCCTGGGTGGCAGTTGGAGCGGTCCACGCAGCCAGCAACCAGGACCCAGAGTGGGTGTCGTGGTGTTGCAAGCTGCAGCCACCAGTGCCTATGTCTGTGGTCATATTCTAACCAGACCAATCTGCCACATGATTCTGGGGGTTGGTCTCGTCTGCAGAGCCTCCTAGCTGTGAGTTATCCAGAGATTCTATGAGCACCAGTATTGTCTAACAGAAAACAGTGATTGCCGTTGCTTACAGCTGCAAATCCTGAGACACATATATGTGTGTTGTGCGCCTCTGTCCTTAGCACTCTCCGTGGATCTTTTTTTTTTTTTTTTTTTTTGAGATGGAGTCTCACTCTGTCGCCCAGGCTGGAGGGCAGTGGCGCAATCTCGGCTCACTGCAAGCTCCACCTCCTGGGCTCACGCCATTCTCCTGCCTCAGCCTCCCGAGTAGCCGGGACTACAGGCGCCCGCCACCATGCCCAGCTAATTTTTTGTATTTTTTAGTAGAGACGGGGTTTCACTGTGTTAGCCAGGATGGTCTCGATCTCCTGACCTCGCGATCCACCCGCCTCGGCCTCCCAAAGTGCTGGGATTACAGGCATGAGCCACTGTGCCCGGCCTCCGGGGATCTTAAGTAAAGAACTAGACTAGTTCAAACATGAGGTCAGATTTGTATTTCTTTTCCACAGTCACTGTGCTAAGGCAAGAGCATGGACACCCGGTTTTATTGGGGTGACATCAAACATGCATATCAGACATTGTGAATGTTGGGAAAGATACTCACCAATCTGTTCACAGTGGCTGTCCCTGAGAAATGAGAATGCCATGGGGAGGAGGACTTTTTCTTCTCATTTTACATTTTTCCATGCTGTTTGAATTTTTTTTTTACCATATTCATGTATTATCTTTACATTTTTTAAGTTTAAAATAATTATTTTTAAAAGAAAAGTAATACATCTACAAATATATCAGAATGTGTACATGAGAGAAAAGATAAAGTAATATATGCATTCTGGCAAAAGGCAGAGTCTTTGGAAGAAGCAGGTGGTGAGGAACTGGTAGTCTGCTAACGTCAGCTGAGAATCTTAATTTGGTGGGCTGTCAGGACTGCAGACTTTTTTTAAAGTTTTTATTTGGCATATCTTTTCTTTTTTTAAGAGACAGGGTCTCACTCTGTTGCCCAGGCTGGAGAGCAGTGTCACGGTCAAAATTCACTGCAGCTTCAATCTCCTGGACGCAAGTGATCCTCCCACCTCAGCCTCCCAAGTAGCTGGGACTACAGGTGCATACCACAATGCCCGGGTAATTTTTAAAACTTTTTTTAGGAACAGGATCTTGCTATGTTGTCCAGGCAGGTCTCAAACTCCTAGCCATCCTCCCACCTTAGCTTCCTGAGTTGCTGGCATTACAGGCGTGAGCCACCTTGCCTGGCCTGGTTTAAAAACATAAATAGAAGAGGAGGTTTTGAGTGAAAATTTGATATGTAGGTTATATTTATGTGTGTGTGTGTGTGTGTGTGTGTGTGTGTGTTTACACAGAGGTCTCACTATGTTGCCCAGGATCTAGGACGTGAATTCCTGTTCTTAAGCAATCCTCCTGCCTCAATCTCCAGAGTAACTGGAACTACAGACTCTGGAGTAACTGGGACTACAGGCTCCAGAGTAACTGGGACTTCAGGTGTGCAGCAGTGCACCCAGTTACAATTACTTGTGTGTGTATGCTTGGGGGTATTTATGAATGAATGATGGAAGAGTATGACCACCGTTGTTGTCCATTTATATTCAGGACCCTAGAGAAAATCAGACAGCCTCTATCAGACTCCTCACATCCTCTGTGCCAGCATCAAAGGAGACCAGGTCCAGGTGAGGGGGTGAAGTAGCCTTCCTCTGCCTACTCTCCCTGCAGGTCCTGGGCAGGCTCAGGAAAGGAGGGTGACAACAAGCTTGCCTTCATCACTCTGAGGCGGGCCAACTGCCTAGCTCAGGGCATCTTCATCAGGAGGGCACAGCGGTGTGGGCTGGCCACTGGCTTCATTTTGTTTTCGGAATTTGATGTTCATCCCCACAGGCAAACAGATGAGTAACATCATGAAAAGCAGACTCAAGGACGGAACACCCACGATGGCTGTCGGCAGATCCACTTTCCACCTCCAGACGATGCCTCCGGCGAGTGCCCCCCACTGTGTAGTCAGAGCCCACCAACAGCAGAATCCTGGAGCTCTGGCCTGACCCTACTCTCCTCTGGCAGTGGGGAGAGGGGCCGGGGGGGACCCTGGCCTTTGCTCTCAACTCACTCCCTCTTCACTCCAGGGCAGGAGCCATGAACTCAGTCCCCACCTGTCTTGATCACTGGGGCCTGGGGTGAAAGGTAGGGTGGCCCAGGGAGAAGAGGGCATGGAAAGGCGTGTGTGGAAACATACCCTGACTGTAAAAAAAGGAGTGGTCAAGAGCGAAAGGTCACAGTGAGTCAGTTCCTGCTCCAGCCTGCTCCTGGTTCTTAGGTGCCAGAATGAGAAGATGGGTTCTGGGCTGAGGGAAAAATAAATATTTTTTATGCAGGAAACTTAAGACTGCAGAGGCTGGCCAGGCATGGTGGCTCATGCTTATAATCCTAACACTTTCAGAGGGTGAGGTGGCGGGATCGCTTGAGCCCGTAAGTGTGAGACCAGCCTGGGCAACGTGTTGAGTTGCTGCCTCTATAAAAATGCAAAAGGTAGCCAGACATGGTGGGGCACGCCCGTGGTCCCAGCTACCCGGGAGGCTAAGGCGGGAGGATTGCTTGAGCCAGGGAGGCAGAGGTTGCAGTGAGCTGAGATTGCACCACTGCACTCCCCGCTGGGCGACAGACAGACCCTGTCTCAAAAACTGTTACTGAGGGCCTGTGGGGGGGGGGGGGAAATTTTTTTGAAAGGACTACAGAGGCTTTTTGATGAGAAGATTCTCACAAAAACTACGAAGATGAATACCAGTTGCAGCTAAGTTAAAGAAAAATTAATGAGGATGATTAATCATAATAACAACCTATATGTATTTGTTGTAACCTCCTGGTTTACAGAGCACTTTCCTTTAAACTAATACAGTTGATCTTCACAGCAAGGTTCAAAGCAGGGAACATATTTTATCCAGGCTCAAGGTCATGCTGTAAAATTGTGCATCAATTCAGAAAAGCACTTTAAAGATCTAATTCATTGACTAGTACTGTTTGACATCGTTAGATATAATTGGCTATAGCATTGAAATTAACTAAAACATATTTAGCTCTTTGCGACATCCACAGAGACATCTTTGAAGTCTCTATGTTGAGTGGCAGGGCCAGGCTCAGATGTTGTCTTTTCATTCTCAGCCCTCCCCTGGCTTGCTCAGCAGCACAGCCTCCGCGTATAACCCATGGCCACGCCATCCCTTAGCTTACACGTTTGTCTGTAGAGCTAAGAGCTTGTGATTGGCCAGTATTTGCTTTTCAAAAAAATTTTTCTGGATTTACTTTTATTGTAATAAAACTTTTGTTAGAAAAAGCACCTAAATTTATGGATCACATCAAATAATCTCTGAGTTAGCCATTTCCAGGGAAAACCAGCCTGCAGACCCCGAGTGGACAGCAGGACCCTGGCGTGAGGGCAGTCAGTGCTACTCCAGAAGGCCAACACAGGGCCTGGGGGCAGTGGAGAATGGCCCCCAAAATGGGAAATAATGCACATCCAACCTGCCTCCCGGGGATGCTGGAGAAATACGGCACTGTCAATGGTAGAACTACTTTGCCCTGGGTAGACACGCGCTGCTACCATATTTGTGGGAATGTTATCATTGTTATTTTAATGGATGCCTTGTCTTCTTTCTGCCGGGCACTTTGAGTCTCTCTGGAGGGGCCAAGTCTCATGGAAACATGAAATGCTGTGTGCAGACAAACACCACGAGTTAAACGTATAGAAAGCTGGCAGGTAGGCGAGGCATGGTGGTTCACACCTGTAATCCCAGCAATTTGGGAGGCAAAGGTGGGAGGACTGCTTGAGCTCAGGAGTTTGAGACCAGCCTGGGCAACATAGTAAGACCCCATCTCTAAAAAACAATAAATAAATAAAAATTAGTAGGGCATGCTGGTGTGCGCCTGTAGTCCCAACTACTTGGAAGCTGAGGTAGGTGGACTTGAGCCCAGCCTTGGCAACAGAGCGAGACCCTGTCTTACAAAACAAAAAGAAAAAGTGCTGGCAGATGGCTCCTCAGGAAGGTCTCAGGAGATCTGCTGCCTGAGCAGCTTGTTGGGGAGCCCTGCCTACACGAAGCTCATAGCCAAAGTCATTCTGACGCTGAGAGATAACTTGGCCTTGTCTCCTCCCGCCTTCACGGCCCCCTCCCTGCTTGGTAAGCCCCGCTCCACTGCAGTCACGGTAGTCCTTACGCTGGAGCTGAAGTTGGTTCTGCCTCTCCAATTGCCTGTGAGCTGCAAGGAGGCCAGGACTGTGCTTCAGGCTGTGGAAGGAAGTCAGAGAATGGGAGGAGCCGCCTGTGGGGAGCAGGAAGGCTTGGGCCCTGGGTTCCTGCTCAGCCAAGGAACACCTGTAGGTTTCTGAACCTCTTTTTCCATCTGTAAAAGGGGGAAATAAGCCCTGCCTACCTCATCAGGCTTACAGCTGCACTGTCCATTATGGTAAGCACTAACCACTGTGGCTAATGAGCCCGGGAAGTGTGGCTAGTCCCAATTCACATGTGCTCTAAGTGGAAAATATGCACCAGATTTCAAGGCCGGTACCAAAAACTGTTATCAAGTCCCTCAGTAATTTTTATGTTGCTTATGTGTTGAAATAACATTTTTGATATATTAGGTTAAAGCACATATTATTAAAATTAATTCTCGCCAGACACAGTGGCTCACGCCTGTAATCCTAACACTTTGGGAGGCCAAGGCAGATGGATCACCTGAGGTCAGGAGTTCAAGACCAGCCTGACCAACATGGTGAAACCCCATCTCTACTAAAAATGCAAAATTAACTGGGCATGGTGGTGCATGCCTGTAATCCCAGCTACTCGGGAGGCTGAGGCAGGAGAATCGCTTGAACCCAGGAGGCGGAGGTTGCGGTGAGCCAAGATGGCACCATTACACTCCAGGCTGGGCAACAAGAGCGAAACTCGGTCTCAAATAATAATAATAATTAATTTCATCTGTTTTGTTTGTTTGTTTGTTTGTTTTTGAGACAGGGTCTCACTCTGTCGCACAGGCTGGAGCGCAATGACATGATCATAGCTCACTGCAAACTCCAACTCCTGGACTCAAGCAATCCTCCCATCTCAGCCTCCTGAGTAGCTAGGACTAAAGGCATGTCACTGTACCCAGCTAATTTTTCTGTGGAGATGGGGTCTCTCTATGTTGCCCAGTCTGGCTCAAACTCCTGGGCTCAAGCAATCCTCCCACCTCAGCCTCCAAAAGTGCTAGGATTACAGGCATGAGCCACCTTACCCAGCTTGCCTGTTTCTTTTTAAAATGTGGCTTCTAGAGAAATTACAGTTACATATGGGCTCATATTATGTTCCTACTGGACAGTACTGGTACAGCAATGAGCTACTTGGATGGATGGAGTTATTAGAACTCTATTTCTTCTGTTCTCTTCTCCTTGAATCTTGCAGAATGTGGCACAGGCAGAAGGAGGCTTGAAAAATCCCTGTCCAAAATAAAAGTCTTAGGTTTTTCATCTGAAAGAGTCAGATACTCCAGCTACCTCCACTTCCCACCCCTCAATGCAGATAAACAAACAGGCGTGAGCCACCGGGCTATTTATGATTTTGACAACTGCTCTCCAAAATGTTGTAACTTTCCACCCCTCCAGCAATACATGAGAGTACCCATTTCTTCAACCCTTCCTAATACAATTGGGGTTCTATCATTTTCTTCATCTTTGCCAGTTTAATAGGTAAAACTTCCCCTTCTGTGCTTACTGCAGAAAACTGAAACTTGTTCCTGGGTTACTGACCATATGTCTTAGTTTTTAATAACTTTCCTCATCCTACCTTTTCTTTGCCCATTTTTTCTTCTGAAGTCTATTGTCTTCTCATTTCTATGAGCTCTTTGCATATTAAGGACATTAATTCCTTGTCTCACATGCTGCAGCTCTTATTAGTCTTTTATATTGTCTGCGTAGTGTTTTTTTATGATTATTGAGTTAAACCTCTGAGTACTTCCTTTACGTTTGTGCTTTGTGTGGTTAGAAAAATCTTTACACCATAAGGATGAACTTATCTGTGTTTTCTTCTAAATTTATTATGGATCTTATTAATGATTCCACTTATTAAAATTTAGGTTTTACCTGACTTGAAATTATTTAAGTTGTGGTATGATTCAGAATCTAACTTCGTTTTCCTCTCCCAAATGGCTAGCCAGTTGTTCCCACTATCTCATGTATCCCAAGACTTCACCACAGTGACACTGTGGGACGTTTTGGGCTGGGTAATTCTTTGCTGTGGGAGGCTATTCTTGCACTGTAGGATGTTTAGCAGCGCCTCTGACCTCTATCAGATTCCAGTTGCATCCCCTCAGTTGTGACAACCAAAAATGTCTCCAGACATTGCTAAGTGCTCCCAGGGAGACAAAACCACCCACAGTTGAGAATCTTTCCTTTTCCCAGTGATTTAAAATATCACTTTTACCACACAGTAAATTCCCATATATCATATATCCTTGCGTCTATTTCAGGCCTTTCTATTCTGTTCCAATGAGTTGATGTCTATTCTTGGACTAGTAGCACCAAACTGTTTGCATTATTGCAGTTTTGTATTAACTTTTAAATCAGTTTATGTTCTTGCTCTCCCCACCTCTTTCTTTTTTTTAATCCACCACAGAGGACAGTTAATCTTTTTGAGCTATCAGGTGAGAATGCAACAAGAGAGACCCACGCAGAATCTGGGGCAAGGGAGAGCCCCACCTTCGAGTCAGGGAGTTGCACATTGGGTGGGACCAGCAGGCGCATAGCTGCCTGAGGCTGATAGGAGAAAGGGCGCCTGATAGGACCTGGAAGCCTATCTCCAGGGTCATCTGGTAAACCTGGCGGGAAGGAGCTACAGAAAACAAAAACAGGAAGTGGGGCAGTGTTTTGAGCTGCTGGTATTACTAAGTCAGGATGGAGAAAGAATGGGGATGGGAGGACAGGATCTTTGTGATTATTTACAGGGTATCTAGGCTTCCGTTGTTTCACAAGTAGTTAAATAAAGCCCACTAGGGAATTAACCGTTCAAGCCTCAGTTATGTCTAATGGGCATGACTGATGGTACACTCCCTCAGGACAGGGAATTTCGGTCCCCCTCATGTCTGGAAGGGACGGTCCCACCTCTTCCAGCAACTACTGGGATGTGCAGCTCAGGGCGGCCTGTCCCGAGGAGCCCACAGCAAGGGCTGCCAGCATTTCAGTTCTGTCTTCTCAGAAGGGCCTAGCCTTTGTTACCAAGTTGTTTCCCCCATGCCAGGGGCTGGAGCTTTGTCTCTGACCATCCAACAGCTCAGAGAGAAGTAGTGACTGGTATCCCAGGGGTACCAGTTAGGATGGTTTCAGTTTCAAGAAACGAAAAGCACAACTCAAACTGGCTTAAACAATAAAAGAAATGTATAGGCCCACATCACAGAAAAGTCCGCAGGAAGGCTTCATCCAACAGCTCAATGATGTTGCCAGGACCCATTGCTTTCCTTGGCTCCCTGCTGTCTTCCCCATGGGAGTGGCATCCTGGGTACAGGCCTGGACTCCTGTGTTCTCCAGAGGAACACCTGGGGCTGCATGCTCTCCTTTTAAAAGCAGCAGAGCCGGGCGCGGTGGCTCACGCCTGTAATCCCAGCACTTTGGGAGGCCGAGGAGGGCGGATCATGAGTTCAGGAGATCGAGACCATCCTGACTAACATGGTGAAACCCCGTCTCTACTAAAAATACAATAAATTAGCCGGGCATGGTGGCGGGCACCTGTAGTCCCAGCTACTCTGGAGGCTGAGGCAGGAGAATGGCGTGAACCCGGGAGGCGGAGCTCGCAGTGAGCCGAGGTCGCACCACTGCCCTCCAGCCTGGGCGACAGAGCGAGACTCCATTTCAAAAAAAAAGCAGCAGAAAGTTCTTTGCTCCAAAATCCCCGCAAAAGTCCTGAGATTCACCCTGAATGGACTAGAGTTGTTCACATGCCCATCCCGGAAGACAGAATTGGCATGCCTTGATGGGCTTAGAGCTGGAATCACTGAAGTCCCCCACTGGAAGTCTGAGCCTGTTGGGAAGGGGAAAAGGAAGAGGGAACGGATGCCGGGATATCCACAAGTGTCCACTGCATCAAACTTCCCAAAGGGATTGACTCTTTGTTCGGGGCTCAGTCTTTTAAAATGTTAATCTGACTGGGCCGATGCACCTAAATAATAATAATAAATCCTCCTCAACCCCTCGGTATCCCTGGTTCCTAAATCATCCAGCAACACCCCCACTGGAAGTCTGAGCCTGCTGGGAAGGGGAAAGGGAAGAGGGAACAGATGCCGGGATATCCACAAGTATCCACTGCATCAAACTTCCCAAAGAGACACAAAAGGAAGCAGTCTCCAAATACTGGTGTCATTCGAGAAGCTTTGCTTCCTATGTCTTCAACAGTCTCCTAATATCATCTGCCTCTGTCAGGCAAAGCCAGGTTCTTGCTGCACGTGCTGGCCAGTCCCTCAATGAAGCGCACACACAAAGCTCTAAGTGACGGGGTTCCCGTGACAAATGTTTTTTCTGGGAAATAATTGTGGCTATTACAGCAAAAAGTGCCCTGATGAAGCAAGCTGGTCTGCCATAGCCACTGCCTTCCTGAGATGCTTGGCTGCGCCTGGGTGACAGGAGGGCTCCTCAGGAGGAACCCAGCAATGAAGCAAGTCCTAGCCTAGCGCCAGCCCAGTGGCTTTGCAAAGGTAATGCCTGGACAGCCTCTGCTGCTCTCCAAAACATGTTTCTCAACACAGGTCCCAGCAGTTTTGTGTCACCATCAAGTAGATCAGCAGCTCCTACCCATGACATCTGCTCTGCTCGGCATAAAGTTCTGCAAGGTGTGGTGGAGGCCAAAAGGATAGAAGATGAGCCCTCTCTTTCACAGAGGCAGGGGGCAAAGCAAGGCTTGACCTGTTATGGTACCAGCATGCCTGAAGATTCCCTCAGCGGTCAGGGTAGACCAAGCTGCTACAGGCAATGGGTTGCACTGGGAAAGCCAGCATTGCATGCCAGGCATTCAGAAAACGGCAGCAATATCAATGCCATTTTAATTATGCTTGCACCTCAAGACTGTTTTGTTTTGTTCGTTTTTTTGAGACAGGGTTCCACTCTGTCACCCAGGCTGGAGTGCAGTGGTGTGATCTCGGCTCACTGCGGCCTCAAACTCCTGGGCTCAAGTAGTCCTCCCTCCTCACTTCCCAAGTAACTGGGACTATAGGCCTGTGCCACCAGGCTGGCCTATCAGACTGTTTTATTTATTTGTTTATTTATTTTATTTTATTTTTTGAGACAGAGTTTTGCTCAGGCTGGAGTGCAGTGGTGCAGTCTCGGCTCACTGCAACCTCTGCCTCCCGGGTTCAAGCAATTCTCCTGCCTAGCCTCCCGAGTAGCTGGGATTACAAGCTCCCACCACCATGCCCAGCTAATTGTTCTATTTTCAGTGGAGACGGGGTTTTACCATGTTGGCCTGGTCTCAAACTTCTGACTTCAAGTGAGCCGCCCACCTTGGCCTCCCAAAGTGCTGGGATTACAGGTGTGAGCCGCCGCGCCTGGCCTATCAGACTGTTTTAAATCCAACACTTCACCTTAGGAGATCTCACCAAGAGTACAAGGCTCCAGCAATAAAACCCCAGAAATGGGTAACAGAGGCATTTCTACAAAGCCCCAAATCACCTCCCTTGTGCTTTATTTTCCTTCTCCTTCAATCACCTGCTGATTTTTATTGACTTTGAAGACCCTAGAAGCACAGGTCACAGGTTCTGTGGTAGGGACTCCGGTCTCTGAACACATGTAGAATCTCAGTCTCTGTGGTATCCAGATCTTCTGCCGGCTGCATGCTTTTCAGGAGGAGCTATTGCCAAAGCACACACCAAAATGGTTTCAATGGTCCGTAAATAATTTTCCATGCACTCAGATTCTCCTTAGGAGGAGCAATCCAATTGGCATCTAGTAGTCTCATTTGTCTTAGATTTGGAAATGCTCCCACCTTACTGGTTGGAAGTTTTCTCTGTGTGTGGGCACCTGGTAAACTGTCTCCGCTTTGCTTTCACTTTCCCCACCACTGCACTGGTACATTCCCTAATGTTCTGGCCGTGTGACCTTGGATTGCCTTCTTTACCTCTACAATGCCTTAGTCCTCTCATCTGTAAGATCAAACTTCCAGATTGAGTTATTGCAAAGAGTAAATAAGTGAAAGCAAATGAGTGTTAAATTAAAGCAGGCCAGGTGAGGTGGCTCATGCCTGTAATCCCAGCACTTTGGGAGGCTGAGGAGGGGGATCACCTGAGGTCAGGAGTTTGAGACCAGCCTGGCCAACATGGTGAAACCCTATCTCTACTAAAAATGCAAAAAGTAGCCAGGCTTGGTGGTACACTCCTGTAATCACAGCTACTCGGGAGTCTGAGGCAGGAGAACTGCTTGAACCTGGGAGGCGGAGGTTGCAGTGAGCCAAGATCATGCCACTGCACTACAGCCCAGGTGACAAGAGCGAAACTCTGCCTCAAAAAAAAAAATAAACAAAAAATTAATTAAGGCAAGCTATGACTAATTTCATACCACTGTAATTACTGTCTGATTTCCATTGGCCAATCCCATCTAAAAATGACATGACACGAGAAATCTAAATTATATCTATTTCATAATTACATATTTAATTACAAATTAAATATGCACTTAAAGCAAATACTAGAACGGAACATAGAAAAATAACAAGAGTAGATTGAGACTCGCAGGTAGGTGATTTATAATGTACCATTTCTATAACGGGAAAAGTAAACTCCAAAGAATTGTATTGGTTAGAACTAAAATTTTGAAATGCATTAAATATACATATTTTGTGATATCTATGAATGATAAAAACATCTTCCCTTCAGCACCTGCCTTAGCTAGAGCTCTGATATCTATTATTACATAACAATCTATATCAAAACTTAGTGGCTTAAAACCAGCAATTTATTTTGCCTACATTTGGAGGATCAGGGATTTGAGAAGGGCTCAGTTTGGCTGCTCTTCTCGGCTCACATGGCATCAGTTGGAGTGTTTCAGCTGGGGCTGTAGAATCACCTTCCAAGACTGCTTGCTCACACGGCTGGCAGGCTGGGGCTGGCTGTTGGCTCACAGCTCTGCCAAGGATGTTGGCTGGAGAGAGAAGGGGAAAGAGATCTTGATTCCTCTCCATGAATCTGCTTGGACTACCTCACAACACAGCAGTCTCAGGGTAGTCAGGCTTCTTTTATGGAAGCTACTTTTCCCCAGGGCAAGTGTTCCAAGACACAGGAAGTGGAAGCTGCCAGACTCCTAAGACCTGAACCTGGAAACTGGCAGTCGCTTCTACCAAATTCTATGACTCACAGCAGTTAGAGCCCATCCAGTTTTAAGGAGCGGGGACATAGATCCCACCTCTATGGGAAGAGTGTCAAAGAAACTGGCCATTCTTAAATTGTCACAGTTAGCCAGGCACCGTGGCACACCTGTAGCCTCAGCTACTTGGGAGGCTGAAATGGGAGGATCGCTTGAGCCCAGGAGTTGGAGTCTGCAGTAAGCTGTGATGGCACTACTGCACTCCAGCCTGGACAACACAGTGAGACCTCATCTCTTTAAAAAAATTTTTTTTAATTGTCATAGTTATTCTTTTCTTTCCTTTCCTTTTTTTTTTTTCTTTTTTTGAGACAGAGTCTGGCTCTGTCACCCAAGTTGGAGAGCAATGGCGTGATCTCGGCTCACTGCTACCTCCGCCTCTTGGGTTCAGCCTCCCAAGTAGCTGGGATTACAGGCACCTGCCACCACACCCAGTGAATTTTTGTATTTTTATTAGAGACGGGGTTTCACCATATTGGCCAGGCTGTTCTCGAACTCCTGACCTCAAGCGATCCACCCGAATCAGCCTCCCAAAGTGCTGGGATTACAGGCGTGAGCCACTGTGCCCGGTCAGTTATCCTTTTCTTGTGCCAGCCTTGCCTGCTGGTGCCACAGACAGGCCATTGCCAGCATTTCTTGCCTTACATACTTCTTTATGTGCTTTCTCCCCCATTCCTATTACTCCTTCCTAACTCCTGGTCCTTGACCCTTCTCTCATACCTGGTGATACTCATCTCCAGCTACAGGTTCAGAAGCTCTACTGTGTTCCAGTGACTTCATGCAGCTCAAGAGCTTTGGAATCTGGCAGACATGGGTTAGAACCAACTCTTTTAATTATTTGCTGTGTCCCTGGAAAAGTTGCTTAATATCTGACACATAGTTTCTTTGCCTGAAATAAAACTTATATCCTATGAGGTATCATAGGATTGTTGGGAGAATTTAGAAATAATGTATTTGGCAAAAATGTTTAAGTCTGACAATACCAAGTGTTGGTAAAGGCATAGAACTGAAACTCTTACACACTGCTAATGAGAGTTTAAACTGGTTCAATTTTCTGACCTATTTGGCAATATCTGATAAGATTATAAATGAACATATACTATAGTACAGTATATACTATATACGCATATAATATATACTAGGTTTTGATGGTTTTTTTGTTTGTTTGTTTTTTGAAACAGGGTCTGGCTCTATCATCCAAGCTGGAGTGCAGTGGTGCCGTCTCGGCTCACTGCAACCTCTGCCACCCAGGCTGAAGCCATCCTCCCACCTCAGCCTCCCAAATAGCTGGGACTACAGGCATGCACCACCACACCTGGCTAATTTTATGCATTTTTTGTAGAGATAGGGTTTTGCCATGTTGCTCAGACTGGTCTTGAACTTGTAAGCTGAAGTGATCCGCCTGCCTCGGCCTCCCAAAGTGCTGGGATTACAGGCATGAGCCACCGTGCCCAGCCTTACTGTATTATATTACAATATAATACAACAATTCTACTCCTAGATTTAGATTTTAGAGAAACTCTGAAACAGGTGTCCAAGGAACCCCATATAAGAATGGTAAGGAAAGTACTCTTTAATTGAAATTAAAAGAATCTCACTACAATGCTAAGCAAAAACAAGTAAATTGTACAACAATACATATAGTGTGAGATCATTTACACGTGGCTTAAAACATGCAAAAGAGTGTGATATTTTATTTAGTTATATGGATATAACCAATATATATTTTATATATAACTATACATAATATACATATTTATCTTATATATTTAGCTATATATATATGTGTGTGATAAAAGTAAAAAGAAATAATAAACACCAAATTCAGTCAAAACCAATCTAAGCCCTGGAATTTTTTTTTTTTTTTTTTTGAGATGGAATTTCGCTCTTGTTGCCCAGGTTGGAGTGCAATGGCCTGATGCCGGCTCACCGCAACCTCCGCTTCCCGGGTTCAAGCGATTCTCGTGCCTCAGCCTCCTGAGTATCTGGGATTACAGGCATGCGCCACTACGCCTGGCTCATTTTTTTTGTATTTCTAGTAGAGACAGCGTTTCACCCTGTTGGTCAGGCTGGTCTTGAACTCCTAACCTCAAATGATCCATCCACCTCGGCCTCCCAAAGTGCTGGGAGTACAGACGTGAGCCACCGCACCCGGCCTAGCTCTGGAATCTTAAGCTGTATGGTGGGAACCAAAGTGTTCATTATTTTATTCTTTCTTTTTTTTTTTTTTTCTGAGATGGAGTTTTGCTTTGCCACCCAGGCTGGAGTGCAGTGGCATGATCTCGGCTCACTGCAACCTCCGCCTCCTGGGTTCAAGCAATTCTTCCGCCTCAGCCTCCACAGTAGCTGGGATTACAGGCGCCCGCCACCATGCCCAGCTAATTTTTGTATTTTTTAGTAGAGATGGGTTTTCACCATGTTAGCCAGGCTGGTCTGGAAACCCTGACCTCAGGTGCTCCGCCCGCCTTGGCCTCTCAAAGTGCTAGAATTACAGGCATGAGCCACCACACCTGGCCATTATTCTTTATGCCTTTTCTATGTCTGGAATATTTCACAACTTTTAAAAGTTTTAAGGACCTACTTTATATTAAGCATGTGGCACAATGCTGGGACTGTGGCCAAGGTTCAAGGCACAGTAGCAACTGCTGTCATTTCTACTGAGACCACCCCTTGTCACTTCTGCAGCTTCAGAATCCTCTCCTTCACTCCATCCTTAAGATAGAAAAAGTCGTTTCCATTTTTACAACAGCTCAAATGAGCTTGTGACTGAAGTCATGAAAAGCACTCTAAATCTGGTTACCTGGATCGGACCAGCTGAGTTAAATTGGATTTTGAGAACAGTCACTTTTTTTTTTGAAGGTGAGCAATCTAATGTATAAATATGCCATGTGGTCAAACACTAACGATGGACAGATTTTTGAAAGTGCTGATTTGAAAGCAAGACATGCCAATCTTCCTGGTTCAGTCCTTTCATTTCTATCCAACGGATTGAAACAAGGAGCACTAATTTACCCTGTGTGGCCAATTTAGGCTGCCTGTTTCAAGCTTCTCAACTCTGCAAGCATATTGGAATGCCCAAGAGAGCTTTTGAAAATCTCGATGTTCAGTCTACAACTATATCAATCAAATCACAATGCCCTTGGATGGGACCCAGGCCTAAGCTCCGCAGGTAAGTCTAATGCACAGCTGTGTTAGTCCATTTTGCATTGCTATAAAGGAATACCTGAGGCTGGGTAATTTATAAAGAAGAGAGGTTTATTTGGCTCACAGTTCTGCAGGCTGTACAAACGTGGCACCAGCATCTGTTCGGCTTCTAGTGAGGCTACAGGAAGCTTTCACTCATAGAAGAAGGCAAAAGGGGAACAGACATGTCACACAATGAGAAAGGGAGCAAGAGAGAGAGCAGGGGGTCCCAGATCCTTTTTTGTTTAATTTTTTTAGAGATTAGGTCTCATTATATTGCCCAGGCTGGTCTCAAACTCCTGGGCTCAAGCGATCCTCCCGCCTCAGCCTCTTAAAGGGCTGAAATTGCAGGCATGAGCCACCACGCCAAGCCCCCATATTCTCTTTTTTTTTTTTTTTTTTTTTTTGAGATAGAGTTTCCCTCTTGTTGCCCAGGCTGGAGTGGAATGGTGCGATCTCGGCTCACCACAACCTCTGCCTCCTGGGTTCAAGCGATTCTCCTGCCTCAGCCTCCCGAGTAGCTGGGATTAAAGGCACGAGCCACCATACCTGGCTAATTTTGTATTTTTAATAGAGATGGGGTTTCTCCATGTTGATCAGGCTGGTCTCTAACTCCCGACCTCAGACAATCCACCTGCCTCAGCCTCCCAAAGTGCTGGGATTACAGGTGTCAGTCAACGAGCCTGGCTTTTTTTTTTTTTTTTTTTTTTAAGATGGAGTCTCACTCTGTCACCCAAGCTAGAGTGCAGTGGCGCAGTCTCGGCTCACTGCAACCTCCACCTCCTGAGTTCAAACAATTCTCCTGCCTCAGCCTCCCAAGTAGCTGGGATTACAGGCACAGGCCATGACGCCTGGCTAATTTTTGTATTTTTAGTAGAGACGGGGTTTCATCATGTTGGCCAGGATGGTCTCAAACTCCTGACCTCAGGTAATCTGCCTGCTTCGGCCTCCCAAAGTGCTGGGATTACAGGCATGAGCCACCACGCCCAGCCCCCATATCCTTTTTAACAACCAACTGTTGATGAACTAATAGAACAAGAACTAACTCATTACCAAGGGCAGGTCACCCATTCACAAGGGATCTGACCCCATGACCCAAACACCTCCCACTAGGCCCCACCTCAAACCTTGGGGATCACTTTTCCACATGAGATTTGGAGGAGACAAACATCCAAACTATGTCAGCAGCCAAGGTTGAGAACCACTGGCCCAGTTAATCCCCCAGGACAATGACAGTCCTGAAACACCAGACACCACCTGTGAATTCAGGTTATCTTTTCCCATCCTTCCATGTGTGAAGCACTAATTCCTTCTTTTTACTTTAAGTTTTTACAATTCAAGTCAATCGTGGATTCAACTGCAGTAGTAAGACTCTCTGGGCTTAGCCCTGTGACAGAGTGCTAGCCATGGACACCAGTACTTGCTCTCCCCCAAGTCCTTATAGATAGAACTCCAACTTTGGCTGGGTATGTGGCCCATCCACTTAAAAACCACATTTCCCAGGGATGGGGGCCAGGGAGAAGGGAAAGCTCTTCTTTACCAAAGAATGCCAACTAACGGATGTACAAGGAATGAGAGAAATAGAAAATAATTTTACAACCACCTTCATAATAACTGATTCAGGTGAGATTCATTAGTAGATACTAAGGCCATTGGCAGAAAGACTGTGGCAGCATGTGACATTCACACAATCTCAAAGCATCGCCACCCCCGACCCCCAGAGAATGCATTCATTCCAAGGGGAAAAGACACTTCCACAATGGAGAAACCTGGCAGACACCGCCTTTGTGGGCTGTGAAGCAATCATATCTCAGCTCCAAACCCTACCCTCTCTGCTCTGCTGTGACGCTGGGCTGGGAACCTTCCAACATTTGCTTGCCAGGGGCTCCCCTGTTTCGCTCTGCTGAGACGGCGAGGCTGGAGAGAGGAAAAGGAACTTCCTCCGGCTCGCCTCCTGTTCCCGCAAAGGGTGACCTCACATTTCTTCACTCTGATAGCAGCAGTTCCTTCCTTTTTTTTTTTTTTTTTTTTTTGTTTGAGATGGAGACTTGCTCTGTCGCCCAGGTTGGAGTGCAGTGGCACAATCTCGGCTCACTGTAACCTCAGCCTCCTGAGTTCAAACGATTCTCCTGCCTCAGCCTCCTGAGTAGCTGGGATTACAGACACCCGCCACCATGCCCGGCTAATTTTGTATTTTTAGTAGTTTCACCATGTTGACCAGGCTGGTCTCGAACTCCTGACCTCAAGCGATCCTCCTACCTCAGCCTCTCAAAGTGCTGGGATTACAGGCGTGAGCCAGCACGCCCGGCCAGCAGTTCTTTCTGACATAGCAGTTGGGTGCTGTGTGTGGTTCTTCAGCTCTCACCAAACCAACCCCTTCATGCACCTTTTCAAGTCACCAGCTGCCTGCCTGCCCTCCTCAGCAGCCAGGGCCCAGGCCCACAGGACCCTTCCAAGCCAACACAGCAGCTCCAGCCAGGGAGTGACGCTTCCTCAGCTCTTATAGCCTCAGTGATTGCTACCTCCATAACACCTTAATGTTTGTTTCTTGCCACTTCAGTTACCTGGTTAACACTTTACACCTAGCTAACAACTCTCATTAAAGGCTCTGTTAAAATAACTCAGATTTCTGTCTCCTGACTGGATCCTGATGCAGAAATTGGAATCAGGAGTGGGATTTATATGCCACCCTCTGGCATGGAAATATATCTTACTAAGGCATCCAAATTCCTTGCTATTAGTGATGTGAACACCTTAATATCACCAACAATGAGACAACTGATATCTCTGGGTCCTTGGGTCTCGAAGTCGCAACCACATGTTGAGGATGGAACAAGATAGAAAGAGTCTGTGTTTCCATCCTGATGACCATGGAGCCACCATAATAGGCCTGGGCTTCTTTTATTTATGTAGGAGAGAAATAAACTTTCTGTTCTTTGTTATTGCAGTTTTCTGTCACTCGCAGCTCAATCTAATCCTAATTAATATAGGGCATTTAAAGGCAAATTCACCAAAATTAAATTTATTTTAGACTTAAGAAATGAAGTTACAGTGAAGGAAAATTACTTGTCACACCACAGGCAGGAAAAGGTACCTTAGAGAATCAATGTCAAGTGGAATATTACCATGTCAAGAAAAATTACATATATTTATATGGAGAATGAGGTCAGTTAATAAACACTATGAAGTGCTTATGAAGTCAGGCACTACACACATTACATGCATTATTTTATTTAATCCTCATGAAAATCCTCTGACATAAGGCACTGTTATCATCACCAGTCCTTAGACAAGAGGACTGAAGGTTGGAAAGATTAAACAACATCCCATGCCATGCAACTTGTAAGTAGTAGAGATGGAATCAGAACTCAGGTAGGCTGAGTTAATCAACTCAACTTAATCAACTGACATTAAGATCTCTGCCACCAGTGGAAACTTAGAATGTAAAGCCTTGCCAGGTGCAGTGGCTCATAGCTGTAATCCCAGCACTTTGGGAGATCAATGTGGGCCTATTGTTTAAGCTCAGGAGTTCAAGACCAACCTGGGCAACACAGAGAAACCCCGTCTCCACCAAAAATACAAAAATTAGCTGGGCATGTTGACGTGCACTTGTGGACCCAGCTACTTGGGAGGCTGAGGTGGGAGGACCACTTGAGCCTGGGAGGCAGAGGCTGCAGTGAGCCAAGATGGCACCACTGCATTCCAGCCTAGGTGACAGAGTGAGGCCCCCATCTCAATTAAAAAAAAAAAAATTTAAACCCTTTCTCTATGTGAGAAAGTAATTCTACATGAAACAAGACAACCAGTATAAAAAAAAAGATTCTAAACAGAAGTTACTCTGACCAAATCTCTATTCCCAAGCTGACAGTTTTTCCAAAAAGCTGGCAAGGCCAACCACATTTAGGCTGACGAAGAGCTTGCCAGAAGCCAAGATCTTAGCTAAAAGAAAATTAACCTCCGTTCCAAATCAATAAGGTACACATAAGGTCCATCACAGGACTGTTCAACTAATGGACAATATCGATTATTATTCCCAGAACACGGCCCCCCAAAATTTTCAAATTAAAATTTAATTCAATAAAGGCTTCTAGAAAAAGAGATCAATAGGCACTTATTCTTATGGGCTGACATGAGATCTCCAATGGGCCTTGTATACAGCACAGCTCTCCCCGGGATTTCCAAAGTTCTATTATCTTCAGTGCTAAACTAAAAAGTACTAGTTCACATTAGGAACCAAACTGGCAACTGGGATGCCAACTATTATTTTGCAAAGCAGGACACAGTTAGTTGAAAATTGTATTTTTCCAATTAGCACAGCAGGAAACACTGCTGAGACATTCATCCCAAGCCTGCAATTAGAGAACATTTGCTTGCTTCTAGAAATAGAATGAATGGGAAGTAGAGACCTGCTATCTAGGTCTTCGGCAATAATATCCTGGGAGGGGAGATCTTGCTACCATTTCAGCAGTTCCCAGAAAATAAGCATCTTGCTCCTTTTAATAAATGCAGTATCATTCTCCAGTGCACCACAGTGTGTTAGGAAGAAACTAAGAAATCCAGCAACAAAAGGGGTTTACACAAAACCCTTATCATTAGAAAGGTAAGTACAACTGCCGATGAGCAGCTCTAATGTTTTATTTTATAGTTGTTTTAAAAATCTATTAATAGCTGGGCACAGTGGCTCACGCCTGTAATCCCAGCACTTTGGGAGGCCAAGGCAGGCGAATCGTGAGGTCAAGAGTTTGAGACCAACCTGGCCAACATGGTGAAACCCCGTTTCTACTAAAAATGCAAAAATTAGCTGGGCATGGTGGCACGTGCCTGTAGTCCCAGCTACTCGGGAGACTGAGGCAGGAGGATCGCTTGAACCTGGGAGGTGGAGGTTGCAGTGAGCCCAGATCATGCCACTGCACTCCAGCCTGGGTGACAGAATGAGACTCTGTCTCAAAAAAAAAAAAAAAAAAAAAAAAAAAAACCATTAATAATGTCTCAAAAGTCTCCACCTGTCACAAAAGGAAGTTTGGGCTGAGCACCTCCACAATCTCCAGCTAGCTGGCCTTCCCTGGCTCTTCAAATACAGTACTTCATTGTATGTGAGGCAAAACAATGGAAGCTTGAAGAATTTAGATCTCTCTCAAGCAGAGGTAAAGATAAGGCAGAGAACAGTGTTAAAAAGAGAAACAACTTTCACACCATGGGGTATCAGTTCAGTAACCTCATCAAAATTTGGAGCACTAAATTAAGATTTTGGTGTGAGCCAAGAGAAAACCCATTGGTTACTAAGATATTTGCTCTATATACCCCGCACAAACATTACAATGGAGAAAGGGTTTTCATAGACTAGGCATCCCCATACCATTAGATTTTACAGAGGACACTACAACTCAGCTTTAATGAATAAGTCTAACTTTGTACCTTTGGTCTTTAAGCAGCTTTATATTACATGAAGGTGAAAGAGGTATACAGTGAGAACAAATCCTTTTATTTCCCCCAATCAGGAAATGATTTGTTGAAAGCCCTAGCTTGGCCCAAAGTTTACCTCCAGCTTGTAACACTTATGGTAACTTGCAGGTAAACACGTGCATGATTGTGTAACATCTATTTAGATTGGTGCAAAAGTAATTGCGGTTTTTGCCATTACCTTCAATGGCAAGAACCGCAATTACTATTGCACCAACTTGACTATCTAGTTCTCAGTGACTACAGGAGGTTAACCAGATGATTCAACACTGATATTTATTCTGTGAAATAAACTATTTAATTTCTAGACAACACAGGGGCTTTACTAATAAACAGCTTCATCTCTCAGAAAGATCATGCAAGTATGTATGTGTGCATATGTACACATATGCATAGACAAAATGCCTATGAAGGTTTGCCAACTATTGCCAGTGGTTTCCTTTGGATAATGAGACTAGGAAACAGGAAAGCAAGCAAGACTCATTCATTCTTTACTTTCTTTTTTTTGTTTGTTTGTTTTTGGTTTTTGAGACTGAGTCCCACTTTGTCACCCAGGCTGGAGTGCAGTGGCATGATCTCGGCTTACTGCAAACTCTGCCTCCTGAGTTCAAGCGATTCTCCTGTCTCAGACTCCCGAGTAGCTAGGATTATAGGCATGCACCACCACACCCAGCTAATTTTTGTATTCTTAGTATTTTGTATTTTGTATTCACCATGTTGGCCAGGCTGGTCTTGAGCTCTTGACCTCAAGCAATCTGCCCTCCTCAGCCTCCCAAAGTGCTGGGATTACAGGCGTGAGCCACCACGCCCAGCCTATTCTCTACTTTCTATACCTAATTGTTCAAAAAACTTTTCAATGTAAACATTCCAATAAATGTTTCACTTAAAAAAAATACTACTAAAGCCGGGCACAGTGGCTCACACCTGTAATCCCAGCACTTTGTGGGGCTGAGTCAGGTGGATCACCTGAGGTCAAGAGTCCAGGTCCAGCTTGGCCAACATGGTGAAACCCTGTCTCTACTAAAAATACAAAAAAAAGCCAGGTGTGGTGGTGGACTCCTGTAATCCCAGCTACTCAGGAGGCTGAGGCAGAATCACTTGAACCTGTGAGTCAGAGGCTGCAATGAGCCGAGATTCCACCTCTGCACTCCAGCCTGGGCAACAGAGCAGGATTCCAACTCAATAAATAAATAAATAAATACTACTAAAATACCAACTAGTCAAGAATTTCCAGGGGAAGACACACTGAAACATTTACCTTCACTCCCTTAGGGCAGTGGAGGAATATTGTAGAGGCATAGTGAACAGGCGAGGAAACAAAACCTCAAAATTGTGGAAGCTTAGATAGCAGATGGAAAGACTCGGCTGACCCCAGAAGGCTGAAGCTAAGCTGGCCACTAAAAGGCTCGGAAGTTGGAGTCTCAAGTAACTTGGAAGAGAAACAAAGGATGGGCTAGAACCAGTAAGACTGAAAGTCTAAGAAGCAGTTTGGCCAGATGGAGTATCAGATGATATTAAAGAATTAGTAGGGCCGGGCACAATGGCTCACACCTGTAATCCCAACACTTTGGGATGCCAAGGTGGGTTGGGCACGTGAGGTCAGAAGTTCAAGACCAGCCTGGCCGATATGGTGAAACCCCGTCTCTACTAAAAATACAAAATTAGCCAGGCGTGGTGGCGCATGCCTGTAATCCCAGCTACTCAGGAGGCTGAGGCAGGAGAATCACTTGAACCCAGGAGGCGGAGGTTGCAGTGAGCCGAGATCGCGCCATTGCACTCCAGCCTGGGCAACAAGAGCGAAACTCTGTCTCAAAAACAACAACAACAAACTGTGTTAAAAATGTACAGGGAAATTTAAAAATAGCAAAACCACTATTTATTTAGTACCTGTAATTTAAAACATTAGACATATTGGGACTAAGCATTTTTGGATCAGCATCCAGTATTTTGCCCTTTGGGCTCTCGGTGTTGTAAATTAACTCCAAGAGGTCTGTTAAGGTGAAGTTTTTGCCAGCATCGCCTCTGGGACGCGTATGTTCTCTTTATCACAATCACTTTCTTCATTTTTGTTGTTAAATTTACCTTCGCTAACTTCCTCTGGCTGCCTGTCTAGAATCTCTCAAACAGCAGCCTGATCAACTTCCCATGGTCAAATGTAACTCAATTTATGTGCAGTTTGAATTCTGCAAAGTTACTTGCAGCATATAAGTTTCTACCACATTGAATATTACTGTTAATTTCTGCCATGATGCTTTCCATTTCTTCCAAACTTCAGCTAAAGAAATTGCAAGATCTGGCCAGGCGCAGTGGCTCACACCTGTAATCTCAGCACTTTGGGATGCTGAGGCAGGCGGATCACTCGAGGCGGGGAGTTCGAGACCAGCCTGGCCAGCATGATGAAACCCTGTCTCTACTAAAAATACAACAAATTAGCCAGGCATGGTGTCACACATCTGTAGTCCCAGCTACTCAGGAGGCTGGAGCAGAATTGCTTGAACCCAGGAGGCAGAGGTTCCAGTGAGCCAAGACACCCCCAGAGCACTCCAGCCTGGGCAATAGAGCGAGACTCCATCTCAAAAAAAAAAAAAAAAAAAAAAAAAATTGTGAGGTCGAGGTGGGTGGATCACGAGGTCAGGAGATCGAGACCATCCTGGCTAACATGGTGAAACCCCATCTCTATTAAAAACACAATAAATTAGCCTGGCATGGTGGCACACGCCTGTAGTCCCAGCTACTCGGGAGGCTGAGGCAGGAGAATCATTTGAACCTGGGAGGTGGAGGTTGCAGTGAGCCGAGATCGCAGCACTGCACTCCAGCCTGGGCGACAGAGTGAGACTCCATCTCATAAAAAAAATAAAAATAAAAAAAGCAAGATCTCTGGATGTAGCATCAATGGCCTATCAAAACTCCATAGAAGATAATGAGCTTTAAAAATCAAAATAATGGCTAGGCACAGTGGCTAACACCTGTAATCCCAGCATTTTGGGAGGCCAAGGCGGGTGGATCACTTGAGGTCAGGAGTTCAAGACCACCCTGGCCAAGGCAGGTGACTCACTTGAGGTCAGGAGTTCAAGACCAGCCTGGCCAACATCTCTAAACGTCTCTACTAAACGTCTCTACTAAAAGTTTAAAAATTAGCTGGGTGTGGCCAGGCGTGGTGGCTCATGCCTGTAATCCCAGCACTGTGATAAGCTGAGGCAGGCAGATCACGAGGTCAGGAGTTTGAGACCAGCCTGGCCCACATGGTGAAACCCTGTCTCTACTAAAAGTACAAAAATTAGCCAGGCATGGTGGCGTGCACCTGTAGTCCCAGCTACCTGGGAGGTTGAGACAGGAGAATCACTGGAACCCAGGAGGCAGAGGTTGCAGTGAGCCAAGATCGCACCACTGTACTCCAGCCTGGGTGACAGAATAAGACTCTGTCTCAAAAAAAAAAATTAAAAATAAAAAAAAAACTTAGCCAGGTGTGGTGGTGCTCACCTGTAATCCCAGCTACTCGGGAAGCTGAGGCAGGAGAATCGTTTGAACTGGGAAGGAGAGGTTGCAGTGAGCCAAGATCGCACCACTGCACTCCAGCTTGGGTGACAGAGCGAGCCACTGCCTCAAAAAACAAAAAAAATATCAAAATTATCTGTTTGTGCATTGGCTGGATTAATGAAAGTAGTGTTTGATGGTAAAAAGCAAATTTTCATTTTCATTCAAGCCCCCAAAAGAACTGGAGCATAATCCCACAGTAGCACTGAAAGTCTATAGTAGTATCTCTCCCACTGGAAGATAAGAAGGCAACACAACCAAAAGCTTTCTCATCTGGAGTGAACTGAGTAACAGATGTACAGTAGCCAATCACCAACAGACTTTGAAGGAAGTGACATGACAGATCACCCATCATGATGTGCCCATTCTTTTCTAAAGGTGATCTGTGGACTGAAGAGCTAACAGTGAAGGCTTTGCTTTATAGTTACTCAGTTAGTAGACCACGGTAACTGAAATATGAGCTGTGCTGTCAGGGGACTGGTATTTACCTAAACTGCGGTAACTAAACCGGTGCCTATTGAAGCCACCCTAAGGATGGGCTGTCTAGGCTGAAAACAGTGAGGTTAAAATATGTGGTGACCACTTCCCCCTCTGAGTCCTAGAACGTTCATTAGTTAGGCTTTTAGCCTTCTGAAGCTTTTCTGGGGTTCCTCCAAGGAAAGAGCCCAACCAGATCACCCTATGTCAGGGTTCTGCAACCTCAGCACTACTGACATTTCAGCCCAGGTATTTTCTGTTGTGGAGTTGCCCTGTGTACTGTAGGACGCTTACAGCAGCATCTCTGGTCAGTACCATCCCCCAATTGTGACAACCAAAAATGTCTCCAAATATTACTACCATAAATGGGACAAGGGAGAGTCACAAATGGGGACTGGGGACAGCAAAAGTCACCCCTGGTGGAGAACTCCTACCCAAGACAAAGGCCCAGTAGTCCCAGAAGTGTCACCCGCACTCAGCCAAAAAATGCGAGAGGGAAATAGTAACACAAGTATATTATTTAGATATAAAGAGACAAATACCAAAAGAATTGAAAGTGGTTGCCTCAGGAAAGGGAAATGTTGGCAGACCTGTTTTTGTTAACAAGCCTTGTTGGACCAGCTGGCTCTTCAATTTGCCCAACCTTGATTTTCAAAAAACTTTTAGTTAAGAAAAGGCAATGTCAGCTGAGCCGTGGTGGCTCACGCCTGTAATCCCAGCACTTTGGGAGGCTGAGGTGGGTGGATCACCTAAGGTCAGGAGTTTGAGACCAGCCCGGCCAACGTGGTGAAACTCTGTCTCTACTAAAAATACAAAAATTAGTCGGGCGTGGTGGCGCAAGCCTGTAATCCCAGCTACTCAGGAGGTTGAGGCAGGAAAATCGCTTGAACCCTGGGAGGCAGAGATTGCAGTGAGCCGACATCGCGCCATTGCACTCCAACTGGGTGACAAGAGCGAAACTCTGTCTCAAAAAAAGAAAAGGCAATATCTATGCCGAAAAAAAAGGGGGGGGCCAGGGTTCTCACCATGTGTCCCTGCCCCATGGCAGACAACTAAAGTAGAAATATAACCGCTCCTCTGGTCCCTTCCCTAGCTCTAGAGGCTCCTCTCCCCAGGTCTACCTGCTCTGCCTACAGAAACACATCCTTGGTGTGTTCAATCTTTTCACTTCCCTGGGCCACACTGGAAAAATTGTCTGTAGCTGGACAAGCTTGGTCTAAGTATTTTCTCAGCTGTTCTGTCCTGAGCCAAGTGAAAGTGCCAGGGAGGTTCCTCTTCTCCATGTAATCACTGGGCTCTGAAAGGATCTGGGCTTTTGTGAGGTCATTCAGCACGAAGGGAAGGCAGTGCCAGAACTCTGAGGGTCTCCTCCCAGACCCTCAGTTCAAGGCCTAATGCTCGGTCGCCCTTTACAACAGCCCCCTACCCTCCCTTCCCTCAAGTAACAAGTCATAAAGCTAGTTTCACCCAGCCCCAAAGGCTACAAGTAACGGGCACCCTCTGCTAACTGACAATACTGGGCAAATACAGATGTTCTCCACGCCAGTTTCATCATGTACAAAATCAGGATAAGATCTACCACAAAAGGCCATGAGGATTAAATGTAGTCTTCTGCAAGACCATTAAACTGACAGCAGGATGCAACGGCATGTACCCAGCCAGTGGCCTAACCTTGCAGGCACAGGTTAGACTAGGCACTGCCTTACCCTGTTCGATTCTTAGTGTTGGTTTCTAGTGAAACGCTCCAAATAAACTCAAAATTCAAAAGTATTGTTCCAAACCCTCAGGACAGGAACTATCAATCTAGTTTGCCAAGAAATGTACTTTTCATTAACTTCTGATCAGGGGCAAAAATATAATGGGTCAGAACTGAAGAATCCCATACTGAGAACTTTTAAACAAAACTTAGCTACACATTGCCTCCCACTCATTTTTGCTTTCCTTGTACTGATGTCCTTTGAACACTAGTCTGAACTGCAGAATCCACTTATACACAGACTTACTTTCACCTCTGCCATCCCTGAGACAGCAAGACCAACTCCTCCTTTCCTCCTCAGTCAACTCAAGATGACAAGGATGAAAACCTTTATGATCCATTTCCACTTAATGAATAGTAAATGTATCTTCCTTATGGTTTTATTTCCTTTTCTCTAGCTTACATTATCGTAGTACAGTATATAATACATACATATAACACGTAAAATATGTGTTCACAACTGTTTATGTTATTGCTAAAGCTTCTGGTCAACCGTAGGCTACTGGTAGTCAAGTTTTTGGAGTCAAAAGTTATACATGGTTTTTTGACTGCATGGGGGTTGGTGTCCAACCTCCACACTGTTCAAGGGTTTACCGTAATACCAAAGCTAAAAACAATCTACATAAAATAGTAAAATAAAGCTGTCCATTCAACAGTAAATCTTTGGCTGTGAAAAACCATGAGTAGGCCAGACGCAGTGGCTCATGGCTATAATCCCAGCACTTTGGGAGGCCAACACAGGCGGATCACTTGAGGTCAGGAGTTTGAGACCAGCCTGGCCAACATGCTGAAAGCTTGTCTCTACTAAAAATTAGCCAGATGTGGTGGTGGGCGCCTGTAGTCCCAGCTACTCAGGAGGCTGAGGCAGGAGAATTGCTTGAACCCAGGAGGTGGAGGTTGCAGTGAGCCGAGATCACACCACTGCACTCCAGCCTGGTGACACAGCGAGACTCCGTCTCAAAAAAAAAAACAAAAAGTATCAAAAGAAAAAACTGGAAAAACAAAACAAAAAAAACACCCGTGTGCTAACATGAAAGTGTACAGGCTGTGCTACTAAAAGGGAAAATGCCAAGTTGCCACCACAGTCCCTATGGAGTAATGTCTTGCATATTCTGGGCACACAAGAAGCATACAGGGAGGGGTTGGGAGCTTTAAGTTGGACAGTAGCTCTCACTTGTTAAGATATTCACATCACCTAAGAATGATATTAGGCTAACTGATCAGGAGCCCAGGTGATTCGAGTATGAAAGAAAACCATGAGAACAAATTTTCTAAAAACTGTAGGCTTTTTTATTCAGTTAAGAGGTAGACAAATGAACATGGAAGGCTGTCCCACTTAACTTGCCCAAAGTTCACATTCCACTTCATTCATCCATCCCACACTGCCAGAAATCTTAAAGAAATAACCAAGATTGCCAACAGGCTTTTTCTTTCTTACTTCTTCTTAGCAATAACAGTCAATAAACTGCTTGCAAAAAAGTTACTAATTTAAATTTTCACTGTGTTCAAAGAACCTCATCCCTCTAAGAAGCTCCCGAATATGCCAATAGATCCTGCCACTACTGACAGGAGGGCAGAGTACCAAGGACTCTACTTATATAAGAGACTACAAGGGAAGTTGTAGTTATATTTTTGTTGTTAAATCCCTGTGCATGTGAGGGCAGAAGCTGGTGAAACCAACAACGCAGAGCATGCTCTGTCAAACGGCTCTTCATGGTTTAAAAAAAAGAAAAAAAAATCACAAGTCATCTTCAGAGACAACATTAAAACATAATGGAATTGAAGCCTGATACAAAAAGTAGAGAAATATGTACAGGAATTCACAGCCCAGAAGGAAAGGGGACCTCAGCAGGAGCCAGTGGAACCCGGGCTATTTTACACAGCTAATTTTGAGACAATTCATATTTAGCACAAAAGCAGTTATAGCACAAGTAACACTTCCCTCCTCTGGCTCCCAAATAAAAAGACTCTTGTCAGTCTTCTGTTAACACTGTAATCATTCTTCAGGGGAGCAGGAATACCTAAGATGGTCCCAAACATTGACACAAATTTTAATCTCAAACAGCTTCACATTCTGAGGATGACATATCTGAAGATTGCCATGATGGCAGCACTGATAACTCCAGAAATGGGGACTGTGACAAACCAGGCCATAAAAATGTTACGAAAGAGACGCCAGTCAACAGCCTTCTTGGACCGGAGCCAGCCAACAGACACAACAGAGCCCACCTAGAAGAGAAGCAGACCAAGGAAACAGGTTATTGAAGTGCCAGTGGTATTCTGGCAAACAGACACCTGAGACTGTTTGGACAAGGAGCCCCAGACCCCTGGACAAGACAAAGTCCAAGAAAGCTGGTTTACAACAGGTTAAGCTGGGAAAATGAAGGCAATTTGAAAATCCAATCATAATCTATACTAACGGTAGTAAAAGGACACAAGAACTATTTCTTTTCCCCTTCTCAGCTACTGCTAAAATTTAATGAATATATACTGCTTTTATTTATTTATTTTTTGAGACGGAGTCTCGCACTGTCGCCCAGGCTGGAGTACAGTGGCGCAATCTTGGCTCACTGCAACCTCCACCTCCTGGTTTCATGTGATTCTCCTGCCTCAGCCTCCCAAGTGCTGGGATTACAGGCACCCACCACCACGCCTAGCTAATTTTTTGTATTTTTAGTAGAGATGGGGTTTCACTATGTTGGCCAGGCTGGTCTCAAACTCCTGACCTTGTGATCCACCTGCCTTGGCCTCCCAAAGTGCTGGGATTACAGGCATGAGCCACTGCACCTGGCCTATACACTGCTTTTAATAACAAATTGCATTGTAAGTCTTCCTAAGATTATTTACAGAGTGGCTGATATTAAACCTAATAAACAATTGTCTGGAGACACATCCGGGTAGCAAACAGATGACTCAGCAGGATCCATGATGGACCAGCTTAAATGCTCTTAAGGAAACCAGTTTCTTCCTTCTCCTATAATTATTAGATTGTCATCAAACAACCTTAAGATTTGTTTTGTTTCTCAGTATTTCAATCCTGAGAGGCCCTGAAATATGCCTTCTGTAAATAAACTGCTTTGCCAACATTTTGGCAAGCCTCACAGACTTGTTAGAACCAGGCCTTCAGCCACCACAAATGGCAGCAGAAACCCACCTGGCCAGAATTAAAGCACCTGCCAGTTTCTAAGCATACACCTACCCTGCTCTGAATGGCTTCCCCAAAGGCAAAGAACATAATGCTGTCGGCCGGGCGCGGTGGCTCACGCATGTAATCCTAGCACTTTGGGAGGCCGAGCCAGGTGGATCACCTGAGGTTAGGAGTTCATGACCAGCTTGGCCAACATGGTGAAATCCTGTGTCTACTAAAAATACAAAAATTAGCCAGGCATGGTGGCGGGTGCCTATAATCCCAGCTACTTGAGAGGCTGAAGCACAAGAATCACTTGAGCCCAGGAGGCGGAGGTTGCAATGAGCCGAGATTGTGCCACTGAACTCCAGCCCAGGTGACACAGCAAGACTCCAACTCATACATAAATAAATAAAACATAATGGTGCCAAGTAGAAATGACTCTTGAGATTAAAAAAAAAATTATTATAAAGAGACTACAATGAGGGAGGATAAAGTAACAAAGGAAGAGGTTAGTAGCCAGAAACTACAGTAAGCTGTATATAAAACAATGTTTCTATTATTTGGGGAGAATATCTATTTAATTGCTTAAATAAGAATAAACACAAGAAATAACTTATGAACTCTTCAAGACTCCAACTGCACAAAACTTTCTAAATCAAAGTATCAGAGAAGTAAAACTAAAAACCCTACATATTAGAAGAACCATTTGAAAGACACACATTGGCATTACACTTACTTTACAATGTGTTGTACTGATGGGAAGGCCAATATTTGATGCAATCACCACAGTGAGGGCAGATGCCAGTTCAATACTGAAGCCACTACAGACACAAAAGGATTCTTGTCAGGAAGTGAGTTTGACTTTTTTGAGAAGCTAACACTACACCTCAAGTTAACACAGTCCTGCTTTGTTCTACTCAGTCACAAAACCTCCACTGACATCTTTATTTGCTATAACCCCTAAGATCTACTTTATTTAAATCAGGCCACAGATGCCCAGTTTCCTTATTCAAAGGCTTCCAGTTTTACGTTTTTCTGGAATCCCACTATTAAATAAAATTTGCACTTTTATTTTGAAGAGTTTGGTAAACATTGAGTCTTAGCTCCCAAGACAAATAAAAGGCAAGTATACATAACTATCCGCTCTTAGCATACACAGCTTTCTCAGAAAAGTCATTTTCTTCAGAGACCACCAGAGCTAAATGGGTAAAATGTCTGACCAAAATGTTTAAGGGCCAGACAAGTAAAATCTAAAAAGAACAATGACAATAAGAACATCATGAACTTATACAAACTTGGTTACTTTAGAGATTTGTGTTAGCACTCGACAGTGTTATATCTCTGAAAAAAATGAGTACTGACATTTGTAGAACCTGCTCCACCTACTTACCTAGAGGGTGTGATCGGTGTCAGATCCTTCCCCATGGTCTGGATAACTCTTCTTCCCCAAACCCACAGACCAACACAGATACCAACACCACCATAGAGTAGAAGCCATATTGGTGTTGCCACTTTTGAAGAAACATCTCCTGTGTCATAAACCAAATATAAAGCAACCAGAGGCCCAATGGCATTGCTGGAAGAAACAAAGAGGGCAGAAGTGACTTTTCAGGCAGAACTAGATCTTGGCAAGACCCAATCTGCTGAATGATCTACCAGGTTGTCTAAAGTACAGCTTTCAAGCTCATCTGGCAAAAGGGCCTTTCTTTCTAAAGACATAAATGGAACCCCAACATACACAACAGAAAAATGAACACAGCTCTGATGGAGGGAATGCCAGGCAAATGGTGGCCTCTTTCCTCCTATAGGCAGCTTAAAGCAACTCTCAGGTTCCAATAAACAGTTTACAAACCAAACTACAAAATCATTCTATATGAAAAACTTTTAAGTTTTTCATCTTACATCTTACATCCCACAATTCACTACCAAAGAACTGAATCTCATCTTGATGGACAAAAGCCTTCTCTGTGAAGAGTATCTGTTTATATTTATCATCTACAAAAATAAACATTCTTTGTAATTCCTCTGAAGAATAAAACTGTACTGTCTTATTATGTCAATAACTGCTATTACCTCATCCTATTTGTATTATTTGGGGTCCTGTAAATGCTAGGAGTACCACTACCACAAGCACAGGCCTGTGACAAGGATAAATGGTTTAAAAATAGGGTTAGCAACACTAAGATCAATGTCAACTGACCTTACGTCATTGCCACCATGGGCGAATGACCCAAAGCAGGCTGTAAGGATCTGCAGGAACTGGAAGAGGAGAGAGACTTCAGGCTTATCCTGGTCATACCATTCTTCTAGAGAGCCATTACTTCCTTTTCTGTCACCTAGACCCATCTCTGCCTTGACACTCATGTCTATCTCAGATGCTGAGTGAAGGTCAGACACAGCATTGCAGTAACTGGTGTAACTGTCCATTCGAATTCGCTTCTTGGAGTCTGCATTAGGCCATGTCAGCTTCTCCATTTCTTCGCCCTTCTGTTCACCTTCTTTGGCACGGAATGAATCCAGAGGCATGCCACATATTGCCATGGTATAGGAAGTATAGCTATTATTGCGCCTTAAGGGTTTGTCACCGGAGTCTCCCATGCAATCTCCCACCTTGGCAAGATGTAATTTATGGAGTAGCTCTTTGTACAGGCCGGAATCCTTATGCACGGTGTGATACTGGTAGTGGCCACTGGAGTTTATTTGGTTGCTGACGGCTTGACTGAACTGGACAAGGTTCCCATTAGGCAACTGCACTGCACCTAGTCAAGATCACCAAGGTGACATTCAATACAAAAAGCATCAAATCCAAAACAATAAGCCTCCTCACCACTGCAGGTAACAAAAGTGAAACCAGGAATTCCAACTCACCATTCACGGTGCTATCTATGCTGGTTTCCTCTTTCAAGTCCACGCTGGGAAGCCTCTCTCTCTCTGGAGCTTCCTCCAAATCTCCAAGTTTGAATGAGACTGTTCTCTCCTCCACCACAGCCTGGAGGGGCACAGTGGCAGGCCCTACCTCAGAAACAGGATGCTTGTTTTCAATATCACCAACAGACAACTTTGTTTCTTCATGGTCTTCTTTCAAGCTATTCTTTTTTTCCATTAAGGGGCTTTCAGAAGGACTACACTTTATTTCTCCTAGGAAAAAAAAGGGGGGTCTTTTTTGGTTTGGTTGTGGCCATACTACTTTGTTCCACGTCTCCTTTCCTCCACCCCCAAAAAACTCATCTCAAAACAAGAATGTATGTGAACTTCAATTAACATTCAGGAACATTTTTCCTGCCTGCTTTATCATTTGCCAGCAACTCTCACTTGGGAACAACCAGCAATGCAGAACACCCTATGTCAGGGGTCCCAAAATTTTTCTGTAAATATTTTAGGTTTTACGGGCTTCTGTAGCACATTGTTGTTTTGTTTTTATTTTTACAACCCTTTACAGATATAAGAACCCTTCTTAGCTCCCTGCTGACTCATTCTGTAGGGGAAAGTAGCTCAACCATGGGGCTGATAAGCTGAAACTAAAAATCTGAACTGTACCCAATTCTATTCTTTTCAAAAGAGGATTCTCTCAAATTTCAGTCCACCAATTCAAGCAAAGTGGCACAGCTCAATGCAGGGAACTAAAGACGACAACTTTAATTTCCACCTCTATAAAACAAAGAGATGTGCATCATGGCTGTAAATCCCACAGGCAGACCAGAGTATCTTCTGCCTCTCTCATGCCAGTGCTCAGTATGCTGACCTATCCATCCAGGCACCTCAGTCAAACTACAGACTGACTAACATAAAGCAAGACTTGTCTCAACTCCTCCCAGAGAGGGAAAATGAGGCCAGAGAGTCCTGAAAGCCTGGTTCCCACCGTGCACTCGGCACAGCCAGACTAGCACAGAACCTCTCGGAGGCTCTTCGGTTCAGCTGCGGTGACGCAGCGTTCTTCCTAACACCACTGCAGTCTATGCATCCCTCAGCTTCGAAACGATAAACTTCAACTTGCTAACCCAGCCTTCACATCGATGAAAAGGGCAGAAAATGATTATTTTAAGGAAAAAAAAGTCCGATACTAACCAAAATTTACTCAGTATTTAATTACATGAGTGTGTGGTAATGGCCTAAATGATTCCTTGACACTTGAAAATGTTTACTTCTAGAATCTGTGCTACAATTCTAGCAGACACACAATGTGTGTTTGTATATGTATTTGCATTGTATACTGCAATACAATGTCTACATGTATTCTAGCCTATATACAACATGTACACATTAGACTTAGCTTTGCTTGTCTGAATCTGAAGTTATACACAGAAGCAGTTGGGGTAAATATTTCCTCTACGAAAATATCTTGTATCTACCCCTTATTTTTCATTAAGGTATCCTTCTACTTCTCAGTAAATGTAGGCTATGATTTCTCTATTTATCTATCATGTCACTGGCAACTGATCAAGGAACATAAAAAAATTCAATGCCCCAGATTGTCTCTACAGCATAGGTTGAATACTCTTTATCACTAGGTCTTAGGTCATGTAAGTCCATTTTTAAGAACAGGTCTTAGGTCATGTAAGTCCATTTCTAAAAACAGTTTGGACAACAAACCCATATCCTCAAATTTCCCTTTAAAATCTCTTATTTTGCCAATCTCTTCTAATAGATTTTTACAGGTGGCCAAATAAAAAATAAACACAACATTAGTAGTTAAACTTTTCTGCTGTTTAGTTATTACTTACGTTCAATTTTTCTCTTCATCCTGGGACATACAAAGAACCAGACGATAAGGGCACAGAAAACTGCACATCCCACCGAGATGAGGATGGTACCCCACAGAGGAAGTTTGTCAAAGCCCAGCACTAGGAGATAAAATGGTGCATCTTGAAAACCCCAGGGCAACAGCCCCCTGCAATATTGTGTAAACCCTCCTCTGGGGACTGAGGGGTTCCCCATACCAGCCCATCACCCCTGACAGCTGCTGCCAGATTTAAGTGCACAGGATTACTGTGCTAGTGCCTATACAAATTTGGGAGAAAAACTCAATGATCATCTGAAAACCCACACCAGCCTAGCCCACTTGAACACCTGCGGGACTCAAGTTCCTATGCTTCTCAACATACGAGCCTTTTCCTTTCTTCACCTTGGAAGATAATAAAGATCACTACACGCTAAGGACCTATGACTAGCTATGAAAAAGACAGCAAGTGTTCCACTCTCCTAGCTCATGATCGTAACTGCCACATATTCCATTACCACCTACAAACTTATTTTAATGTTAACAGAATGATGTCTCAGTAGTCACATTTGTCATGCTGACACAATTCTGTGTAAAAGTGATTACATTCACTATACTGGCCTTTAGTAAAATGCTTTAATGAGATTATCTCCTTGAAAGCAGTATCAAAGCAAGATACAGAAAACAAGGATATTATCTATCAAAAGTTGATAATTTAAGAATAGTTGTAAAAGCTTTGTCTTTCAGCCAGGCACGGTGGCTCATGCCTGTAATCCCAGCACTTTGGGAGGCCGTGGCAGGCAGATCACTTGAGGTCAGGAGTTCGAGACCAGCCTGCCCAACATGGCAAAACCCCATCTCTACTAAAAATACAAAAAAAAATTAGCCGGGCATGGTGGTGGGCGCCTGTAGTCCCAGCTACTCGGGAGGCTGAGGTGGGAGAATCACTTGAACCTGGCAGGGCGGAGGTTGCAGTGAGCTGAGATTGCGCCACTGCACTCCAGCCTGGGTGACAAAGTCAGACTTTGTCTCAAAAAAAAAAAAAAAAAAAAAAAAAGTTTTGTCTTTCTCACACACAAAGTTTAGTGGTAATTTCACTTACAAGTCTTACCTTAAAAAAAGACTTGCCTAGCAACACTGTTCACATGGTTTAAGAATGAGTAATATTAGTCATTATCTGACTGTCATATGCACGCCAGTAGGCTCCAAACCATTAGCCTGTACTAAAGACAGAAGTAAAGCACTGGCCAGGCACAGTGGCTCACACCTGTAATCCCAGCACTTTGGGAGGCTGAGACAGGTGGAGCACCTGAGGTCACGAGTTCAAGACCAGCCTGGCCAACATGGTGAAACCCCGTCTCCACTGAAAATTAAAAAAATCAGCTGGATGTGGTGGTGGGCTTCTATAATCCCAGCTACTTGGGAGGCTGAGGCAGGAGAATCACTTGAACCCAGGAGGTCGAGGTTGCAGTGAGCCAAGATCGTGCCACTGCACTCCAGCCAGCCTGGGTGACAAGAGCGAAACTCCGTCACAAAAACAAACGAAAAGAAGTAAAGCACTATACAATCCTATTTAAATCTAACAGATGTTATAATGATCTCTAGCTACTCAGGAGACTGAAGTGTGAGAACACCCTGAGCCCAGGAATACAAGGCCAGCCTGGGCAACACAGCAAGACCCCATCCCTGAAAAACAAAAAAGGTAAAAAAAAAAAAAAAAAACCCATAAAAGATATTATAATGATCTGTAGTTGATATCTAGGAATAGCTTAGTTACTTCTGCTTGTTTTGCTTTATTTTGCTTGTTATGTACGAAATCACAGATGCTCCTCAACTTACAATGAGGTTATGTACCTATAAACCCATCAAAAAGTCAAATAACTGAAGGTTGAACCATGAAGTCAGGGACTGTTTGTACTTATAAACTGGAAATTCTATCATACCCCAAAATGATTAATCTTTAAAAATCAGACACAAGGCCAGACGCGGCAGCTCACGCCTGTAATCCCAGCACTTTGGGAGGCTGAGGTCCGTGGATCACCTGAGGTTGGGAGTTCAAGACCAGACTGACCAACACGGTGAAACCACGTATCTACTAAAAATACAAAAATTAGCTGGGCGTGGTGATGCACATGTGTAATCCCAGCTACTCGGGAGGCTGAAGCAGGAGAATCGCTCAAACCCGGGAGGTAGTGGTTGCAGTCACCCAAGTTCGCACCACTGCACTCCAACCTGAGTGACAGGGCGAGACTCTGTCTCAAAAAAAAAAAAAAAAAAAAAATTAGAAACAAATTGAGGTCCCTTCAAAACTAAAACTTTTTTTGTTTTTGAACTTTTTTTTTTTTTTTTTGAGACAGCATCGCACTCTGTCGCCCAGGCTGGAGTACAGTGGCACGATCTTGGCTCACTGCAACCTCCGCCTACCAGGCTCAAGTGATTCTCCTGCCTCAGCCTCCGAAGTAGCTGGGATTACAGGCGCCTGCCACTGCACCTGGTTAGTTTTTCTAGTTTTTAGTAGAGATGAGGTTTCACCAACTTGGCCAGGCTGGTCTTGAACTCCTGACCTCATGATCCACCCACCTCGGCCTCCCAAAGTGCTGGGATTACAAGCATGAGCCACCGCGCCCGGCCCCAAACTACAATTCTATGGTGACTATGTATCTTTTCATTTTAAATTCTGCTTTCAATTTTGATCATGTGGTCACACAAACTAAAATATACATGAAATTACTGTCTATCACAATTTAAGTTGGTCTACATTCCAAGTCAAAAAGGAAAGAGACTGGTTTTTCTTACAAATGATCCATAAAGGACACAACGAAAATATCTAAGTTTCTGTTTTTAAAATGATTCTAATTTCACTCATCTCTGAGCTTTGCTTCTACCACATAAAGAATGAGTGTTAAGAGCATCATGGGAGACTTTTTAGTTTATCACAAAGAACTGTTTACAATGGAAATCTGGCATACAAACTTCTCTTCACCGGCACATAGCAGTTCAGTATAGTCTAAGTAAGAACAATATTTTCTTAAAGTTGTCTGTTTCGTTCCTGATTATTCCAAGAATTAATTAGCAAGATTAAAAATACTTAGCTCCATCTAACAAAATACACATATAATCCCTCAATCTAAAATAAGGTAAAAAATTAAAATATTGGCGAGGTGCGGTGATCATGTCTGTAATCCCAGCACTTTGGGAGGCTGAGGCAGGCGGACCACCTGAGGTCAGGAGTTGGAGACCAGCCTGACCAACATGGAGAAACCCCGTCTCTACTAAAAATACAAAATCAGCCGGGCTTGGTGGTGCACGCCTGTAATCCCAGTTACTTGGGAGGCTGAAGCAGGAGAATTGCTTGAACCCGGGAGGTAGAGGTTGTGGTGAGCCAAGATCATGCCATTGCACTCCAGCCTGGGCAACAAGAGCAAAACTGTCTCAAAAAAATAAATAAATAATAAAAATATTTAGCTAACTCTACTTTGGGTCAGCAACTTACTACTTCAGTGAGGTTTAAGAGCAAGTCACAACCCATTACTCAAAACTGAAATCATTTCAGTGGGCCACAACAAATGTTAAGAAAAAAAAAAAGAGAGAATTTGAAAATATGGGTGCATAGCACATAGTAAGCATTAAGTGGCTTCATGACACTATTCCAGTTATCTTTCTCTCTACATACATACATGTGTGTCCTGTATTTCATCCAGTGGGTCACAGTATAAAGAATAAAAGTCACTGCCTATGTAGTCACAGACCATCAGGCCAAATGAGTCTAGATACCAAAACTGTACTGTCCTGCCAGTTACAAGTTACCAATCTTTTGTTGTTGCTAAATTAAACTTGTAGCGCCATAATTTAATCCATGCCTTGCCTTAGTCCCAAACATGAAAGTCATCAACATTTCAACCTTTATATTCTCACAAATTATTTTTCCTCTTAGCTGCATGAATTTCTTCTTCCAAGTGCACTTAGAGCAGGTGGTAAACATCCCAACTCTTCTCATTCAAGCAGATTCATGGAAGTTTAGTACTTAGAAACAATAGTATCTCCATTTGGGAGAGAAAAATGAGAATATCCAGCAAACCAGTCCTAAATGACTGATTACTGAAGATCAGATATAACTAATGACTTCAGTAGTTGAGGTCAGTATTAATTCCAGCATTTTTAGCATAGACAGGAGAAAGGGAAGGAGATGATCATATTATCAGTGGATCCTGTGAAGACTAAAGAGGAAAGGTCTGTAGTGATTTAGAATCTGAGCAGGTCTCTTTGGTTGAAAAACTATCTAGGTTAACTCAGCGTACACTAGCCTGCAGCCTTCTGAAATGGGCGCAGGCCAGCCACCTTCTAGGAGATTTCAGCCCTGTAAAGCAAAAAGGGGTAAATTGGGCATTTAATGCAAGTTTTGTAAACAACTTTAAATTCACATTTAAATATTTTGATAGGTACTTACACGGTGCTCCAGTATACATGATGGAAAAGAGGTTTATTCCAACTGTGCAGGCATAGAAAACTGGCAAAGCTCGCAAACCATTAGGAACTGGATCTGCCTGTAAAACATCATTAAGATCAATATCTTAAAAGGTATAAAGGTTAACCCATTTCCACAGAATCTTTTAACAGGGTAGGTTTGGGAATTATAGTGCCAATAACTCTCTCCAGAGTAGTTTCCAAGGACAACAGAGTTTTTCCTGCATTTGCATCTGGAATTCTTCCTACGAAGGCTAATTCCAACTTCTACCTGTTTTTTTTTCTTTTTTCTTTTAATAACAAGACTAACTGTACCAGTGACTGATAACATCCTGAATAAAGATTGCAATACCCACATTCTAAGGTACCCAAAAGCCCTAATATAAACTTCAGCACACACCTGAGGATAGGCTATACTCTACGTTTGTAAGAGATGTCAAGAAATAGACTATGTTAGGATGTTGCTTACCTGACTTCATATCTTCAAAGACTAAAAATACAACATGCAGACTATGCGTACGCCAACCATCTTATCTAAACATCTGACAAAGATGCCACAATTAATGCTTTACCGAAGTTCAATGATAATAACTGATTGTGCACAAGGTCATCCACTCACTCAAAAGACTGTGTGCCAAGTGCTATTCTGGGCACCGAAATATAGGAGGGAATAAGACCAAGTTCCTGTTCTAATAGAACTGACACTCACCTTCTAGTATGGAATAATGTAAAGTACTGACAAATGCTGTGAAGAGAAATAAAGAAGGGTAAGAGGAGAGTGATGGAAGGGGGGGCACCATTTGGGTGGGGAGGGTCAAGGAATAAGCATGACATAAATGTAGTAAGCTAGCAAGCTGTGTACATTAACTATGGGTACAGAAGGGGCAAACCACCTGATTATTTGGGCGCTGAATGTTCCAGACAGAGATATCAGCAAATGCAAAGGCCCTAAGGCAAAAACTTGAAATGTTTAAGGAACAGTAAGGCCAGTGACTAAAAATAAGAATTCTACCATACCTAGTATGTATTAATTCTATAGGAGAACACCCAAGTCAAACACCGAAAGAATGGGAGGAGGCTGGGCGCGGTGGCTCACACCTGTAATCCCAGCACTTTGGGAGGCCGAGGCAGGACAATCATGAGGTCAGGAGATCGAGACCATCCTGGGTAATACGGTGAAACCCTGTCTCTACTAAAAATACCAAAAAAATTAGCCCGGATGTGGTGGCAAGCATCTGTAGTCCCAGCTACTCTGGAGGCTGACTCAGGAGAATCACTTGAACCTGGGAGACAGAGGTTGCAGTCAGTGGAGACTGGGCCACCTCACTCCAGCCTGGGCAACAGAGTAAGACTCCATCTCAGAAAAAAAAAAAAATTGGGAGCAAAGATCTGAATACATATATGGGAAGGCTAAAAACTTTATAAAGACCTTAGCCTAAAAGGTTTAATGTTATCTTGATCACAATTCCAGTGGAAAATCTTGGGGAGGAAAAACAGAAAGTAAAACCCTACAGCTTCCAACAATAATCAATACACTGGAAAGTTAGTAGCTTAAGACCAGTGAAACAAGGGAAAGCTCAGACCCATGTGTAAAGTAAAGGTACCATTTCAAATTAGCAGAGATGAGCACTCATTGAAAACCACTCTAAAATTTAACTCTTATCTATAGTTTAATAGAGAATGTTAACAGATAGTGAAATAGCCAAAACAAAAACAATAGCATACAGAAATCAAGAACTGTTAAGCATCCTTGAATAACTAACTCAACGGTGGTCAAACTCTGAGGGCAGTCAACAAGATTAGGAAACTAAGGTGTGTATTTTTATTCTAAAGACTAGTCTTAAGAAAATGCAGGTCAGGTGTGGTGGTGGCTCATGTCTGTCTGTAATCCTAGCACTTTGGGAGGATGAGGCAGGGGATGGCTTGAGCCCAGAAGTTCAAGACCAACTTAAGCAACAGAGCAAGACTCCACCTCTATAAAATATAAAAAGTTAGCCAGATGTGGTGGCACACACCCATAGTCCCAGCTACTCTGGAGGCTGAGGCAGGAGGATCACTTGAGCCTGGGAGGTCAAGGCTGCAGTGAGCTACAATTAAGTCACCGTACTCCAGCCTGGGTGACAGGCGAGACTTCGCTTAAGAAAAAAAAAAAGCCAGGTGCAGTGGCTCAAGCCTGTAATCCCAGCACTTTGGGAGGCCAAGACGGACAGAGCACCTGAGGTCAGGAGTTCAAGACCAGCTTGACCAACGTGGTGAAACCCCGTCTCTACCAAAAATACAAAAATACTAGCCGGGTGTGGTGGCGCCTGTAATCCCAGCTACTCAGGAGGCTGAGGCAGGAGAATTGCTTGAGCCCGAGAGGCGGAGGTTGCAGTAAGCCCAGATCGTGCCACTGCATTCCAGCCTGGGCAACAGAGTGAGACTCCGTCTCAAAAAAAAAAAAAAAAGGCTCCAAAAAACCCAACCCAAGACTCCCACCCCCAAAAATTTCCTGGGTTTTAAAGACATTATGTGGGGACTTCTCAATAGATTTTCAAAGATATTTCGTAATATGATTATCCATAAATCAAATTGTAATTGACTAGTCTGAAGTAGCAGCCTGTGTATTTATTATCCTGTATAGCATAGCCCAATTAAGTATTCCCTGAGGTAAACAAATCTGAGGTATTCTCTACGCAAAGTTGTTGGGGATGGGGTAGGGTATGAATGACACTACTATACCAATAGTTTATTGTGAAATACAGGTTCATGGTTAAAAAAAAATCAAAAGTTCCAGAGAGTCTAGGAAGAAGGTAAAACAAGAAAGGTCTCATCATTGTAGAGATCCACCTAACACACAAGTAAAACTTCACCTGGAAATAATGTGAATGCCTCATCGTCTAGTCATGTGGGACAGGAAAGGTCTTCACAAAACCCCCCATCTTCACCAGAATAGTTCACTTTTACATATTGGATATTCTGGTTTTGTCTAAAGAAAAGGGAAGACATCCTAAATATATTTCTAACTAATGAGAATGCCAAAAGCCCTATTTTCTTTGACTAGAATTTAAAAATACTCAACAGGAGCACTGAAGCATATTCCTTCTGTGCGATGCCAGTCCTAAATAGAAGTACCTCACCTCCATTCTGTCTGTTCCCACCTATCCCCAACATGCTTGGAACAAACATTCAGAGAATAGAAAATGTTTAAAAGCAATTTTTTGAAATTAAAAAAAAAGGTCATGTTAATCTTAATTTTCAAGATAGACATTTAAGAGTTGGAATATATCTTAATGGTCAAATATTCAGATTTTAGCAGTTAAGATACCAAAAGCTTACCAGTCTAAGGATATTTTCTTGAAATTTAACTCCTAAAAGGAAGCAGAAATATTCATACTCAACTGAAAACTCCTGTTACTGAGGGATTGGCCTGCAAGAGTGTGTGTGTGCACGTGCACAGAGTGGGGGAAGATCCTCAAAGTCAATATTGTTTTAAACACTATGCCAATCATTCTTCATCATTTGATCATGCCCATTCCCATACCCATATAGGAAATATACAATTAAGAAATCAGTTACCGTATCTAACTTCAGCCCTCAATAACACCGTGGGGGTATGCATTCCTCAAATGAGAGGTTCTGGGCACCTGAGAATCCCTCTTTGCACCTCAGAGCACCACCATTCCCCTTCCGGGGAATAAGTGTTTTGTGGAGGTGAAACACACAAACCCTCTCCAAAAACAAAATGATCTGCTACTCAATAATCAACACAGGGCCAGCATAAACCTTTACCAAGCAGGAATTCACAACAGGAGATCCTACTAATGCTTCTGACTCTCTGCTAAGTAGCAAGATATACAGTTCTAATGAAAACTCTAAAAAAAACAAAAAAATCTGGTCCATGACTACTGGTGAGCCTCTAATTTAAGCATCCCAGTATCATACACTACAGTTGTAGGGAGTGGGAAGGTAGATGCTTATCGTACCTGTCTGCTGAATAAAACAGTACCAAACTTAGGAGTCCATAAATATCAATGAACTGTTTACTCTCATATTATACCAGGCTAAAGATATTTCAAGTTTTCAAAGTGTTAAACTGCTATATTCTGCCAGATTCTGGCTATGGAAAACAGTGATTAGTGAATCACTTTACTAGTCATAGAATTTCTACAGAGAAGAGACAAATCTTTCCCTAGAGAAGCTTACAACTAGACCAGACAAGTGGGTCTGAATACATTCTTACCTGCTGGGATTTATGCTATCTCCCTCAGATTTCTACAGTTTAGGAACACTTTTAAGAACTTACAATGGATTGTTAAGAGCCATTCACCTTAGAAAAAGGACAACTTTGTTTCCTGAGAAAAATGCATTTATCCTCACTGTAACTCAGTCCTATGCCAACATAATCCCTTGTCAACATTTATTTTGCAGCCAGCAAGACTTCTTGATAAAAGAAATGCAAACTGGGTCACTTAAAAGGGATTTTCAAATGGACAGGAAATTAAATGGCTGCCTGAAGTTTTTTTGGGGGGCGGGCCAAAAACTACCTTTAACTGGTTCTTTTCAACTATTCTGAGAAATTGGAGTCAAGTCACTATGGGAGGCAGAGTCCTCATCTAGAAGCTTATAAACTGGTTATGATAATCAGCACGGCAGAGACCCATTTAACTGGCAGCTTAGTTAAAAAAGCCACAGGGGACACTGTCTTGAACTCCAAGTTTACGTATTATATTAGCCTGAATATAACAGTGGTTTAAACAAATAATGTGTATACAGCTACACAAAACCACGCAAAATAAATTTCCTTATTTTTTTGCTCCCAGTTTCTCCTACTTCTTGGCACATCATAGTATTCAATTTTTCCTTCCTGACTGCCCTCTTGAGTATTAAAAACTCGCTTTCAGAGAACTCCACAACATACAAGAAATGCACAGAACAAAGAGCTTTTTAAAATTTTCCAAGGCCGCATACCTATACACCAATCACATCTGCAAAAGTACCACTGGGTTTGAAATCGATTGGGTGTGCTCCATGAAAGGTCTTCATACGGGGGAGAAAGGTTACCTTATGGAGGATGAATGCACGAACCAGGAAGAATAAAATTCCAGACATAATTCCAGAAAGCAGTGGGGACACGAACCAAGACATCACTGGAATAGAACACATTAAGAAAAAATATCAAATAATGAAAATCAGAAACCAAAAACCACTTTAAATGTTTAAGAGTTCAAAATTCTTGGGTCTGTCCCTCGACGTTAGAACACATCCTCCCATACCTAATGCCATGGTAACATATGACGAAAACGAAAATTAAGAAGCCGTTTGGAATTAAACATACCAATTTTTATCAGTTCAGACCACTTGACACCCTCCTGCCCCTTTGCCACGAGGGAGAAACCAATAGTTGCACCAACAATACAATGGGTTCCAGAAATAGGGAGCTTCAAAAACGAAGCCACGAGTTGCCACACAGCAGAACCTGAAACATAGTAAAGTTTTATTAAGTAAATATCAAAATTCCATTATGTAAGTGGCACATTCAGAAAGGTTAATCGGAAAGGTTATGCACAAAAATGGAACCACCCATGATACAAATTTGCTCACCCACCACGAAGAGGACAAAACATAAAAAGAACTTACCAAACATAGCACTGACTGAGCCGGCCATCAGCAGCCCTTGAGTCGAGTTGTACATCTCCACGTCAATCAAGCCCTTCCGGATGGTTTCGCTCACTTTGGCCCCCAGTAAGACAGAGCCCACTGTTTCAAAGATGCTAGCTAGGATGCAGGCTTGCTTCAGGGTCACTACACCTGAGCCCACAGCTGTACCAAAAGAATTTGCTACATCATTGGCTCCCACGGAGAATGCCAAGACAAATGCAATAATGAAGCCCAGGATGAGCATCCATAGGTAGTCCACCAAAGGACCAGAAGCGGCGGTAGCAGCTGTAGTACTGGTAATCAGCGTTGCCATTCTCTGGAGTAGTGGTTGTTTAGTAAGAGAACTACTGAGCGCCTTTCAAGATGTGTAAACAGAATATGAGGTATCAAAAATGCTATAATAAATAATATATATTATATAAAATTAAATACTGTAAACTACGGCACAGAAACCGAGCTGGGGAGTTACTGCTATACGCTGCGTATGGGCATCTGTTGTCTGGGGTTTCTTTGGCTCAGGAGGGCTAAAAGCACGGAGCAGAATTCCATGGCGGAGAAGAGAAAGGACGCAAGTTCATCCTGCGGGGGAGGGGGGAAATAACAATAGCTGCGTGCCCCTGGGGGGCCAGTGGGGCACCCCGCTCTACCCACGCGCCCGGGGTCCCGCAATAGCCTCTGCCGGCTACTCCAGACCCCCATCCCCAGTAGGACGCGCGAGAAGGAGAGGCACGTGGCTCCGGGTCCTCCGCGGCCCGCGCGCGCCCAGCCCAGCCCCTGCGCTGCCAGCCCGCGCGCGCCCTCCGCGCGAAAATCGGAAAAGGGCCGTTCCCGCGCGCGCCGCCCGGGGACCGCCAAAAAGGCCCGCGGGCGGGCAGACGGGCGGAGTGGAGGCGGCCAGCGGCGAAGAGAGAAGCCAGCCGCGCCGCCCACGGCGTCCGCCTCCAGCGCCACGGCGTCCGCGCCCGGCCCCGGGGAGAAGAAAGAGCCTTTACGAGGCGGCGCCACTACTCACCAGGGAAAAGGGAGGGCGGAGCGGGAGACGAGGAGATCGAGGCGACAGCGGCTGGAGCCACGGGCACACGGCCCGGGTCGGCGGCACCGGGGACAGCTCAGCGGGACTCACGACCTTCCCAGGAAGCAGCCGCGGGGGTTTCAGCGGCCGAGAAGAAGAACCACGCAGAGAGCGCCGGCAGCCATCACTCCAGCGGAGCACCCCGCCGGCCCCTACTTATAGCCCGCGCAGCGACCCGCGTGACCCCGCCGCGCCTCGCGCCGGCCCCGAAGCCCCGCCCCCGGCATGACGCAGCCCTCCTCGGCCCGGCGTGCCCAGCCGGGTGAGCCCGACGGTGGCGCTCATTGGCCCGGCCCGCTTCGGCGGCCACGCCCCCAGCGGGGAGCCGGTCCACGTGGGGCGGGACAGCCCCCTCCCTGCGGCCTCGCCCTGGAGTCTCGGCACCGTCTGGCCCCGCCGGCTGATTACAGCCAGAGATCGAGGGGGACCTCGCTGTCCCCCTAGAGGCCGTCATGCGGGGTTACAGAGGCTGCGACCAAAGTCATTCCTAGCTCCTCTCTCGGGGCTCCGGAAAGCCGTCCGCGCCTCCAGCCGCACTTTCAGCGCACGCAGGACCTGCCGCGCCCGGTGGCCACACCCGTCCCTCTGCCGGGTGACGCTGCGGGAGATCTTGCGCCCTGGGGCTCCGGATCCAGTTCTGGCACGTTGTTGCACCTGTGACTTGTCCTTGGCCTGGCACTGTCCCTCGCCTGGGGGAAGCGGGGGGGTGGGGGGGGGATGCTCACGTGGTCGCTTTGCTCCCGCAGTCATGCACTTGGGTGAAAACAGACTGAAGAGTCACGGGAACCAGCTTGTCTCCCCAGTTATGGCGCAGAGCTGCAAGGATGGCTGTGGGTCATTAATTTCTCCGTGGCTGACCTGTGTTTGTAACGCCGCAGCTGTTGCGAGGGGGAAGGACACTGCTTCGGATTCAAATTCTGACTCCTTGCTGCAGTGTGTCACCTTGAGCCAGTCCCAGATCTCTGCGTTCTCACAATTGTAAAATGTTAACAGAGGCTGCCTACCTTGTGGCTGGAATTAAATGAATTAACGTGTGTGAATGTGACTAGAATTCAGTACATGTTCAGGAAAAGCTGATTTCCGCTTTGCTGTTACCGTGAATATTACTGTTTTAGGGTGTAGAAAAGGGTGGAAGGGGATGTTATTGCATCCTGGAAGCTTATCCTTTTGAGGTAAAGATTGATTTCTGGTCCCCTGCGTGGTATATAGTGTAGTTTTGACATTATTTAGATGTGTTATGCACATTTGGGTGTTGATTATATGGCTTACGATCAAGACTAACCAGTCATGCCGTGGGAGATTAAGGTCGTGGTCTCTTGTCAGGATTGTAGTGAGATTTAAAAATTCCAGCCAGAAATACCAGGCTTAGAATGCTCTGAAGCCCTCCCCACATTTTTGCCATCTCTAGCAGGAGGGCACTGCATAGCAGAAACAAAGACGTTGTAAATTGTTGCTGCCTGAGTCATTTATAGAGGCTTAAACAACCTGAATGTCCTCTGACCTACCTGTAACATTTGATGGAGTTGTATGAGTAACTTACAAAGCTGTAGGTCCCAAGGTCGGTCTGAAAAAGAAAGTTCATATCCGGGAGCACTGACCCCGTAGTGTAATCCTGGCACCTTAAAACGTACTGCTCCCTCCACCTTCACTTCAAGGTTATGAAAACATTGAGTAAAAGGGATGATCTGTTCAAAGTCCTTAGTGTTCTGCCAATTTAAAACAGTAATTTTCAAAGCAGTTATTTGCAAGGAAATTGCCTAGAACTTCTCCCAGTGTGCGGTTGTTTTGTGTGTTTGTGTGTGTGTTTTGTTTGTTTGTTTTCAGTCTGTCCACAGGCGTACTTTTATAGGTCTGTGATAGTAGGTAGCTCTTCAAGTTGGCAAACACCTGCTGGACAACCCCTGAGAGATTCATCTGAGTGAGAGAGCACTCTCCAGCCCCATCGGAGTGGGTTTGCAGGGAAATCATAAGGTAGAGATTCAAAGGAATTCCCTTGCGTTGCAAATGAAAACTGTATCTTCAGACTCTGATATAGTGTAATCCTTCCTTTTTAGGAAGAAATCCTTATCTTTCCAACACTGAGATGCTTCTGCCGAAGAGTAGAATGGGAGGTGAGGAATTGGGGTGGGCCCTCACTGCTTTGCCTCCGGATCAGTAGGGTACAGCCCTTGGAGACCAGGATCTTCCTTGGCTGGGACACCTTCGTCCTCCCCTAAGGGAGGAGAGGTAGGGATCTGCCTGTGGAAAGAAGTTACAGTGCCTTTTAAATAGAAATAGGAGGTAGGAGGACCGTCAGTTGTCAGTTCGTGCACAAATGGCATTGTTTCTGGCCTTATCTCTGAATGCTGAGGAAACAGGTCAGAGATCCTAAAGAGAATCTAATCTCTTAGAATCCAGGCATTGGCACAAACCCCCTCTAGCATCTTAGGGAGGTGGTTTGGTGTAGTGGTTAAACACATAGACTGTAAGACCAAACCACCTGCTCTGTCACTCACTAGTCCTGTGACCATAGGCAAATAAATTATCTGCCTCAGTTTCCTGATCTGTAAAGGGGTGAGATTGAGACTTCTAACTCACAGTGCTGTTGTGAGGACCAAATGAATGAATATATGTAAAGCCCTTGTAAAAGGGCTCTTATTCTCTTTGTTCAATAACTAGCTGAAGGCCTGTCATACATAGCCCATGTTTAAAATGAAGTATGTGTCAGATGTCAGGACCACCCTCTTCTCCCTGCCCTCTGATCCAAGCCCTTTCAAATTTCTCCCACGGCTCATAGTGAGGGGACACGCAAAACGGGCTGCTGCCGGAGGAAGAGGAACAGTGTTGTGGCTCATGCCATATGAATGGGCTCACTGGCCTGGCCCAGACCCTGACTGCCCACAGGATCTTTGGTGAGTCACTGTCACTGAGCCTGTGAGCCTAGGGTCCCTCTCCAACCTCACCCTCAGAGAGGACAGAACAAGATGACCTGTGGCATGCTGCAGAACACCATGTTGGGGACTGTGGGTTTAGAGTCCTCTTGGGGACATGTCCATCGTTCACTAATTCGGTGGAGTTGAGCTGCTGAGAGCTAGGAAAGCTACTCTCCCCCCGGATCCCAACCTAGCCCTGTGGAAGACCAGACAAAAGAAGGAAGCAATGACATTTCTGCACTTTTTAGTTCAGAGAGGCACAGTCAAGGAAATGCATTTGAGGTCACTGTTCGATGTACTTGAAGTACTCATCCTGGAAATAGTCTACTTGGAGTAGAGGGAGCTCAAGTGGGCATGGGAACGTTGTGGAACCAGACCAGGAACAAAGGCGGCTTCAGAGGCCGTCTGTGAGGACTTGCATGGGAGCAGGGGCGAGAACATCCAGGGAAGAGAAGGTAGGAGCCTTGGAGTAAAGGAGAACCAGCTCCTCTCCACCCACCAATGCCCTCCCCATCCCCAGATGAATGAGGTAATAATAATACCTGTAGCTGGACATGGTGGCTCAAGCTTGTAATCCCAGCATTTTGGGAGGCCAAGGCGGGTGGATCACCTGAGGACGGGAGTTCGAGACCAGCCTATCAACATGGAGAAACCCTGTCTCTACTAAAAATACAAAAATTAGTTGGGCACGGTGGTGCATGGCTGTAATCCCAGCTACTTGGGAGGCTGAGGCAGGAGAATCACTTGAACCCGGGAGGCGGAGATTGCGGTGAGCCAAGATCGTGCCATTGCACTCCAGCCTGGGCAACAAGAGCAAAACTCCATCTCAAAATAATAATAATAATAATATCTGTGATGCAGTTGAATGCTTACTGTGTGCCAGGTACTATTTCAGGTGCTCTGCATGGATTATCTCAGGTGATGCTCTCAATAAATCTCAGATGAGGTATTTTCCCCTTACTTTATAGACAGAGAAACGGAGGCACAGAGAAGGAAGCGGCAGTTAAAGCTGCGAAGAACCTAACAAATTTCAAGATTGTAAGTGCCTTTTCCCAGGATGCCAGCAAGTACTGAGGCAAGTATGATTGCCCTAGGTGCCAACTCTTATTTGCACTTAACACATTTACTTCCTCCTTCTTTCCCCCTCCTTTTTATTAACTCTGTTGCTTTTACAGCCTGTATTTTGAGCTGCATCAAACCCTGTTGGAATAAAAAAGGACATTTCTAGGAGATCAGTCTTCGAGATTGGCCCCAGTTTCCCCAGAGTAGGAAGAGGCAGGAAGCCAGAGCACATGTTCTCTCCAGAAATAAAGTTGTTGCAGTGGCCTAACCGTGTCTTAGAGTTACTGAAAACTCTGTTCTCTTGAGATTTCTCAAGAAAGGAAACCTATCTTGCAAGACAAAACCCACCTGTAGTCAATTCCTACAGGAAATAAATTCAAAATAATGTTTCAGGCAAGGGCCACATGTCACCACCACCACTTTCCCACCAGCTTTGAATGTGGCTGTCCTCTGTGTCTCCAGTCATTTCCCATTTCCCCCGGCATCTGTGGCTCTGTCCTGGCAGAGTCCAAGGGATGCTTGGGATCCAGGTGGGGGAAGGGTGCTTGAAAGCACCCAGACAGCCAAGCCCTGATATGGAGACTGGTTGAGACTGGTTGTGACTGGTCTCAGGCCAGCATCCCATGGCAAGAAAGCTGAGTTTTGGTTGTGCCAGACAAACTGGTGGGTCTATTTCTCCGCCAACACAGGAGTATGGGAGGTTGGCCCACCCTCTCTAGATTTTACATGCCTCTGTCCTGGCTGCACATGGCCTGGTCTCTTCCCTTTGGCTTTGAGTTCACACATGTGGGTGTGATATGGCATAGGAGCCAGGCAGAGGGAACAGAAGCACAGTTCTTAGAGCTTGAAATGGTCCAGGTGTCTCTGGAGCCAGCTTCTGGATAGCACAGCATCCTGAATACTTCTTTAGGAAGACGTCTCTGGTGACTTAAACTGGGACTTCTCGCTTTCCCCAAGGCCCA